>NC_000020.11:43284415-43587446 GCF_000001405.40 Homo sapiens
AGGAGGCGGAGGTTGCAGTGAGCCGAGATCATGCCACTACACTCCAGCCTGGGAGACAGAATGAGACTGTCTCAAAAAAAAAAAAAAGAAAGAAAGAAAGAAAGGAGTCGCTTTAATAAATAGTCAAATTAGTGTCACTACTTGCATTTAAGTGGCTTCCAAATTTAGATATAATGTTTAAAATGTCAAAAAGATTTTATCACAAAGTACCTTATGGTTGCAAATGGTACAATGATTCACCAGTTATGGAACAGAGTTGAGCAGATCAGGAAATCAGTCTTCCGCTTGGGTTCAACAATTGCCTTGTCATTTAAGGAGATTCATAAACCAAGTGAAAAGGAAATGGATTAGAAAACCACATTTTTCTGGTTTTAAAATGAATAAGCAAATCTATTTCTTTTTCTTCTCTGAAACTTACTAGAAACATGGAAAAGGGGGAACAATAGCAGATATTTCATTCTTGTTAAATTAGGAAGCACATTAACTTATTTGTTTTGTAAAAAGAGAGCTGTAGTTATAAATAGTACTAACAGTAATGTAATAATAGCCCCCAAACCCCATCCTCAGCATATGGAAGTTGGTCAAACACAGTCAACAATTGGACCAGGGAAGAAAAGACACCTGCTGATGAAGGGCAGGTGAGCCCCAAACTTGGGGATTAGCTTGAGAAGATCCTTGGCTTTACCCAGTAAAGAATTCAAGGGTGAGCTGGTGATGTTTACAGCAACCTTTTATTGAACAGTACTGCTCCCTATAGAGGAGGGCTAACTCTAGGCAGTGCTCCCAGAGTTGGCAATGTATGGGCTCTTTACAACTGTATTTATACTCACTTATTCCTACTTTCAGTTATACGCAAATTGAGGGGTGGGTTATTTAGAACTTTCTAGGAAAGGGCAGTAACTTCTGAGTCACTGCCATGGAAAGGGGTGGTAACTACTAAGTTGTTGCCATGGCATTTGTAAACTGTGATGATCCTGTCGCATACTAATGAGCAACGGTGGTGGCCAGGGATTGCCCTCCTCATCATCTGCTGGTTTCTGCCAGTTTCTTCACTTTATCCTGTCCAAAGCAGATCCTGTTTTGGTCAGCAGGGTTATGACCAGAAAAGAAGTCCAGCCAGTCTCCTACTTCACTGCCACAGCCAATCTCAGGCAGATCTAGCAGAACACAGCACTCTCCAAAATGGGATGCACACCTTGGGGGAAAACCAGTGACCTCCTGTTTGAACTAGTAAGATTGCAATGAGCAGAATGTCTTTGAAGAGTTTCCTAAAGCCCGATCAACACCAGGAAAGGGCAGAACAAGCAGGTCTGAATAAGGAAATAAGCAGACAATTTCACAAGAACCAGGAGAAAGAAATTCTAGGTAATAAACAATCCTATCATTTCTGAAGGGAAGTAAAAGCTAAGACTCACACATACACACACACACACACACACACACACACACACACGTATGTTCCAACATCCAACCCTATCTCATTTGGGATTACACTGTGGGCCAGAAAGAGATCTTTCTAGCCTGCCTCATGGCATACCTCTGACTCCTGCTCCATACAGCTTTTCCACAAATAGCTTCTAATCTAAACTGCTCTCAGTAATTATCACAACGGAAATTGCAACAATATATGAAAACACTGAGAGAAACAAGAGGGAAAGGAATATACAATAATAAGTTGAAGAATGCATACTAAAAAATGTGTAACACCAAGCAGATAAAAATAGTAACCAAATAGTTTCCTGTGGACTCAGGGAACATAGAGAAAAAAGGTATCTCCATGAATCAAGAACTTAAAGCAGAAAGACAAGAGCTCATGGAAAAAGTAATAAGACTACAGGCAGAGATGAAAAAATAACTCCAGAGCTTTGGAAGATGAAAAAACAATTGCAGAAATTAAAGTTGTTTTGGGAGAAAGAAAAGAAAGAGATATACTGAAAACACAGTCAGTGAATTGCCAACCTTGAGAAAATTGAGCAAAATGAAAAGTAAATAAAGAATTTAAAGATATCAGAGATAAAATGATGGATATGGAAGAGAGACAAAGGAGATTCAACAAAGACATAATTGGTGTCCCTGAAAAAGATAAAATAGAATTTAAAATTTTTCAAAGATACTATTTAAGAAAACTTTTCTGAATGACAAAAAGCTTAAATCTATAGCTTAGAAGAACATACTATGTCCCAGGAAGAAAATAAAACAGATGAATCTATACTGAGGCATAAATTAATAAGGTTACTGGACTAAAAATTTTTAGGAAAAAAGTTTCAATAGACATACAGAAAAGAAATTTTTTTAAATACCAAGTAATCTGTAGGTTCAAAACATTTAGTTTAGCCTCTGACTTTTCCATAACAATGTTTAAAACTAGAACACAGTAGGCAATATCTACAAAGTCTTCAGGAAAAGAAAAGCTGATCAAAGATTTATAACCTAGCAAAATGTCAGTTAAATTTAAAGATAGCTAGTATTGTTTAACATGCAAGGGAATACCATTCCCATTAGCACTTCTTGAAGAAATTACCAGAGGAGAATTTTAAATTTTCCAAGAGTTGAATGAAAAAGTTATGTTAATAGAACTTATGGTGAGCCCTGAAAATGCTTAAGTGTAGAACAAAGGCTAAAGAACCATGGAGAGATACAGAACAAAACAGAAATGCTATAGGGCATAACAGCATAAAAATGATAATATAATAAAAGTCAGGAGGGAAAGAGGGAAAGAAGGCAGGTATAAGCACACTGAATACCTAGTTTTTCTTAATGGGGACGGCAGGGCTCACAATATATTGTTCAAAGCTAATAAATCAATTAATTGAAGAATAATTGTATTAAAAGTTCTAAGAGAATTAATAATAAAAATATTATTGATAGGCCGGGTGCGGTGGCTCACGCCTGTAATCCCAGCACTTTGGGAGGCTGAGGCGGGCAGATCACGAGGTCAGAAGATCGAGACCATCCTGGCCAACATGGTGAAAACTCATCTCTACTAAAAATACAAAAATTAGCTGGGCATGGTGGCGCATGCCTATAGTCCCAGCTACTCAGGAGGCTGAGGCAGGAGAATCACTTGAACCCGGGAGGTGGAGGCTGCAGTGAGCCAAGATCGCACCACTGTACTCCAGCCTGGGCAACAGAGCAAGACTCTGTCTCAAAAAATATATATATGATCGATTAAAAATAAAGTGTTATAGATGAAGGAAGAGAGGTGACAGAAGGTACATAATAAGTGTTCAATAAAGGTTATGCTGTTTCTTCATTGTTCACACTGGGGTGTAAATACATACCATCTAGGACAGAGATACTAGTTTCCCTCCAATATTCATTATCTCCTCCTTTTAAGTAGTAGAATCCCAACTTTCCCAGAAAAAGGACTGCATTTCCCAGGCTCCCTTGCAACTGGGAATGGTCATGTGACCAAGTTCTGGCCAACGAGATATGAGCCAACTAAATGTGTGCATCATCTGGGAAAGCCCTTCTCTTCCTCTTTTTCCACTGATATGTAGTGAGGCCACTTGGATCACCCAGATGAAAACAATATCCTGAAGACGGCAGAGCACCAAGATAGAAAGAATTGCCCTACCACTTTGACTTTCACATAAGAGCAAAATCACTGTCTTATATAGCAGCAGTCCCCAACCTTTTTGGCACCAGGGACTGGTTTCATGGGAAAAAATGTTTCCATGGATGCAGGGTTGGGGGTATTGTTTTGGGGAGATTCAAGCACATTACATGTATTGTGCACTTTCTTTTTTTCTTTTCTTTTTTTTTTTTTTTTGAGACAGTCTCGCACTGTCACCCAGGCTGCAGTGCAGTGGCACAATCTTAGCTCACTGCAACCTCCGTCTCCCAAGTTCAAAGATTCTCATGCCTCAGCCACCCAGGTAGCTGGGATTATAGGCACACACCACCACGCCTGGAGAATTTTTTTATTTTTAGTAGAGATGCGGTGGGTTTCACCATGTCGGCCAGGGTGGTCTGGAACTCCTGGCCTCAAGAGATCCATCAACCTCAGCCTCCCTAAATGCTGGAATTACAGGCATAAGCCACCATGTCCAGGCAATTTCTATGATTATTACACTGTAATATATAATGATATAATTACATAAGTCACCATAATGTAGAATCAGTGGGAGCCTGGAGCTTGTTTTCCTGCAACTAGACAGTCCCATCTGGGGGTGACGGGAGACAGTGACAGATCATCAGGCATTAGATTCTCATAAGGAGCATACAACCTAGATCTCTCACATGCGCAGTTCACAATAGGGCTCACGCTCCTATGAGAACCTAATGCTGCCACTGATCTGACAGGAGGTGGAGCTCAGGTGGTAATGTGAGCAATGGAGAGTGGCTGTAAATACAGAGGAAGCCTCGCATGCTCACCTACTGCTCACCTCCTGCTGTGCAGCCCAGTTCCTAACAGGCTATGGGTACCCTGGGGGTCCAGGGTTGAGACCCTGTATTACATGAGACATATATTTTGAGTCTCCATCACATGCCAATGAACCTACAGTATAACTTAACTAAATTCCGTCTTAAAAAGAATAATGCATTACATACTTAAAATCAAATATTATTTAGCCATAAAAAAATGAAATTCTGATACGTGCATGGATGAATCTTTAAAACATTATGCTAAGTAAAATAAGTCAGATGCAAAAGGACAAACATTGTATGATTCCTTTCATATGAGGCAGCTAGAATAGGCAAATTTGGAGACAGGAAGTAGAATGGTGGTTGCCAGGCTGGTGGGAGGGGGAGCTATTGTTTAATGGGTACAGAGTTTCCATTTAAGATGATGAAAAGATTCTGGAAATAATGGCGATGGTTAAACAACATTGTAAATATACTTAATGCCACTGAATTGTACTCTTAAAAATAGTTAACATGATAAATTTTATGTCATGTATATTTTACCACAATAAAAAAGTCAGAGAAAAAATAAAACAGGAAAGAATAGTCAGGAAAATTCTTTTTAAGGAAAGTCACAGGGAAAAACAGCTATGCTATCTAATACGGTCTCAAGGATCCTGCCCCTGTGGCGCTGCCCTGTCCCATACAGAACCTCTAGTCATTATGTGGCTATTTACATTTAAATTTAAATCAATTAAAATTAAATGAAATTTAAAGTTCAGTTTCATAATCACACTGTCCTCATTTCAAGTGCTCAATAGTCACACTGGACAGCAGATATAGAACATTTCCATCATTACATAAAGTTCTGTCAAACGGCACTTGTCTAGAGCAATCTCCTTCCTGAATTTTAGACTCATACATCCAACTGTCCATCTGTGTGCCTTACAGGCACTCCAAAACAAATTCAAGAACTTCTCCATCAATTCCTACCCCCAAAATTCCTTTCTCCTTCTTTGGCATTTTCTCTGTATGTAAAGAGTATCATCTGGCCAGGCGCGAGCCTGTAATCCCAGCACTTTGGGAGGCCGAGGCAGGCAGATCACCTGAAGTCAGGAGTTCGAGACAAGCCTGGCCAACATGGTGAAACCCCGTCTCTACTAAAAATATTAAAAAATTAGCCAGGCGTGGTGGTGCGTTCCTGTAATCCCAGCTACTTGGGAGGCTGAAGCAGGAGAACTGCTTGAACCCAGAGGGTGGAGATTGCAGTGAGCTGAGATTGCACCACTGCACTCCAACCTGGGCAACAAAGTGAGACTCCATCTCTCAAAAAAAAAAAAAAAGTATCATCTTCATGCTGGTTGTTCAGATCAGAATCTTTTACATGACCCCTCTCTTTCCCCCAACGTCTAGTCAACTACTAAATCTTACTAATTCTAAAATCTGTCTGTGGTTCTGTGGCCTCTTCTCTGCCTTCACTGTCACCTGGGTGTCCACACAGTCTCCTAACTGGTCCTCCACGTCCTTTCTTGCCTTTTGCAAACAGCCTCTTCTGCACACAGAAGCCAGGGAAAGATTTCAAAAACACCGATCAGATTGTGTCAGTTGTGCTAAAAATCCTTCATGGGCTTCCTGTTGACCTTAAGACAAAGTCCAAAATCTTCTCTTTCCACAGCCCTGCATGCTCTGCCTCTGCCGCCCACTTCCCTGCCCACCACCCCATCCCCTTTACAGGCAGTACCCTAGCCACAGTGAGGGCAGCAAAGTTCCTCCTCCAGGAACACTCTTCCACACTCTATCCCCCATCGCCTGGCTAACTCCTACTCCAGGTCACCACCCCCAAACAGCTTCCATAGTAAGTAAGGAGGGGGGTACTTTAAGGCACCAAAGATGTAATTGAACCCCTAAAAACTCCAGTCAGGCCTGCGATGTGTCCCTCCTCTACTCACTGCTGAGCAAACAGTGAAATCCGTTAGACCGACCACAAACGAGGTTGAAGGCCAGGGTGTGTGTGTGTGTGTGTGTGTGTGTGTGTGTGTGTGTGTGCAGGGCTTCCACTGATAGAGAAAGTGTAACCCACCCAGCTAGACTGTCAGGGCAGGAATCATGCCTGCTTGCTGCTGTATCCCCGGTTCCTAGAGCCATGCCTGGAACACCTGGATCCTCAGTGCACGTTAAAGAAAGGATTAGTCAATCAAGGGCCTTGTTCTCTGCCCACTTACTTCTAAGCTGTAAGTGAAAATTCTCAGATGCACCAGCAGACCAGGAGATCTCCCCGACTTCTCAGGCCCACAGTGATCTTTCTGAGACAATATCGCCACTCTCCAAGCCCCAAGGGGAGAAGATGGGCAAAGAAAGGAGAATGGCGAGGATAAAACAGCAGATGGAGGAACCCTATTCCAGCTGCTGGCAGCAATGAACAAGGAAAACCAATCTCAGTTTGGAAAGGGGAACGTTTGTAGGGACTTGGCCAGGATTATAATGAAAGGAGGAAATTCTTCAAATGTTATGAAAATAACACAATATTTTTCTCATATCTGGAACTGCCTGAACCTTTCTTACGATAGTCACAACATCAAAACAAGCCCTGGATCTATAAGAGGCAGGATAGGATCTCTAATCTGTAGAGAGCTGGGAGGCCCAAGGCCATGGCCAAAGGGACACAATGAACTCAGGTGTCAATGGTCTTATCCAGAAGGCAGTGTACGTGGGCCAGAGCCCAGGTAACAGGAGATAAGATGGCAGGTGAGTAGCAGCTCTGGGAGTCTAGGTATGTGGTCCTTGCTCAAAGGAGTAGATGGGTAGGAATCAGGAGATACCCATGCAGAGTGACAGACCAATAGCCAACAGCCCATCTCCTCCAAGGAGACCTCCCTGACGTCCTCTGCATAGTAAAGATGGAGGTACTTTTAGGCACAAAAGCTGCAACTGAACCCCTAAAAATTCCAGTCTAGGGCCCCTGGACTGGTGAAAAGTGACACTTCTCTGATAAATTTTTGCAGCTCTCAGGGAATTAGCTGGCAGTGCTTGAGGGCAGCCAGAGAGCTGGTAGGAGAGCTGGTAGCAAGTGTCCCTCCCCAGACTCCCACATCCCCTACAGTTAGCTCTACAGTGGCCCTCCCAGCCATCTCAAACACCGAGAGCTTCTAATTGGCAGGAACCACATCTCATAGGATGCACAAAGTGGAATGGAAAGGGAAGTGTCTGCCATTCAGGTAGGTTGTTTGGGGAGGAAAAAAGTGACTCTGCGATCAAAAGAGAGAGCCTGGAGTCTTGCTACTCAAAGATTTGCTATTTCATAGACCAGAAGCATCAGCATCACCTGGAGCCACGTTACAAAGGCAGCATCTCAGGCTCCACCCAGACCTTCTGCATCAGAGTCTACATGTTAACAAGCTCCCCAGGTGATTTGCATGTTCATTATAATTTGAGAAGCAACAGGCTAGAGAGCTGAACTTAGGTCTTTGGGACTCCAAACTCATACATCTTTGAACACCCGCATTTCCATGGTGCTTTGAAAATCATACAGCATGCTGGCATGTTTTCTCTTTATGCTTCCCCAGCCTGAATAGACTTGAGCAAGGGAGGAAGACAAACAGGAAAAGAATATTGTGAAAGAAACTAGAACTCATTAATAGAGTGCCTACTCCAAGCCAATCACAATGCTGGAAGCTGTCCCGTGCATTCTCTTATGAAGTCATGAAAGCAAGTGCTGAAGTCAGGAGAATAATAGGCACCATTTTCCAGATGGAGAGAGGCTGAGAATGGTTGAGTAACTTTACCAAGTTGGTGCAATTAGGTCTTGTTTAGCTGCGAGAAACAGAGACCTCATGCTAACTCAAGCAAAAAGGTGGTGTTGTAAAGAAAATAGATTACCCAGAATCCTAGGATAGGAAACACAAGAAGACCAAATCCTAGGAGCCTGAAAGTGGACAGCACCTGTCTGTTTCTTGCCCTGAGATGGGGATTCTTCTGCAAGTAATTTACTCATGGAGGCTCTCAGGAGGAAGGGAGAGAGGGAAACAGGACAAGGAAAGGGAAAGAAGCCAAGCAAGGATGTCATACGGGGTGGAGAACAACTTCGCCCTGATGCCACAGGGAGCTCAAGTACAAATGGAACCACAGAGTTGGTCCCCTCTTGAGATAAGGAGGCTGGTCTTTAGTGCCCCATGTCAGCCAGTCACTGGCGGCAGCTTGCTGGGGGAGGGGAACCCACCAACCTGGCCTGAATGCCATTAGGCCAAGGATTTCTATGGACAAGGGACAACTATAAGGCATTAGTGGTCAACACTCTCAGCAGCCTGAGGGATGGCGCACCTGCCCAGTGAAAAGGAGGTGCACTGGCAGTGCACGCGTGTGCATGCATGTGCATGTGTGCGTGTGTGTATGTACATGTGTGTACATGTGTGTATGTGTATGCTTGTGTGTGCATGTATGTGCATTGTGTGTGTGCATGTATGTGCATTGTGTGTGTGCATATGCAGGTGTGTGTGTGTGTACATGTGTGCTCATGTGTGCGTGTGCATGTGTGTACACGTGTGTACCTCTGTGTGCATGTGCATGTGTGCGTGTGTTTCTCTCTCCCAGGGACAACCTCTACTCTAGCATGAGGCATCTCTGTATCTCCTTGTGCCTGGCTCCATTCTCACCTGTGAAGGCAGTTCTCCTTCCCCCACACTGTCCTCTTCTGCCTTCTAACTCGTTTGCACACGTCTTAAAACAACCAGTCCAGCCCACCAAGGCCTCTTGACCAAAAGGTTTCAACTCCGCAACCTCATTGTTTAAGCCTCTTAGCCAAATTCCTGAGCGAGAAATCCAATTAGCCACACCAGTCACAGGTCCCAGTCAACAGACAGAGGCACCCTGAAGTCACATGTCCACTCCAGCCATCAGCTGAGGACTCAAACTACATAATGAAACACAACCAAGAGAACTGGGGAATAAGCCTGTTCTTTGAAAGCTTCAAGTGAAACAGGCTGTGATAGAAATTTCTAGTTCTGCTCATTGGCTGGAATGCAAACTAACATTTCTCTGGCACCAGAGTTGTGTTCCTCCCTCATTACTTCCCCTTTTTAGTGTAATTGTTCAGAACAAAACTGTCTTGGTTCAAATCCCAGCTCTACCACTAGCTGCTCATAAAACCTCAGACAAGTTATTTAACTTCTCTATGCCTCAGTTTCCTCATCTGGGAGGTAACATTAATACCTGCCTCGTAGGGTTGTTAGGAGGATTAAATGAGTTAGTATTTGTAAAGCACTTAGAATAATGCCTAGTGCATAGTAAGCATAACAGAAGTCACTGCTAAATAAATGGATACAATAAATGCATTTTTCCAGCTCTCAGCAGGAAGGCAGAGATGAACGGGGTAGCCCTTGGAATGGAAGCTGACCAGCACTCCAGAAACTATTGACACATTGAGCTGTCTGGGATGGAGCCCTGGGAGACAGACAGCAATGTTACCAGTGTGGCGTGGGCAAGAAAGATGGTGCTGTTCCCTTTCCAGGAACTCAGCTCCATGGCAACTTGAGCTGGCTGGGGCAGCATGGATGTCAAAGCTCATGAGAATCCCTGGGAATAATAGCGACCAATATTTCTAGCATTCTGCTGTAGATAATATAGGTGCTTTTTATGGGTTGAATTGTGTACCCACCCCCCCCCCGCAAAATTTCCTACTCAGAGGTTTGCTATTTCGTGGACCAGCAGCAGCAGCATAACCTGGAGCTGATGTTGAAGATGTACCCCCTCAGAATGTGACTATATTTGGAGACAGGGTCTTTGCAGGGGTAATCAAGTTAAAATGAGGCCATTAGGGTGGGCCCTAACCCCGTATGACTGGTGCCATTTTTAAAAAAGGGAAATTTAGATACAGAGACACATAAAAGGAAAATGGGCCAGGCGAGATGGCCCACACCTATAATCCCAGCACTTTGGGAGGCTGAGGTGGGCAGATCATCTGGGGTCAGGAGTTCCAGACCAGCCTTGCCAACATGGTGAAACCCCATCTCTACTAAAATTACAAAAATTAGCCGGGTGTGGCGGCACGTGCCTGTAATCCCAGCTACTCAGGAGGCTGAGGCAGGAGAATCACTTGAACCTGGGAGGCAGAAGTTGCAGTGAGCCGAGATTGTACCACTGCACTCCAGCCTGGGTGACACAGCCAGACTCCGTCTCAAAAAAAAAAACAGAGGAAAATGGTGTAAACGCTGGGAAAAGATGGTCATCTACAAGCCGAGAAGACAGGCTTAGGCAGATCTTCCCAACATGGCTCTCAGAAGAAACCAACTCTGCCGATATCTTGATCTCAGACTTCTAGCATCTGGTACCGAGAAAACAAGTTTCTGTTGTTTAAGCCACCAGTTTGTGGTACTTCGTTATGCAGCCCCAGCAAATTAATACAGTGCCTTAGTCTGCACCAGGCACCATGCTGTTCACTTCACAGGCCTTAGCTCAATTATCCTCCCTCCCATCCTGTGAGGTAGAAGTTGTGCTGTCCCACTTCACAGAAAACTCAAGCACAGAGCCAGTAAGTACTGTCTACAATCACACAGTTAGGAAAATGCAGTTCTAGACCCTGGGCCATCATCGAACTGAACGATGCCTTGCACACAGGAAGTACTCATGTGGCATGCGGGAAGCCCTCACCTGACAAGCGGGAAGCCCTCACCGGACACATGGGAAACACTGACCTCGCACGTGGGAAACACTCACCTCGCACGTGGGAAGCCCTCACCTGGTCATGCTGCTGCCACTCCTCTGTTCTACCTCCCTCTTGAGACCAAAGGCCTCACTAACAACCAGTCCATCAAAGCTTTGAGAAGGAGTCAAACTGCCCCACTCTGGGGAATATCAGGTAAGAAACCAGGCCCCAGGGAGAAGCAGGGCTTGCCCAAACCCTCACTGTCTCAGGCTCTAAGAAGCAGAAGGACCTAGAATTGTTGTAGGAGTTATTAGGAAATTATTTTAGGCAGATAGAGAGGAAAAGGAGTCCTTGGGAAGTTTTCATTTTTTAAAGCATCTCTGGAAAAGTTTCTTGCAAAGCCCCAGCTCTTAGAGCCAGGCCGGCAACCTCTGATATGCAAATATAGACCATTAGAAACCGGGTCCACCCAACATGGCGACTCCAGCCACCTTCTTGCCCTTGCCCCACGTATTCCTGGCAACATGGCTGCCCCCACATATCCCCACATGTGTAGAACATCATGGTGCCCCGCATTTGCATCTTAAGAGGCTAGGGTGGGAGGGCCAGCTTTTTCTCTGGCTACGTGAATGACATGCCTAGTCAAACCAATCCCCTGAGCCTTATGCAAATCAGACACCACCTCCTCCAGATTCTGCATATATACCTGGCTGGTATCTGTGGCAGGCGGGTACCTCCTTTTTTGTCTTTGGACCCCCCACCACCACCCCCCGCCTCTGTACAGGGAAGCCTCTTCCTGCTGCCATCTCTTCTCTTTCTTGCGCATTAAATTCTCTGCTACTTAAAACCTCTCCACGGGTGTCCGTGTCATTTTATCTAAACCGGCGTGAGGACCAAGAACCCTGGTGTTCTTCACTGATCGGAGCCGTATCACAATCATGGCCTCTTTGAGTACTTCCTATTTCCTGGCTCCTGCACTGTCCTCCAGCGCCCATTCTTTGTTGAATAGCCCTTCTTTCCCCAACTTGGAGCAAAAGCCTCTCCTTCCTGAGAGAACCGGAGACCTACTCTTAATTATCCCCTTGAACTGGCAGCCACGTCTGAGGCTTTTCTTCATAGTGGAAAACTGCCTTGCATCAAACTAAAATAAACTCACAGCCCCCACTGGGCTTTCACATCTGAGCCACAGACCGGACAATGTTATTATTTTGCATGAGAACCAAAAGATCCACCAACAAAAGAGGCCTAGCAGAGGAACATCCGAGAAGAAAGAGAGACGGCTGCAAGCACACAAGAGGCACTGCTTTCTCTCCTAAATTACTTCTTTTTAATGTACAAATGGTGAGGATTTTCTTATTACTGGGGGAAAAATGTTAATTTGTAAAAAACAGGGAATTTTTTTCACCATAAAAGCAAGAAGAAATTGGAATCATCCACAAGCCCAACTCTCAAAGATAACCACTGTTTATAAAGAAAAGGAATTCTATTTATGAGTGCACACAGACATGTAAAACTGGTCCTGTTTTTTCTACTAAGTATGTTGTAAAAATGTTTCTGTGCTGAATCAAAGACTGCTATTTGTGCTCATTTGCGGTTTAGTAACAGAATCCATCAAAAGGTTTTATGATTGTCCACAATTCTTTTAAAAAACCCTACTTCCCAGCTGCCTTTTCCATCTAGAGGTAGCCATGCGACCAAGTTCTAGCCAGTGGAAGGGATGGGAGTACTGCACTGAAGGCAATGAAGGGATATGCCCTCCATTGCCCACTTTTGCTACTTTCAGCTAAAGGGAGTGAAGACAAAGTGTGGACTGTCTTGGATCATGTTCTATAAGATAATAGAAGAAGACTGATAACAACATAGATAGACTGATAACAGAATAGACTGATAATGAGACAGAGGGCTGATATGACAAAATAGACTGTTAACAAGATAGAAGGCAGAGGAACAAAATATAAAGAGACTGGGGCCCTGAGTGACCTCATGGAGCAGAGCTACTGCAAGCCCTGGACTGACCATCTCCAAACTGTGAATGAGGAAGAAACTCCCATTTTCTTTGCTTCATTATAAATTGGGTCTTCTTAACAGTAGCTGACTCTATATTCTAATACATGTCTCCAGGTCTACCTCTACAATATAGTTTGAATGACTTCGTATTTTTCATCATATAGATGTTCAATATCAAAATGTATTGAATTCAACTAAGTATAAATTGTTGGTCATTTCTATTGCTTTTAAACTTTTCATAATAAATACCACTGCAATGAATATCCTCATACATAAACCTTGGGTGTATTACTGATTATTTCTTAGGATATATTTATCGAACTAGAACTGCTGGGTCAAACAATGCAAACTTAAAAAATACTTTTTTTTTCAAGAGTATTATGTTTATTGTAGGAGGGTAGCTTGCTTGAACTTCCACCTGAACATCCTTGTATACAAATTTTTATTTGCATAGGCTTGCAAGATTTGCCCCATATTTGAATTCATTTTTATTATGCCCTCTCTCCTGTATGTATGGGAAGAAATATAATTAGTCATGTTTCCTAGGTTCATGTGTGTGTAGCCTTAGGGATATTACTTAACCTCTCTCCATTCAGCTTACTTGTTTTTAAAATAGGGGTTCTAAAACTACCCACCTCATGAAGCTATGAGAAATACATGAGTTAATATGGGTAAAGCTTTTAGCACCCACCATATAGAAAGTGCTCACCAAACACTAGCTATTATTATTTTTATTTTCTAGAATTATTTATGACAGTTGCTTTCCATTTAACAATATATTTAGATTTATTCCAGTTCAAACTATTTCAACTCTTACTGCTCACCATTGAAATACTGAATTTCCCATTCTTAAGGTGTTTGTTTCAAATCCTGATATATTGAAATGCATTTTCCTGTGCATTTTTCAGGAAAAAAAAATACAAGTGGTATAGTCCCTGTCTTGGCATATCTGAGAGTTTTTGTTGTTGTTGTTGTTGTTGTTGTTTTTTGAGACGGAGTCTAGATCTGTCGTCAGGCTGGAGTTCAGTGGCGTGATCTCGGCTCACTGCAACCACCTCCTGCCAGGTTCAAGCAATTCTCCTGCCTCAGCCTCCCGAGTAGCTGAGATTACAGGCACACACCACCAAGCCCAGCTAATTTTTGTATTTTTAGTAGAGACATGGTTTCACCATGTTGGCCAGGATGGTCTTGGTCTCCTGGCCTCGTGATCTGCCCACCTTGGCCTCCCAAAGTGCTGGGATTACAGACATGAGCCACCGCATCCGGCCGAGAATGTTTTCAAATTGTCTTCCAATACCAATGACCTGCTGCTTGGCCATAGAATTTTTGAATAACATTTTCCTTCAAAGCTTTGATGTCCTATTTTCTTCTGTATTCAATGTTGCAGAGAAATTTGCTGTTAACGCAGTTGGATCTTTCTTCCTTTATTTTTTAAATGTTTACTTTCATATATACTTGTAGGATTATTTCTTCAGCCTTGAAATGCAAAATTTTCCCAGGTGGTGAGGAGGGGATGGTTTCTTTATGTTAAATTCATGGGAAGGCTTTCCATCTGTAGGTTCAAGTCTTTCTTTAGCTCAGTTAAGCTTTCTGCAACTGCACCGTTAGATGCTGCTTCTGCTGCAGCTGCCACCACTGCTAGTATTGCTGCTGGAACAATGTTCTAGGTTTTGAGTCTGTGTAGCTTCCCCTTCATCTCCTTCATCTTCCCTCTCATTACTTTCAGATCCTCATGTTCTGGGAGAGCTTCTCAGATATCGAGTCTCGTTGACTTCTTCTCTTAAACAGTTCTTAAATCTGTCTACCTCTCTCCATCCCAGCTACTGCCACCCCAAGAGATCTTCCTGCTTCTATTCTCATACCTCTACAATTCATTCTCTGCACAGCAAGAGGGGGAAAGGCATCTCTTTTAAAATGTAAACTGTGTCATTCTTCTTTCATGTTGTATCATTCTTCAGTGGGTTTTTTTGTTGCATTTAGAATAAAATCGAGTCACATAACGGCCTCCAAAACACTGCATGGTTCAGCCTTGTGGGTCCAAAGCGATGTTTATCAGCCTTTCCCACTCAGGCCTGTTAGAGTTGGTAGCATTGTAGGATGGGTGCAGAGCTTGGAGTGGTAGGAAAAGTCTAAGAAGGTGGAGATTCTCTTATGGAATACACTCCACACACAGCTATCAGGACAAGGATAAAAAGAGATGAAGATGCAGGAAATGAGGCTTGGTATGGAGGAATAAGTCGTCACTGTTTTGAAGGGCCAGCAGGTTCCAGGTCCTAAAAGTATTTCTGGATCAGACTAAGAAGGTAATAAAGAGTGTATTTATTGAACATCTGCTATGAACAAACATTGCTCTACATTAGCCCATTTAATCTTCACAACTTTACTAATTATCTCCATTTTTAATAAAGAAAGGGATACTCTGAGAAGGTGAATAACTTGCCCAAGATCCCATGGCTAACAAGGAGTGGAGACAAAGATAAAATGCAGGTCTGCATGATTTCAAAATTTCTAATCTTTCCCCTGTAACTTGTGTCCTCCCTAAAATGTGAGCTGCAACGTGGCAGCTGGTGACAGAGCCATGTGAAAGTGGAAGGCTTGAATAGGTCTTTTAGAGAAAAACCAACTTCTTGCACTGTTTCAGAGACCTTCAGCCTGGTCAGAGTAGGCTAGATAATAAATAGATCCCAAAATGCAGCAATCCAAGCAGATATTCCTGGCTGGAGGACAACTTTTTCCATGTTCCCTCCTATGGATCCACCAGCCTTGTCATCAGAGGTAGCCTCCTAGAAGAAGGAGGCTGGTCATCATCTGCTCTTCAAATGCAAGAAGATCTGCTGAATGACTTCAAGATCTTTAGAGATGGTACAGTTGCTACTTTGGGAGGCCGAGGCAGGTGGATCATGAGGCCAAGATATTGAGACTATCCTGGCCAACATGGTGAAACCCCATCTCTACTAAAAATACAAAAAGTAGCTGGATGTGGTGGCATATGCCTGTAGTCCCAGCTACTCGGGAGGCTGAGGCAGGAGAATCACTTGAACCCGGGATGCGGAGGTTGCAGTGAGCCGAGATTGTGCCACTGCGCTCCAGCCTGGCGACAGAGCAAGACTCAAGTCTCAAAAAGAAATTGCAAGGAGCCTGAGTCCCAGCATGGTAGGTCATCCATCAAATGCCCAATTGCATTATGCTTGAGCAAGAAACAAAACTTTTACTCTTGAAAAGCCACTGAGATGTTGGAGTTGTTTGTTACAGCAACCAGCATGAGTTACACCAAATAATACAAATAATATCACAGGTTAAAAAAACTAAGGCTCCAAAAGGCAAGGTGCATATTATGTCATTCTCATGTTAAGTTCAGGGCTCCTTCCCCAGGGACACCCTGTCCTAGTGACCTGCAGCTAGTCCTGGTTCAGGCTTCAGCTCTCTATGGAACTCAGGGAAATTCACTTCCCCTTTGGGCCTCAGTTTTTGCATTTGCAAGATAAGGGCTTTGCCTTAGTTGGTGGCAAGGGGCACTCTGAAGCCATCTGACTACTGCCCACAGCCCAAATGCATCATTCCATAGTAACATGTGCAGTCACCACACCCGTTGGGTCATTGAGTCATTCCTTGTAAGAAGAGGGTCAAAACTTTTTTCCCCAAAAGAGTCATTCCAGCTTATTATAGAATCATCTACATTTAGAATGCCTTTACAGTAACCATGGAAACAATAGCATGTGTGAGGAACAAACTTTATTCTAAATCTGCTGATGAGGATGAAGAAATGGCTCCTTGTGTGGACCTCAGCAGGCCCAGCATGGTTCTGCTCTCTCCTCTGTTGGGGCTCGACTTGGCTGCTGGCCATAAGCAGCTAAGGCCAGGAAGAAAAAGACTTTCCTGGGGGAGATGACCAATATCTAGACTAAATTTTGCAAGATGAACCAAGGCCTTCAGTAAACCTCCAGTGATCTGGAAGAATAAATTGTATTTCTTTTCTGCCTGGCCCCCATTGGCCCAGTACAACCTGAAGGCAGAGGACAGAATGGCTGTTTGACACAATCCATGGTAATCACCTCCAGGACACAGAGAAGGGAAGGGGAGAGTACAGCATAGATATAGAGGGACAAACAGAAGGTGCCCAGCACACCTTCAGAGCACTCGTCCCCCCTTGTAACTTAGAGGGGGGGTCTCTAAGTCCATGTGATTATTTAAAGCCTGTGTTTCCCATTCAACCCTGACCTCTATTAAGAGCATGAACTGGGCTCATTCCTAACAGCTAGCATAGCACCTGCACATAGAAGGTACCTATAAATATTTACTGAGTAGTGAATGAAAAAATAAATGGCTACATGACTGAGCAAACTCCTCAGTATGAAGAACACACACACACTAACTCCTCTAGGGAAGACCCCAGGATCACTCAGGACCCTTTCTTCTCAAACCCAGAAAGCTGAGGAACAGCTATCACTGAGCATCAAACATCACCCTCTATTCCTTTGTCACTCAGCCTGGAACTCAGCCCTGCCCCAGGCAGGGGCTGAGCTGGTTCATGCTTCCCTAGCATACTACACTTCTCCCACTGACTCAGAGCTGGTCCCCACTACCCATACTGCCAGACTCAGTATAGCAAGGGACCTCCAGCACTGCTGTCCACCAACTCCTCTGGCAAGTCCTGCCCACCTGCCACGTCTGACCCCTGCATGTGAATACCAGCCTAATTGACCTGAGGTCACTGTGCCCCCTCTGATAGTGTGGTTAAGACGATGGACTACCCACTGCTCAATCCTATGCCGAATTACACCACACTCCACCAGGCCACACCTAGCCCAGTCTCACTCTCTTTCCCATGTGGCTACTGCTGAAGTCCCAGAATTCCAAATGTCAATTTCAGCATAGCATCCAATCAGTCAAGTAGCTAGGGAAAGCCAGGAGGGGAATCAAGATCTGTAGGCTTTGCTCTTGGGGCAAGTTCAAACCAATAAGGTCTGGCTTTGCCTTCCTGACTCCTCCTACATGGAAAAGGATACCAAGTCTGCTATGTATAGTTGTAAAAGTTGTTCACTGCACAAAGGTGCCCAGTTAAATTGAACAGTGAGGGTTCAAATCCAGCCTGTGTTCTACTTGCCAAGCTATGTATCCTGGCCTGGGCTGGGTCTTCCCAACAGAAAGGATGTCTTCTTTCCACTTGCACTAAGGTGCCATATAGGCTAGGGAGCCACCTTGAAACAAATCCTACTGGAAATCTGGGCAAAAAAGTTCATGTTTAACAGGACTGGGGCCTGGAATAGTCTCTTTATATCTCTGATTTTCAGGAAGGCTGATGGCTTCGAGGCCAGTCCTTCCTGTAGAAATTCATTACACAAGAAAAGACCTTCTAGAGTAACAAAAGATATTGCAATTACATTTATCAAAGAAAGCATGGCAATCAATGTCTTATGCACAGACCATGTTTCAAATGCCCTTAATCAATGGCTGTGCTAATTACACATTTATTGCAATTAATTTCATTTCAATTCTACTTTAATCATTAACCTTGAGTGAGATTGGGCAGATCAGAGAGTTTGTGTCACCACAGGGCCAGGACCCAGGGATAAGTTGCCGTCCTTCGATTGAAAGATGCCGCTCCATTAAAAGTTGGTTTATTGGCTCAAGGCCTTTTTGCAGGGGGAGGGAGTTAGTTTCTCCAGGGAGGCAATTCATAATGTGAGTCTGAAATTGAACACAGGAAGGCAGGCAGCTGTGCTTACGAATTAACTAGAGCTGATGTTTAATTTGCTTCTTATTGATGCCATTTCCTCACTGGTTCATTAGCTGTAGTTGGAGAATAAATGCCTTCACAGTTCATTCTTTATGATGTCCTCAGCTTCTGGGTCAGCCTCATTTGTTCCTTATCTTCCCTCCAAAAGAGGGCTCTCTCTTAGCCTCTCCTCATGTCTAAAGGCTCATCTGTGAATTTCTGGGGCAGGGCCTTGGCTTCAGTCTCTGCACAGAGCAGGGTCCCCTTGGTATCTACAGTGTCTGCCCACTGAGACTACCAAGGATAATGCCATTGCAACAGTCCAGATAGGGGTGTTGGAAAATAACTTGCCCTGTGGCAAAGCAGAAACAACTTGTAGGATAATAGAACTCGGGCTTTGGAATCCCTCAGACCAGGGTTCAAGTCCAAGTTCTGATACTTCTTAGCTCTGTGGTCCTGGTGTAGTAGGACGAGCCACAGACAAAACCCCTCAGACACCGAGTTAAAGAAGGAAGGGCTTTATTCGGCCGGGAGCATCGGCAAGACACACGTCTCAAAGACTCAGCTCCCCAAGTGAGCAATTCCTGTCCCTTTTAAGGGCTCACAACTCTAAGGGGGTCCATGTGAGAGGGTCGTGATCGATTGAGCAAGCAGCGGGTACGTGACTGGGGGCTGCATGCACTCGTAATTAGAATGGAACAGAACAGGACAGGGATTTTCACAGTGCTTTTCTGTACAATGTCTGTAATCTTTAACATAACTGATTCGGTCAGGGGTCGATCTTTAACTACCAGGCCCAGGGTGTGGCGCCGGGCTGTCTGCCTGTGGATTTCATTTCTGCCTTTTAGTTTTTACTTCTTTCTTTGGGGGCAGAAATTGGGCATAAGACAATATGAGGGGTGGTCTCCTCCCTTACTGGGAAGACAGGTTAATCTCCTGAGTCAGGTAAGTGTAAGACAACCATGCCCAGCACTTGGAAGGAACTCAAAAAGTTCAACTGCCTTATGCAATAAACCCTTCTCTAGGGTTTACAGCAACCACACCTTAGCAAGATTTTTTACTCCCAGGAGGGAAGACCTTTCTACAAAACATTTCTTTCACTAGCCCAGGAGGAAGGAAATGTAGAGATTTTCTGGTCTAGACCTTCATCTTAAAGTTGGGGAAGGAAGGGAAAGCTTGAGGTCACATTGGGAGTTGGTACCAGAACTGGACTATAGCCAAGTCTCCTAGTTCTCAATTCTAGAGCTTTCCTACCACATCACAAGCTAGCCTCTTTGAACAGTGATTTGTCAGTATCTGGTAAAGATTGAAAATATACAAATATCCCATGTATGTGCTCATGGAGAAAAGAATAAAAATATTTACTGCAGCATCATCCATCATCAAAAATAAGTACTAACTTAAATAGCCCTCCATAGAGAAACACAGAGACCTGGAGACTAAGAAACCAGTCCTTGAAGTCAAGCTGACTCTGCTTTTAGCCTCCTAAATTAAAAGATAGATAGAATAGGTCTTGTTTGCAAAATAAATTCAAGATCTACTCATCTATCAATAGCAAAAAAAAAAAAAAAAGAGAGAGAGAGAAATGCAGAGGCAAATTGTGATGTGTTCATAAGTTGGAATACTATACAGCCATTAAAATGGATATACCTGATCTATATTATCAGCATGGATTAATTTCTAAAGCATAATGTTTGATTTTAAAAAGCAAGTTGCAGAATATTTATAGCATGATACCACGTTAATTTTTTAAATTCACAAATTCAAAGAGATTATAAATATATCCATATGTAATTTAGATATTAAAGCATAGGCAGGAAGAATATACCAACCTGAAGGGAGTGGCCACCTGGAAGAATGGGAGAATGGGATCAGGAGAAGCATAAAGAGGACTTCAGCAATAAGGGTAGCATTTGACTTATCTTTTGAGAAAGATTTGACACATATTGGATTAAATGTGCTCATCTGTTCATATTGGGTGGCAAGTCCTTGGTCTTTTTGCTTTCCAAACTTCTCTTTCTGCTTGAAATTTTTATCACCCATGAAAAATAAAATGGTTAAGCTTTGATGTAGATTCTCTGTCTAAAAAAAAATCCCGATGATTATCACTTACGGAGAACAGAGACTCTGAAATTGGAGATGGTTCCAAGATAACACTCAACAGCATGAGAGATAGGATGATTACATGTCCCAGTTTGCCAGACCTAAAACAGAGCTTGTTGCATGTAGTACTCAACAAATATTTATTGAATGAATTAAAGAATTGAAATATAATGGATACCAATAAATGCATTTTCTCTCCTTTCCTCATGAAATCTTCACAGGAAAATCAGTTAAATGGGGCAGAGTGAGTCATGGAAATCAATGAGAAGCCCTTTGTCTAATCCTAGACTCTTGGAGAAAGATGATGATGGCTGGGACAAGAGTGATGGTAGTAGACATGGAGAGAAAGAAGCAGACAGGTTTCAAAGACAATAGGTAGGATTTGCTGATGGAATGGATATGGGGATTAAGGAGGAAGATCACAGCTAAGATTCTGGCTTCACTATTCCCTTGGAGAAGAGTAAGGAAGAGGGAGAGATTCTGAGTTTCATCTTGAACATGCTGTATTTAAGGTATAACCCAACTTTCAAAGGGGAACACACTCCCTTCAGTGCCCCATCCAATACCAAGAACATCTCTCCCTGGGTTCTGTGTATTGGCTCAGCCCTATGCCAGGGCCATGTGTGTCTGCTTGATGCCCCAAAGGGCTCCTAGCTTCTATTCCTTGGGTTCTCAGGAAGTTTCCTGTGACTCAGATGTTAATTGGCCACAGTCAGGTGGACTTTGAAGCAGCAGGTCTGCCAGAGCCCAGCAAGGCAGAACTTTCCCTTTTACCTTCACATTGTCAAACTCCTGATAAGAAGCTGTATTAGTCCATGGTGGCTGTATTAGTGCATTCTTGCACTGCTACAAAGAAATGCCTGAGTCTGAGCAATTTTTAAAGAGGTTTAATTGACTCACATTCCACAGGCTGTACAGAAAGCACGATGCTGGCATCTGCTGAGCTTCTCAGGAGGCCTCAGAAAATGCACAATCATGGCAGAAGGTGAACGGAAAGCAGGCACTTCTTATGTGGCTGGAGCAGGACCAAGAGAGAAGGGGGAGGTGCCACACACTTTTAAATGACCAGCTCTCACAAGAACTCACTATCACAAGAACAGTGCCAAAGGGGAAATCCACTTCTATGATCCAATCACCTCCCACCAGGCTCCACCTCCAACACTGGGGATTACAATTCGACATGAGATTGGGTGGGGACACAGATCCAAACTGTATCAGTGGCACACCCCTGTAGTCCCAGCTACTTGGGAGGCTGAGGTGAGAAGATTGCTTGAGCCCGGGAGTTTGAGGCTGCAGTGAGTTATGATTGTGCCACTGCACTCCAGCCTAGGTGACAGAACAAGACCCCATCTTTAAAAAAAAAAAAAAAAAAAAAAGCCGGGCGCGATGGTTCATGCCTGTAATCCCAGCACTTTGGGAGGCTAAGACAGGTGGATCACGAGGTCAGGAGATGGAGACAATCCTGGCTAACACGGTGAAACCCCGTCTCAACTAAAAATACAAAAAAAAACTAGCCAAGCATGGTGGCATGTGCCTGTAATCCCAGCTACTCAGGAGGCTGAGGCAGGAGGATCACTTGAACCCGGGAGGCGGAGTTTGCAGTGAGCCAAGATCACACCATTGCACTCCAGCCTGGGTGACAGAGTGAGACTCCGTCTCAAAAAAAAAAAACTTCTAGTAAGAGTGTTTCTAAACCGCACCAGAAGGCTTTTATCCCTACTGGGTCTGACCCCAAAGGGGACGCATTCCAAGAGCCTGTTGCCTGTGAGTTACATAGAAATATGAAAGGATTCCCGGCCCCTGCCCTCTCAGGGAACACTCCACTCTGACAGCACTGGCATGC
Source organism: Homo sapiens (assembly GCF_000001405.40). Lineage (NCBI taxonomy): Eukaryota > Metazoa > Chordata > Mammalia > Primates > Hominidae > Homo > Homo sapiens. The sequence continues at coordinate 43,307,069 of NC_000020.11, forward strand.
ACCCAACAGTCAATGTCTGCCTTCATATCCCTAAAAGAGAACAGAGAGGAAAACCCTTCTGTAAGTGGAAGGTTTTACAGTGCCAGTGAAAATTATTCAAAAAGTAATTAACATAATCAAAATCTTTGTAGGTCATGCTGAAAATGCCTTTTCTTCAAACATCAGTCTTGTTCTTGGGTCTCATCCATTTTTTTTCTGTCCTGAATAGTGTGGAAAGTTGGCTTTCTCCAGATGGACTCGCTGACTTTTGGTGGCTGCAAATGGATTTCCCAAAGGCTGTGCACAGTTGGTTTTCTTTCAGCTTTTCTTAACTTTCATTTATTTTTCTTCCATCCTCACCCTGGCATTAGGCCAGTGCTTTCGGGTTGAATAAATTTAAAATGCCATTTTTGATAATTGGAAAAGCCAAGCCCACCTTTGGGCCGTATCACATAATGTAAATTTTTCAGATGAAGGGATTATAGGTCATCAATCTCTCCGCTAATACTTATCCATAAATCCATCAGACACCAGCGTATCAAGTCCTGGTTCAAGTTTTGTGCAACTCCAGGGTGCTTCCAATTATCTCAATGACTCTTTCAAACTTCTTGAAAATTTCTCAAAACAAATCAAATTTTCATTCAGTGTCCAATTAAACATAAGTATATGTCATTCAAGACTTTGAAACACGGTTTCTTAACCTGGGGTACACAGGTCTATGGATAGAATTCAGTGATCTATGAACTTGAGCAGGAAAAGAAGTTACCTCTTTTTTTCACTAATGGTCTGAAATTTAGCATTTTCTTGCATTATGAATGTAGACAACAAACCATAGTAGCAGTAGCAGAATCTGGGGCTTTCACCAATAAAATCCATGGATATTTTCATATCACCTAACAGTTGCTACATAAATCAGATATTTTTAAATATCTACATTTAACACTACTTTGAAATCACAGTAATTATTAAACTTTCTGCTAGCTTGCTATTTAAAGTGCTAACAAAAAGCACATTTATTACAATATCACAAATTTTCTTAACATTTGGATAACTTTATTTCAGTATAATTGATTTCCTTTGGAATTCTATGTCTTTTTATACATTTAAAGACTCTTTACAGAGCAGAAGTTCAGAGGCCTCACCAAACTGATGACTGCTTGGGGGCTTATGCAGAAGAAAAAGGCTAGGAGCCCTGCTTTGGAGGGGGAGAAATAGGGGAAGGAGGGAAGAAATTCAATAATCAGAGATGGAGAGCCTGAAATATGTAATTCTGTTCTGAACTTCTTAAGGGGAGGAGGCATCTGAGAAGGAAGCATTAATGTTATATAGTAAAGAACTTGGCCATTCCCAATTAGAGGTCTGACCTTTGTTCCAGGCTCCTGGGGGGTAACCTCTAAACCCTTGAAATGTCCTAAATGATTGGACGGTGTTATTCGTGGTGGCCCCTCTGACCACACCTTGCTTATGCTAACAAGGTGACTCATGGTGGGCCTCTCTAGGGAGTAGGTGTTGAGGATTGAGTTCACTCTTGTGGGCCATCAACCAGTCATGCATATATAATGAAGCTCCAATAAAAACTCTGGACACCAGAGTGTCCAAAGGGCAGGTGAGCTTCCCAGGTTGGCACGGTACACCATCCACACTGTCACATCTCAATGCTGAGAAACTAGCACATCCTGAGGGCAATGAAAGCTATGCATTTGGAGCCCTTTCAGACTCCATCCTATGCATCTCTTCCTTTGGCTGATTTTAATGTATCCGTTTCCTGCAATAAACCATATCCATGATTATAATGGCTTTCAGTGAGGTGAGTCCTTCTAGAGAATTATTGAAATCTTAGGGTGGTTTTAGGAAGCCTCCCGAACTTGCAGTTGGTGTCAGAAGTGAGGTTGGTCTTAGGAGGACTCTTTCCTCTAACTTCGTAGTTGGACCCTACCTCCTTGCAGTTGGGGTCAGAAGTCTTGGGCAGACTTGGCAGTTGGGAGATCCATGCTCTCCTACCTTTCAGTTTGGCTGAAAGGGGTAAATGTACATGGGAATCACCTGAGGATCCCATTAGTTATGATTCAGTATGCGTAGGGTATGGCTTGAGACACTGCAGTTCTAACAAGCAACAGGTTGTTGCGGATGCCACTGTCTCTGGACCACGCCTTGAATAGCGAGCTGCTAAAGCACAACCAATGACATCTCTTCTCAGCTTGAGATCCTCAGTGGGCATCAGTGACCACCAGAGACAGTACACACCTCTGAGTATGGCATTCCAGGTCCTTCAGGATCCAGCCCCTGCATTCTCTTGCAGTGTCTTCAACCCCCTTGGCCCTAGCTCTGTCTCCAGTGGTCCACCTGGAATCCAAGACCTCCATACTCACATGTCTTGTCCATCCAGTCTGCTTCTGGCCACAGCCCCATCTCTTTATGAGCCCATCCCTGCCCCTGTCCCAAAGCCAGGCCCAGCCAAAAGCATCAGCAATGGCAGGCAGCTCCAGTCTTGCCCTGACCCCTGGCCCAAGCTCTGAGAGCTGAACTGATACCAAGGTGGAAGCCCTAGGCACATCTAGCAGGGGAAAGGCCAACTCTTCATTTTCTACCTCAGTCCCTATCAGGTTATGTGAGGAGACCGATTCCTTTCTGTTCCTGGACTCCAGTTCCTTATGGACAGGGTTGAACCCTAATCTCAAAAACCTAGTGGCCTAGTCCCAGCTCCTGGAGCCTGACTTTCCTGATGCCAGCCACCTGTCCAGACTGCTGACAGACAACTGTTGCTGGGACACCTGCTGTTTTCTACCTCTTCCTCAGCCTTTGTGTGGACTTTGAGAATTCATTTTTGTATTCTACCTCAGATTAGAATTCTAACTGAGAATTCAATTTTGTATTCTACCTCATCCTCAGCCATTGTGTGGACTCTGAGAATTGCTGCCACCTCTTGTGGATATTTCAGATGGTGGTTCAAGAATACTCACTCTTTGCCACCCTTCTCCTTGGGAAGGACATAGTTCTCACTGATGTTCAGCTTGCTCATATGATTTGCTCTGGCCTCATGGAGGATGGAGTGTACTTTCCCTGACCCTTGGCTTCAGGCTTAGTCTCAGGACTTTCTTTGTCCAATGGGACGTTAGCAGACATAATACAAGAAGAGGCTTGACATGTGCTTGTAGAGTTGGACTATGCACTCTTGCATTCTGGTGACCTGCAGGGAGAAGAACACACCCAGATAACAACTGCCCCTCCAGCCTGGGATCCAGGATGAACCCATGTGGAGCAGATCTGAGCAGATCCACATTGAGAAGTGTAGCCCAGCCAGATCCATGGTTCAAAGCCCAACCAACATCCAGTAACCCTTAGCTATGTGACTGGGAATTTTGGGAGTGGTTTGCTATGCAGCAATAGCTGATTGATACACTTGGGACATGTGTGCTTATCCCATTTGACTGAACTTCCTGGGTCCCCATCTGCTCCAAGTCAGTTCTCCCAGAACCTAACCCACATCAAGAGCAAAACTTGTGCCAGTTCCCAACCTTTCTTTCCACTTTCTGTGTTCCTATTTTGCTTCTCATTTCCTGTGTAATCCTGGAGAAAAAATATTTAACTTCTGTGAACCTCACTTCTTTAGGGTTGTAGGTAATACTAGATATAGGTGTTTGTTAACTCTCTAGGACAATTCTAGGCATACAGAAGATGTTTAACAAATAGTAGTAAGTCAGCCATTCCAGGCTAATTCCTGAGAAACAGGATGGGCACCACTCCATTGAGGTGCTAGAGAAACAACCCAAACCCTAAGCTGGAGACTAATTTTACATTTTCAACCTCCCATCCTTGGGCTTGTTTCTTGGTTCCCAGCATTCTCATAGCACTTGTAGTTCCCTACTATGATGTGTCCACTCTCATTTCTGTCTTCTCTGCTAGATTAGAGGCCCTTACAGACAGTAACTATCACTTACTCATCTCTGTATCCTCAGCCTCTGTTTAGCACAGTGCCTGGAATAGAGTGTGTGCTTAATAGATGTTTATTAAAAGAATGACTTAGTCATCCAATGAATCAACGAAGAAAAGGAAGAAAGAGAGGGAGGGAGAGAGAGAAAAAGGAGAGGAGGAAGAAAAAGGGAGGGAATGAGCGACAGAGGGAGGGAAGGAAGGAAGAAAGAAAGAAGGGAAAAAGGATATACAAGGATTTGGATGGATGGTTGGATGGATGGATACAGGGATGGGTGAGGATGTCTGTACCTTTCGAAGGGTAGATAACAGGTGACTGCATGGTTTATGGATGGATGAATGGAGCCCCTCATCCGTGGGGATGTCCAATAGCTTCACACTGGCTTCTTTTTCTATCCCCTCTAGCTCTCACTCATTCCTCTCCTGTCACAGGCAACTCCTGGGTTTAAGTGTCCTTTTGAACAAATAACAAAACTCCAATTGGTGTGTGAGCGCTTCTAGCATTCTAATTGTGAAGCATGCTTCTGAATGACTTAGGAGCTAAGGGGAGCTTGAAAAAGCCTAAGATGCTGGGAGAAAATGAGAATCATGACATTTTGAAAAGGAAACCAATTTTCTCTAACTAAAACTGTTGCCTCTGTAAACCATATTATAAATCCAATAAATTCACATAATGCTATGGTAAATCCCTCACAAAAGAGAGAAGGAGGGGGGAAAGAGAGAGAAAAGGATAAGAAAAATCTTACAAAGACTTCCAAAGTCACTCTTCTCTTTAAAAACAATTGCTTTGATCCTATGTTACTAACTACCTGAATTCAAATACAGGCTCCACCAATTCCAAGGAATTAACTTTGGCAAATCACTGAACCTCTCTCTGCCTCAACTCCTTCATCTATAAAATGAAGATAGTAATACCTACCTCATTACATTATTGTGAGGATTATTGAGATAATATAGGTAAAGCTCTTAGGAACCTGCCATACACATAGCAAGTTATAGGGGAAATGCACCTGAGAGCATTAAGCACACGTTTAGAATGATCCTGTATGGCAGATGCACCTGAATGTGTGTTCCAAGCTAGGAAATTTGGGAGCGGCCAACCCAGAGATTCATCCCTTGACTATGATAAGCATCTGAGCCCCCAGTCTGTCCCACGGAACACAGGCTGTACAGGGATTGAGGCCCTGAGTTTTGGGATAAACGAAGTTTGCCAGGTAGAGGTCATTAAGGGAAGAGAGTTAACTGAAAATACTAATATATTAGCCGATTTTTTGATAAAAGCCACTTGAGGGGTAGGGGAGTGGGAAAGTGGAGGGGTGGGGAGTGGGAATTGTTAATGAGTACAAAAAAATAGTTAGAAAAAATGAATAAGGCCGGACATGGTGGCTCACACCTGTAATCCCAGCACTTTGGGAGGCCAAAGAGGGTGAATAGATTCAATCCAGGAGTTGGAGACCAGCCTGGGCAACATGGTGAGACCCTGTCTCTACTAAAAATACAAAAAAATCAGCAAGGCATGAAGGCACAGGCCTGTAATCCCAGCTGCAAGAATCACTTGAACCTGGGAGGCAGAGGTTGCAGTGAGCCGAGATCGTGCCGCTTCACTCCAGCCTGGATGACAGAGCAAGACTCTATCTCCAAACAAAAAGAATAAGACCTAGTATTTGCTAGCACGATAGGGTGACTATAGTCAAAAATAATTTAATTGTACATTTGTAAATAACTCAAAGGGTATAATTGGATTGTTTGTAACACAAAGGATAAATGCTTGAGGGGATGGACACCCCATTTTCCCTGATGGGATTATGCATTGCATGCCTGTATCAAAACAACTCATATAATCCACAAATATACACATCTACTATGTACACACACAAAAAAAGGTGTTTTTCCCTATCTCCTTTGAATAAAAAGCATTGTCTTTCTGATAATAGAAAGAAGGATTGAAGGAAAATGCATATAAACTGCATGTTGTTTGCAAGCAGTTGCAGTTTCCTTGCCCAGCCTGCCATCACTGGGCTGTGTGGTTATGTCGTCCAGCCCACCATCACTGGGCTGTATGTAAGGTGGCTATCTTGTCCAGCCCACCACCACTGCACCATGTGTGTATGTAAGGCAGTCTCCTCTCCAACCCACTGCCACTGGACTCTCTCCTCCGTTAGGAAGCCCCTAATAAAACCCCATGCCTCAATTGCTGGCTCTGGGTCTCTTCTTCAGCCTCTTGAACCTGGTGCCTTCCCTGAGGTTAATAGGGATTTGGCACAATATAAGTGTATAATAAGTGTGGGCAATTCTTATTACTATTACTCCCTACACTCACAGTGGAACACAGCACCAGGACCTGGTGACCTAGGGACCATGAGTAGATCCCACACTGCTCCAAAGACATTCGTCCTCCTCGACAGCCTCACATATCATCATTCTCTACCCTGATCACCCCTAATGATCCTGACACTAACTCCTCCCAAGTCTAATGCCAAACATCATGTAACCCAAATGTGGATGTGGGCCATGTGGGCAAGGCTTCATACAGCATTATATTGTGAGAAAGAGCCAACACCCAAAAGTAATTCAAAATAATTGAAATATTACTTGGTATTTCAAAGAAATGTCAAAGGGAGAAGTACATTCTGAACACACAACCATAAACATCTTTAAAATTTTTCCTATCACTGCTGCTTTCAATATTCCACACACAGCATTTACCCAAAACTCCCTCTCTCCTTCACCCACCCTCAATGCCGGACCATGAAGTTCTTCTATTTCTCACCCCCTTCATCTCTTCCCATATTTGTTCTTCATTGGGTAGATCAACTTAACCTTCTCACATCTTAGTGCTTCTCTCCATTTCTACCTGGATTACCTGGATTCTAAATAACAAAGGTAAACCCAGGAGCTGACCAAGTAGACCAGAATTCTTCCCCATAGAATCAGGGAAGATGTTAAAAATACTCATTCTTAATTTTTGTCCCTGCTAAACCAAGTTATCTGAAATCTCCATGCCTTTGCTCAAGCTATAATATTTCTTCTGCCTGGAATGCACTTCACTTTTTTTTTTTTTTTTTTTTAAGAGACAGAGTCTCACTCTGTCGCCCAGGTTGGAGTGCAATGGCGCCATCTCAGCTCACTGCAACCTCTGCCTGCCAAGTTCAAGCAATTCTCCTGCCTCCGCCTCCCAAGTAGCTGGGATTACACGTGCGTGCCACCATGCCCAGCTAATTTTTTGTATTTTTAGTAGAGACAGGGTTTCACCATGCTGGCCAGGCTGGTCTCAATCTCCTGACCTTGTGATCCGCCCACCTTGGCCTCCCAAAGTGCTGGGATTACAGGCATGAGCCACATGCCCGGCCACACTCCACTTCTTTTAAGAAGCCTTTGGTAGGCCAGTCTCTCTGCTCTGAGAGCTGGGAGTGGCTGGGAGTGACTTGGAGATGCAGAAGAGGCAGAGGCTGGAAGTCTGAGGTCTAGTTTTGGTAGCTGGCTCACCTCCAGTCTGATTTGGAAATGCAGAATGTGTTCCCACAAAGCCTGAAAGACCACTGGCCTGGTATGTGGTCCAGGGGACATAATGTCGAGTAGAGAGTTGGACTAGCTGACCCCCAAAAAATCAGATTCTGTGGTATTCGTGACAGAACAATTCCATTGCAGGAGAAACAGGCCAACATTGGCAGAAGAGTTGGCCATAGCCACCAGTTGCCCCTGTGGTCCTTATGAGGCAAGCAGCTCAGATTTGGAGGGTAATGCAAGCTCCTCCAGACCAGCAGGTCCATGGTGGCCTCTCTACAGCCCCATTTCCACCACTGCTCCCCATCCCACAAAGTGTGGAGCATGGAGCCCCTAGACCAGACACCTTTGGAAGAACACCTTGAAAAATCTCATCTTTCACACAGCAGTTTATTATTTTCAATGAATTGTTACCATTGTCCTCACCACCGCCTGAGACCAACAGGAGCAGAATCTCAGCTCTGACCCTAACTCCATGTGACTTTGAGTGTGCCACTTCTCCTCTCTGGGGCTCAGTTTTCTTGGGAGTTTATCAGTCAGGATAAACTAAGTGCTATGCTATGTAACAAACAAGCTCAAAAATCGATGCCTTTATACTGCAAGCATTGATTTATTGCTCATGATAAATAATCAAAGTGAGCCTGTGAGAGGCTGTGCTCTACATAGTCACATGGGCAGCCACAGTCTCCTCCACCTTGCAGCTGCAACACCTGGAATGTAAGGCTTCCATATTCACATGGCAAGGGAAGAACTGCATTAGACTGGAATTCTAACTATCTGAGAAGTGACACGCATGAGCCCTACTCATATTTTTTTAGCCAGAACTAGGCACCTTGGTGCCGCCTACCTCTGATAACAGAAAGAAAGAAAGAAACTGCAATATAAATTGCATGCTGTTTGCAAGAGCAAACAGGGAGCCAAGAAACATAAGACAACATATGGAATATCTGCGTAGTAATACCATCTCTGCCACAAGGTGTGATAATACTTCTATTACTAGGTGACTAGAAGGATTAGGTGAACAATCGTTTTGCAAAAAGGCTTTCAACATTTAAACCTCAGAAAATATTTATTGTGCAGCTACTATCTCCTAGGTCTTGTGCTTAGTGCCAGGAACACAACAGTCATCCTATCCTCGTGGAGCTTACTGTCTTGTGTATGAGGCAGACAAAAAATCACCTAATTGCACCAATAAGAGTGTCACTAAATACTGCAACAGATGCTCTAAAGAGAGATGTGTGGTGATATAATATGACAGAGAGCCTTAATTCATCCGAGCAGTCCAGGAAGACCTCTCTTGAGCTAAGATCTGAAGGATGGGCAAGGAGTAAGTAGATGAGCAGTTAAAAAGAAGGCAGCCAGATGTGGTGTGCACCTGTAATCCCAGCTATACAGGAGGCTGTGACAGAAGAATTGCTCGAGCCCAGGAGTTCAAGTCCAGCCTGTGCAACATAGCAATACTCTCACGTCGAAAAAAAAAAGAGAGAGAGAGAGAGACAGAGACAGAGAGAGAAGGTGGTGCAGAGTGTTGTTGGCAGATGAAACAATATAGACAAAGGTCCAGTGGCAGGAAAGGCACAGCATGTTTGAAGGACTGAGAAAAAGCTGGAGAGGCTTGGGTACAGAGACCAATGCACAGCTTGGAATGAGAGGTGGTCAAGTTCAACAGAGACCCAACCTTGTGGGCTGAAACAGGATTTATTTGTCCTTTATCACCAAAGCAAACTGAGGCAACATGGTTATTATGGTCACCATTCCCACTTTGAAGAAGTGTAAATTGATACCCTGAGCAGCCAGGAGACCCATCTAGAGTCAGGAGAGGAGGTGATATTCTGACTCACCCTAACCACTGTGTGGCCACCTCCAAAAGCCTCAGGACAATTCAGGACCAAGAACATTCTCTCCCACCACGAGAAGAAACATTTCCTTCCTGGAGTAGGTTCCACATCCCATCCAGTGATGTGTGTAAACTCACAACATTAGCCTGCGCTGGGCCAGCCCCATGGGCCAGGACAGGTTGAGGCCAAGAGATGGGGATAGAGATGACTGGGGATAGAGACCCCAGTCACTTTCTTTTCATCTCAGCAGTACCATTATTTTATCATGTGACTTTGCGCAAGCAATTTCCCCTTCCCAGCCCTCAGTTTCTCCATCTCTGAAATGCAGGCATTGAACCAGATGGTCTCTGAAGTCCCAGCAACAGGAGTTTTAGGTGTATTTTCCGGCTGAGTAATGAAGGGGGAAAGTGAGTAGACTCCAAACCAGTCTTTATCTGGAGAACTGCAATTTGCCAAACAAGAAAATCAAGGGGAAATTGCAAAGATGATGAGGGATGGACCTTTTTTAGGAACAACAACCTAATCACAAGTCACTGCTAGAGAAGAAATGTCACAAAAACCTTGATTTGCAGCTTTAGGGAGCAGCGTGCCATGGGATACAGGCAATTAACAACGTGAGAAGCTTCCCCAAGGCTCAGATGAATCATGAACGGCAGTGTTGATGGGCTGGAAAGGATGCCAAACAGCACATGATCAAAATCCTAGCCTAATTCATGAAGTCCTGTGGAGCTGTCCTACCAAGCAGTCATCCTGCATCTGCCTAGACAACCCATGTGATGGGGACCTTTATACCTACTCCCCTTTTGCACAGTGCCCAACAGAGTGCATGGCACACAGCAAGAGCTCAACACATATGTTTGAACGAATGAACTAATTAATCAATAGCTGCAGTGATGTCCCTATATCTCTCCTGGTACTTTTATCTGTGGGTTCTAGTGCTACTCTCTAGTGCTACTCTAGAGCACCTCTGTTCTCGTGACTGCCTGTCTCAGGAAGAGATCCCCAAAAGTAGACATTTATTTTGGAGGTGTTTTTAGGAACCCCTGTTGAGGCGGAGGAACTAAGACAGGTTAGCAACAGAAGCCAACAAGGGATGTGTTAATGAAAAGGCTACCACTGTGGGCAACTGTAGCTCAATCCTTCTGGAAAACCTCTGGGAGATGATATAGAATTCTGCTAGCCAACTCAGCAGCCACCAGCCACATGGGGCTGTTGGGTATTTGAAATGTGGCTAGTATAAATTGAGATGTAGAATAAGTGCAAAATACACACCGGATTTTGAGGACTTGGTATTTTTAAAAAGTGTAAGATATCTCAGTAATGATTTTTATATTATGTAAGATTATGAAATGACTATTTTTAATATATTGGGTTAAATATAGTGTTAAAATTAATTTCACTTGTTTTTCTTTTTTCCTTTTTTTTTTCTTTTTTGAGACTGAGTCTCTCTCTATTGCCAGGCTGGAGTGCAGCGGCATGATCTCAGCTCACTGCAACCTCTGCCCCCCGGGTTCAAGAAATTCTTGTGCCTCAGCCTCCCAAGTAGCTGGGATTACAGGCGCCCGCCACCATGCCTGGCTAATTTTTGTATTTTTTGTAGAGACGGAGTTTCACCATGTTGGCCAGGCTGGACTTGAACTCCTGACTTCAAGTGATCCACCTGCCTTGGCCTCTTAAAGTGCTGGGATTACAGGTGTGAACCACCGCACCCAGCTAATTCTTTCTACTTTAATTTAAAAGCATGTATGACTCACACTTATGGCTCACATATTTCTATTGTTCGATGCTGACATAGACGATACCTTAGAGTTATCCCACCCAAGGGGTGAGGAAGCTGGGTTTTTACCCACCCATTTATACCCATCATTGGTTGAGTACTGCTCCCAGGGGTATAAAATCCTTAGTATTTCAACCTGGCCCATGCACCAGTGAGCTTCTGCAGCCAGAGAAAACCCTCAGCCAGAGTTGCAAGAACTTGTCATAGGAACATGTTCAGGAATGAAGAGTGCAGGGCGATGTGGGCAGAGCACTGCTACCCTGCCCAACAAAAATCTGATGGCCATATCTATGTCCTGCCCTCATGTCCCAGCCTCTCCTATCCAAAGTGAATGGCCCAATTTCTTTCTACAAGTCCTTCTCATAAAATTTGCTCTCTGTCCCCTCAGCTTCTGGACTGCCTTCTCCAAACACATACCAGTTGGTCACTGTCCTTTTTACAGGGTGCTGGTTGAGATGGTCTATCCATTCACGGGCTTCTTAGCCCTCCCGAGCCAAGGACCCCTTACAGATTCTGGTAACTTCAGGGAACTTCTCCCCTGAAGGAAATTCTTTTTAGGCCATGTGCACCATTCTCGCAAAATTTTGCATTGCACTTTCAAAGGGTTCACAACCCCAGTGTCCATACATAGGCCTTTCCAAAGGTCAGTGAACCCAAGATTGAAAACCCCAGCTCTAATGCTTGTCTGACTTCTTTTATTCCTCCACTACATATGTTCACATCTTTCTTTCTGAATGCTTTCAATTTTCTTAGCAGAAAAGGAACGTAGTTCCTAAAGCTGCAAGTGGAGGCAGGCACCCCAGAGTGATCTGCTGGCCATAGATAAGGAGTTGCTGAGCGCTTGGGGTTACCCCCCACGCCAATCCCCATTGACTCACTGGCTCCTAATAAACAGCTGATTTGTGAAGATGAGCCTCACAGGCAACCAGGATATCAAGGCAGAGAATCCTCTGCCCACAGGGCACAGAATGATAAAGCCAGAAGAGGCCAAGGACATCAGCATATGTTATGCATGCCAGCAAAGTTGAGCTTACGCGGCATGTCATTGATCCTTGAAATAACTCAGTGAGGTATGTGGGGCTCTCATCTTCATTCCACAGATGACACTGGAATCAAGATAGAGACAGTACAACTCAGAGGAGAGGAGTTTGCCCAAGAACACATAGGTAGCAAGAGGGGAAGCCAGGACTTGAACTAACATCCTCTGAGTCCCAGCCCTATATCCCTTTATCCCCATCAAGTTGCTCCTACTGGAGGAAACTGCTGGCTGTCCACCCAAGTCCAGCTCCTCTTACTCCACAGTAGCTGTGATTGGGACATGGCTGTTTTGCCAGGAACAGCAGTCCCAGCTTCTCTGCAGGCCAGGGATGGGGTATGAGTGGACACAACACGTGCCATTTCTGTCTCACTTGTTTACGAAAACATGTATGGTCCTTATGGCCCTGAGTTTGCACATTTTTCTCCTCCTACTGACAGGATGGCAATAATAAAAGTGACCTTGGAAGCCACATAAACATGGCAGAGTCATTAATTAATAAGACTGGGATCCTGAACATCCATGTGGAGCAAAACTACCTGCTGACCTGGAACATCCCACCTCTGACTGTTATGTGGGAGACAATTGACTTCTTTGTTCTTTAAGCTACAGTATTTGGGAGTCTTTTGTTCTAGCAGCTGAGCCTTTTACCCTAACTAATACACACCCCTAGGGAGCAGAGTAGGGAAAGAAACTTACATTTAGGCTTTCTGAGGCCCTCCCAGTTTCACCAGATGTCAAGATGGCACATAATATGAGGCCTTAATTTTTGGCCTCATACCACGCCACAGAATGATCCCTAAGGATTACAACATCATCAGTTCAGGCGACCTCAATATGTACAGGATCTCAGCCCAGAGATTACAGAATCTCAGAACCCAACACATAAGTGCTCACTGCTGGCCCCAGTGGGCTCAGAGCTGTGATTCACCCTGAGAGGGGAAAGGGATGGAAACACTCTGTTATTTGCTTATTCCCTACTCTCCCTCCTTCCTGTATATTACCCTGCCTCAGCTAGGTCAAAAGTCCCCACCCCCCACTGTTTGAATCCCTCATTTTCCTCCTTTCTCCTATGTGCAAAACAAACATACATTAATACATCTACCTTTTGCTCTTATAAGAAAACGGGCTCTGTAACACAGACAACTGGTTTTGGCCTACAGCACTGAACACAGGAGAAAGCCAGCTGCCCGTGATAAGGGTCCATCCATCCTGGGACCCTGCCCTGCAGACCCCTGCCTCCTGCCCTTCTGTCTGGTTGCTCCCAGTGACCGGCTCAGCCAATCAGAGGGCTGCATTTCTTTCGGCACTGGCCTTTCTCAACTTCTAGAATCAACTCCAGGCTTGAGATGCCATCTGGGCTGAACCCACAGAAAAGGATGAACTTCGTCTTGCTTTTAACATAGCTCAGGCATCCAGCACATAATGACCTTCAAAACCCTGCACCTCACAGAAATGATCCCCATGAAGGCATGAGTGGATACGTGGCCACTCTGCTGGGGTATGAACTTCCGGGTGCCATGCTCCAAAATCCTCCTCAGCTGTCTCATTCCAGCTGCATTCTGGAGCCCAGACCCCATCCAGCTCCTCAAGCTGCTGTCCAGTGCTGATGTGGAGTGCTGTCTGGGAACCATCGCCTTGCCCAAGTGCATCTAGAAGCCTTCCTAGAGTGTGGCTAAATCCATGTTGTTTACTGGGGTGTCCCTCCTTCTAGACTTATTAAATCCACTTTCCCTCCATTAGAAATAAGGAAGTGAGTCAGAGCTGCCACTTCAGGCACCCAGGGACAATGAATGACCCCCACGGTCCAGAGGGAATCCATAAACCAGAAAAGAAAATTAGGATCTGACTTCCTGGAGAAGCAGAGATGCTGCCAAAGCTCTGCCCTAAGTTATCCAGTGGGTGGCCTACTGGGAACTTAATCATATTTGGGTTTTTTTTCCTGAAGTAATCTTCCCTATTTTTGGTTAGTGGGGTGTAACACCTCTGGAAAGGAGGGGAGGCCAACTGGGGCGGTTCTGATGACTAAAACCCGATATGAGTTTGCAGGGGCTGCCCCAGACCGGGTAGTTTCAACAGAAATTTATTTTCTCTTGATTTTATTTATTTTTATTTTATTTTTTATTTTTTGAGACTGAGTCTCACTCTTTCATCCAGGCTAGAGTGCAATAGTACAGTCTCGGCTCACTGCAACCTTGGCCTCCCAGTTTCAAGCAATTGTCCTACTTTAGCCTCCCAAGTAGCTGGGACTACAGGCATGCACCACCATGCCCGGATAATTTTTTGTATTTTAGTAGAGATGGGGTTTCACCACGTCGGCCAGGCTGGTCTCAAACTCCTGGCCTCAAGTGATCTGCCTGCCTCGGCTTCCCCAAGTGCTGGGATTACAGACATAAGCCACTGCACCCAGACCATTTTCTCATGATTTCAGAAGCTAGAAGTGTAGGATCAAACTGTTGGCAGGGTTGGTTTTGTTGAGCCCTCTGTCCTTGGCCTGAAAATGGCCATCTTCTCCCTGTGTCTTCACAGGGTGCATGTACATATCTGTGTTCTCATCTCCTCTAGAAGAACACCGCTCATATTGGATTAGGGTCTACCCCTATGACTTCAGTTTGCCTTCATTACCCCTTTCAAAGTCCTATCTCTAAATACAGTCACACTGTGAAATACTGGGAGTTGGGACTTCAACATATGAATTTGAGGAGGTTGGAGAGACACATTTCAGCCCGTAACAGACCCCACCCATTCCCCTTGGGAGAGGGTCAGCAAGTTCAGCATGCCCCTAGGGCTGGGCTTTATTTTCCTGGAAGACCCAGAAGTCCTGTCATGGGAGTCGAGAATCAGAAGGAGCCCTTCTGTGCAAGACGGTCTCAAGGAGGAGAGAGGCAGTGCCCTGAGAGGGAGGGTGGGCGGAGGGAAGAGGAAGGGGCACTGAATTGGGGAAAAGACGCCTGGTCACCACGTTTTAACAGGGATATGAATAAATTCATTGTGCCTAAGGAAGATGAACAGACTGTGAAAAAGCCTTCAAAATCACAAGGGACATTTAGCTTGAAGAGGAAAAGACATACGGAGTAAAGGTCTCTGTTTTCACCTCCCTGAAGAAAGGTAATCAATGTGCCCCAGAGGACAGAACCAGGACTTGTAGGTAGAAAGCAAAGAGAGGCATGCTTCAACTGCAAGAAAATAAAAGTGTTCCAAGCAGTGAAATATTTGACCTTGGAGTAAACTGCTATAATAAGTAGTATGCTCCCTTCACTCACAGTATTTCAGTCGGGCTGAAAGATCATCGGGGTGCCTAGAGGAGAAGTTTTCATGCACTTCTCAAATTCTATGATGCTCCAAATCAGAGGGTTGGACAAAATAATTGTGCTTAAAACCTGCCCTTGTGGTCCTCTTGTCTCATATAACACTTAGCAATCTCTCTCTTTGCAGACTGGCTGAAATGCAATGAGAGTGCCTGATGACACATAATTTTTGGCACAGAATTCACGACATTCATCTCAAATGTCCAAGCTACTACTATAAATTAACAGATCTTCACACACACACACACATACACACACACACACACACACACATAGCTCATCTCAAAAGTGTGAGAGAACTTCCGAACCATGTGAGAAAACCAAGGCTTTTGGAAGAATATGGCTCTGCGTCTGTCAAGTCAGGAATCCATCCTTCTAGAAGGGCACGGTAGTCAGAGGAAAGTCCCCTCTCCTCTAACACACACACGTTGATGTCCACCTCCTAATCCCCAGCACCTGTGAATATGGTACCTTACAAGGCAAAAGGGACTTTGTAGGAATGATTAAGTTGAAGGACTCTTAGATGGGTGACATTCCCCTAGGTTATTTCGCTCCTCCAGTCGAATCATGTGAGTCCTCATAAGCAGAGATGCCTCTCCTGACTGCAGTCAGAGAACCAGAGAGGCGCAGCAGGAGAAGAACTTGGCCACAAGCCAAGGAATGCAGGAAGCCTCTAGAAGCTGGAAAGGGCAAGATGATGGATTCCCCCCTAGAGCTTCCAGAAAAGATGCACCATGTCAACATTCTGATCTTAGCCCAGTGAGACCAACATGGGACTTCTCTTCTCTAGGACTGCAAGATAAATTAAATACATTTGTGTTTTTAAACCACTTGTGATAATTTATTAGAGCAGCAATAGAAAACTGATACAAAGAGTCAGGCACTCTGAAATCATAAAACAAGGATTCAACTCCCAGTCGGCAGAGTCCTAGCTGTGCAAACTTGGGCCAATTAATTAACCTCTCTGGATCTCAATCGGCTGCTAATGGGGCCGTTCACTACTCTCAAAGGGCTGATGTAAGTATTAACGTAGATAATAAACCACTAGTAACGTGTCTGGCACAGACAGCCCAGCAGATGTTCCCATCTCTTCTTTTCCACCTTATTTGCTCCTAGCCTACTGTGTTATTTGCGTCATTGCTCCTTGGGAAATGAGGAAACTGGGTTCCAGGTAAGCCCGAAGATAGGCACAATAACATGCAGCTGATGAAAGTTAAAGTGGGATTTGCAGTCTGGCTTCAGGAAGCCCCACTTGGAGGCCTGCTCGCAGAGCAGCCAGAGCAAATCCCAGCCACAGCACAAAGGGCTCCAGGAACCACATTCTTAGAGATCACTCCAGGAGGTGCCCTGGGGGCAGTGGCCAATGATAACCAGGAGCATAGGCTGTGGGACTATACTAGATCAAGGGCTAAGATTTCCCTAGGGTCAAGGTGTTCTGATTCAACTGGACTGCCCCCGGCCCCCAGGCTTCATACAGGGTGCTGGTGAGGAATTGTCCAGGTGTGCAGGAATGCGGGGAGGTGTCTACTGGTGATCTGAGCAGTAAGAGCAGCCTCTGAGGGGGTGATATTTTTAAAAAACAGGATCTTGCTGTGTCACCCAGGCTGGAGTGCAGTGGCTCCATCACAGCTCACTGCAACCTTGAACTCCTGGGCTCGAGCTGTCTTCCCTGCCCCCACCCTCCCCCTTCCCCACCCCCCACCCCCCACCCCAGCCTCCCAAGCAGCTAGGACCACTCGGGACCTATGCCACCATGCCTGGCTAATTTTTTTTTTTTTTTTTTTGTACAGACAGTCTCACTTTGTGGCCAAGGCTGGGGTGACCCTGCTAATGGAGCTGGCAATGAACTGCATTTTGGAAGCTCAAGCAGTCACTCTCGTCCAGGTGAGCCTGAAAAGTGTCGTCACTGACATCGCAGGTCAGAGCAATTGAATGAACTGTGGAATTCCTGCTGTGAGTCTGTTAGGCTGCAGGATCCAGGATCCTCCACCCTTATCTAGTTCCAAAACTTTTTATCACCCCATAAGGAAACCCTGTACCCAGAAAGCAATCATAGCTCTTTGACCCCCTCCCCTGACAACCACTAACCTGCTTTCTGGCTCTATAGGTTTGCCTATTCTGGATATTTCACATAAATGGACTCATACGATATGTGGCCTGCGGTGTGTCTTCTTGCACTTAGCGTAATGTCTTGGAGGTTCATCCACATTGTGGCATGCATCAGTACTTCATTCCTTGATGTGGCTGAGTCCTATTTCATTATACTTAATTTTTTTAACAAGATGTTCCACATTTTCATTTTGCACCGGGCTCTGAAATTATGCTGGTCTTACGAAGCTCTCTTACGGGGTTGCAGAAACCGGTCACTCTCAACTGGCCCCTTGCCTCCCCGCCCTCCTCTCTCCATGCACCCTCCACTGTGCAGCCAAAATGGTCTTCCTTGGACGAAGCCTAAGCATATCATCTCTGTGCTTAAAATCCTCCTGTGACTGACACCCATCGCCCTCACCCCTACCATATCTCGGCCCCTTGGCTAAAGGATCCAGCTCTACAAAGGAGCCAGGCTGTAGGGAACCTCCATGCCTTCGCCCATGCTGCCACTCAGCCTGGAAGGCCCTCCCCCCACTGCCCCCCTTCTTCTCAAAATTGACTCCAATACGGTAACTCTATGATTCTAAGGTCTTCATCCTCAAGAATGAGGTGAATGGTTAAAGGGCCCTTAGCTCGCTAATGACAAAGATGCAATTTGCTTCAAAGCTGACCTTCAGGAAAGAGGACTAAAAAAAATAGATGAGTCAATTTAATCTTCTGCACTGACACTTCCAGGGACCATAGAATGAACTTACAAGGGAACTTATGTAAGTTCCTTTGTGAGATATAAATAAGCACATTAAAGTATTCCTGCTTCTGTCCAGCTTAATGGCCAAGAAACTAATTGTCAGAAATCGGAAAGGAGCTGAAATAAATATGGGTAGAGTGCTGCTTGATATTATGAAGAAATCTGGCCCAAAAAGTAAAGGCAGGGACGCAGATAGGGGATGTCCAGCTGTCCAGTGGGCAATTTTTCATTGTGGTCATGAACTTTTTTCTGAGACATAGTTTTTTGCTCTTGTTGCCCAGGCTAGAGTGCAATGGCACAATCTCGGCTAAATGCAACCTCCGCCTCCCAGGTTCAAGCAATTCTCCTGCCTCAGCATCCCGAGTAGCTAGGATTACAGGCATGTGCCACCACACCTGGCTAATTTTGTATTTTTAGTAGAGATGGGGTTTCTCCATGTTGGTCAGGCTGGTCTTGAACTCCCGACCTCAGGTGATCCGCCCATCTCGGCCTCCCAAAGTGCTGGGATTACAGGCATGGGCCACCGTGCCCAGCGCTCATGAACTTCTCTGCTTTCTCACATAAACCATCATTAAACAGTAGCTGGCACCACCTGGATGCCACTTCCTGCCAAGAGTCATGAGGGCATGGTGTGCAGGGGACAGTGGGGACCCTAAGGTCTAGTGCTCATCCATCTGGCTTGTCCTCTCAGTAGCAATGTCCTCTAGGGCCAAGGACTCCTGACACCAGAACCTCAACTGACAGCAGTTGCATCACAGGTCAGTCTTTGTGGCTGGGCACAAACCTGCAGGCTGGACTTCCCAGCTGTCAAGGCCACCCCCTGCCCCCTCTGTCCTCCCCTCCTCTCTCACCTGGCCCCGGATCCCCACCTCCAAGATGTTGCTCTATCTGGGTGATCATCTCCTATCTTCAGTCTTTCCCACCCCAAGATTCCTTCTCGCCCACCCTTGAAGGTGCACATCTCCTGAGGTGGGCAAAAGCCCCGCCTTGACTCTGCCTCTCTCCCAAGCCAGTAGCTCCTCTCCCTCTTTGACCACCCCCTATCACCAAACACAGTCCATCCTTCCTCACCTCCCTGCAGGCTGCCCAGCTCCAGCCTCACACTCCACAGTCCTTCATCTACAGAACAATACGATCCCTCTGAAACATATCTGGACCACCACTGCCCTGCCTGAACCTCCCAGGAGACTTTCACTACCCCCAGAAGAGGGCAAGTCTCAAGCTGGGCATTCAAGGACCATGTTGACCTGGCCGCCCTCACTTCTTGGCTGTCAGACACCCTGCAGCCACTCCTCCCCCACTTTTGGCCTTCAACCTCTCTGAGTCTCTGTTTCCCCATCTATGAGGTCAGTGGTTTGGACCAGCTAATCCCTGAGGCTCCTCCACGGTTCTAAAAAGGAAACACAGCACACACGCATGTGCGCACGCACATACACACACACACACACACACACACACACACGTGGGCACACACCACTTAGGCTTTGTTCTGAGTACCTAACTGCCTCCCATAGAAAACTCAAGAACAGGAGGTGAGGATCCCAGCGGAAGCAGTGGGCGCATTCTCTCTCGTGCTTTTTTTCTCTCTGCTTTCAATGTATTTTACCATCTTCTGAACAAAAATAGCCTGTTTGATTCCCTATGGGAAAAAATAGAAAAGAAGATAAGAGTCAAATTAGTGTCCACTCTCATAAAATTTTTTTTTAATGGAAAGAGAAGGAGATAAAAAGCAAAAAGGTAGAGACATCAGGCCCACAACTCAACCAGAAAACTTAGCTGCCCATGGCTGGAGATCCAGATGGGGCCAGAGAAACTAGGAAAGTTGAGGCAGGGATAAATCCTTGCCTAAGGTCTGGGCTCCCTATTGGGACCCTGCTAAGAGGTATCATAAGTCATATATATATATATACTTTAAGTTCGGGATACATGCGCAGAACATGCAGGTTTGTTACATAGGTATGCACGTGCCATGGTAGTTTGCTGCACCCATCAACCCGTCATCTACGTTAGGTATTTCTCCTAATGCTATCCTTCCCCTAGCCCCCCAACCCCCGACAGGCCCAGGTGTATGATGTCCCCCTGTGTCCACATGTTCTCATTATTCAATTCCCACTTACAAGTGAGAACATGAGTGTTTGGTTGAACTCATCCTTCTTCATGGCTGCATAGTATTCCATGGTGTATATGTGCTACATTTTCTTTATCCAGTCTATCACTGATGGGCATTTGGGTTGGTTACAAGTCTTTGCTATTGTGAACAGTGCTGCAACAAACATACATTTGCATGTGTCTTTATGGTAGAATGATTTATAATCCTTTGGGTATATACCCAGTAATGAGATTGCTGGGTCAAATGGTATTTCTGGTTCTAGATCCTTGAGGAATCGCCACAGTTCTTCCACAATGGTTGAACTAATTTACACTCCCACCAACAGTGTAAAAGCATTCCTATTTCTCCACATCCTCTCCAGCACCTGTTGTTTCCTGCGTTTTTTTTAATTTTTAAATTATTTTTATTTGTTTTACCATATATTTATGGGATACATGAGATGTTTTGATACAGGCATGCCATGTGAAATAAACACATCCTGACTTTTTAATGATCACCATTCTAACTGGCGTGAGACAGTATCTCATTGTGGTTTTGGTTTGCATTTCTCTAATGACAGTGATGATGAGCTTTTTGTCATATGTTTGTTGGCCACATAAATGTCTCCTTTTGAGAAGTATCTGTTCATATCCTTTGGCTGCTTTTTGATGGGGTTGCTTTTTTCTTGTAAATTTGTTTAACTTCCTTGTAGATTCTGGATATTAGCCCTTTGTCAGATGGACAGATTGCAAAAATTTTCTCCCATCCTATAGGTTGCCTGTTTACTCTGATGATAAAGAGCTTCTGCACAGCAAAAGAGTCACCTATTTTTTAGAGCAACACTGACACATATCAGCTCAGACGTAGAACCATTCCTTCTCTCTTGGTTTATCAGATAGGACCAAGAGCTCACCTGCCAGTGGGTGGACCAATTCTCAAAATATAAAGTATATAATTCTTTATACTGGAGGAAGAGTTCAGCATATCTTGTTCTCTTCTTGGTCCTCGCAGTTGCACTGATGTATGTCTGGCCTTCTGGGGAAGAAAGAAGGTTGAGAAGGTGTTTTGGGGTCCCTGGAGGACTGGGACCCTGATTGTTACCTCTGGGTAGTGGGATAGGGGATGTGCAATGAGGAACGGAGTCTTTCAGTCTTGTACTTTGTTCACATCTTAATTATTTTATTCTTTTTCAATTAACATGCTGTAGTTGGCTTGAGTTTTTGTTTTATTTTGTTTGCTTGTTTTTTTAACATACACAGAGATGACAGGCGAGGTTTTATTTTCAAGGTTCTTCAAAGAAACAAATCAATTCTGGAAGGCCAAATTAACTTGCTGGCCATCTCCAGTTTGTTAAACTACAGTCAATAACAGGGGTTGGCAAACCATGACACACAAGCCAAACCCAGCCTGCCGTTTGTTTTTATAACTCCTGCAAATTGAGTGTTTTTTTATATTTTTAATGTCTCTTTTTAAATAAAGAAATCTATCTCATAATATGACATGTGAAAATATGAAATTCAAATTTCAGTGCTCATAAAGTTTTATTGGAACATAGCCATGCACATTCATTTACACATTGCCAATGGCTGCTTTTGCACTCCAATCAGGAAAGACTATATGGCCCATAAAGCTAAAAATATTTACTATTTGGCCTGTACAGAGTTTGCCAATCCCAACAACATCCTGTTGTCTCAGGTCTTGAAGAGTTAAGAACACATTAAATCATATATTTAATCAAACATCTTGGGTATATTTTTGCGGAACTGTATTGGAAACATTACTTAAGGACTTCATAGTGTTTTCTTCTCTGTAAATTTTTCACTATGGAAATTTTTTTAACATATTCAATAGTAGACAGAATAGTATAATGATCCCCATATACTCACCACCCAGCTTCAACAATTATTATAGTATTAATATTATTTTGATTAACATCAATTTATGGCAGACCTAGTTTTAACGATACCCCACCCACTTACCTTTCCTGCATTATTTTGAAGCAAATTTCAGAAAGGATATAATTTCATCTGTAAATATTTCACAGCAAACACTGTTTTAAAATAAAATTTTACAACCAGAAGGAGACGGTGACAAAGTTGTGCGTAATAAGGAATTTGCAGCAGAAGAGTCATGAGCCCATGGAGGAAGGGGGTGTGGGTGGAAGACACACTTTAAAACTGATTGAGAAATGCACGTGTGGCACACCACATCTTCCAAGCAAAACTCCTGGCTGATAGACAATCACCATGGGAATAGGAATGTCTCTCTCCCATCTATTGTGATCAATGCCAAGAAAAGGCCGGGCGCGGTGGCTCACGCCTGTAATCCCAGCACTTTGGGAGGCCGAGATGGGTGGATCGTCTGAGGTCAGGAGTTCAAGACCACCCTGACCAACATGGTGAAACCATGTCTCTACTAAAAATATAAAATTAGCCAGGTGTGGTGACGCATGCCTGTAATCCCAGCTACTCAGGAAACTGAGGTAGGAGAATCGCTTGAACCCAGGATGCAGAGGTTGCAGTGAGCCAAGATTGTGCCATTGTACTCCAGCCTGGGTGACAAGAGCAAAACTCTTGTCTCAAAAAAAAAAAAAAAAAAAAAAGCCAAGAAAAATGGATGGAGCAAGGGACAAGGAAAGGGAGCCTGTTCATGTAATTAAAGACTGGGAAGGAGATAGACAAGCTGTCAGCTTCATGAGTTCCTGAAAGCTGGGTGGGTCACCCTGGCAGTGAGTGATGTCTGATCTTTCTCTTCCTTTAATAGCCAGGGTCAACCCTGAACAAAGGAGAAGCAAGCTGCCTTTGTGAGTCCAGGGTCCCTCTTTGGACTTTTTCCCCTCTGTCACCCCAAGAACCCAAAAGACATAGGGGAAATAAGGAAGAAAGAGAAGAGTCACATCAACGGTCAGGACTGCAGGGGAGGTAAGTGACCTTAAGAGAAGAGGCAGCATTGAAAAGGTAGGAGGAGGCCAGAGGCCGGGTGTGGTGGCTTACACCTGTAATCCCAGCACTTTGGGAGGCCAAGGCAGGCAGATAACGAGGTCAGGAGTTAGAGACCAGCCTGGCCAATATGGTGACACCCCATCTCTACTAAAAATACAAAAATTAGCCGGGCATGGTGGCGTGCACCTGTAGTCCCAGCCACTCAGGAGCCTGAGGCAGAAAAATCACTTAAATCGAGAAGGCAGAGGTTGCAGTGAGCCGAGATCACACCACCACACTCCAGCCTAGGCAACAGAGCGAGAATCCATCTCAAAAAAGAAAAAGAAATGGGAGGAGGAGAAGCAGGAGCAAGAGAAGAGGAAGGAAGCTTCCCAGGGGGGATCAGGCCCACCAGGCAGTGCACTCTGTTTACAGAGGGACAAATTAACCAGATTAGAATCCTGAGAGCCAAGTTTACATGTCAACATGGCCAGGCAATAGTACCGTTAGTCAATCAGACATTAATCTGAGGGTTGCTGGGGAGATATTTTGTACAGGTGGTTAACATCTACAATCAATTGGCTTTAAAGAAAGGAGATTATCCTACATAAGGTGGGTGGATCTCATCCAATCAATTGAAAGGTCTTAAGAGCAAAATTGAGGTTTCCTAAAGAAAGAAATTCTGCCTCAAGACTGCAACATCAGCTTCTGCCCAAGAGTTTCCAGTCTTCCAGCCTGCCCTACAGATTTCAGACTTGCCAGGCCCCACAATCATGTGTGTCAGTTCCTTGAAATAAATTTCTTCATACACACACACACACACACACACACAGAGTATATTTACTGATTCTGTTTCTCTGGATAACTGACACATATCCTTAATCTTTCTCTCCCTCTCTGACTCTATACAGTTGTGATAATAATAATTAATAATGGCCAGGCACAGTGGCTCACATCTGTAATCCCAGCACTTTGGGAGGCAGGAGATTGCTTGAGCCTAGAAGTTTGAGACTAGCCTGGGCACTATGATAGCATGTCTATGCTATCATAGACCCATCTCTAAAAAAACAAAAAACAAAAAAAAGAAAAAAAAAGAAAGAGAAAAGAAGAAAACAATAAGCAATAATACCCAACATTTATTGAGTACTTACTATGTGCCAATGTGCCAGATAGTGTTTTCAGTGCTTTACCTATATTAACTCACCCAATCCTCACAATTGCCCCATGAGAATATTATTGTGCCCGTTTTACAGATGAAGAAACTGAGGCACAGAAGGGAGATCACTGTGAGCCTATAGCAAAAGGCTAATGGAGCCTGGGAACACGGGCAAAAAGGGCATTTGTTCCTTCACTGCAGGCTCACCTAAGGTCTAGAGTGCAGTTCTCTACCCCCACTGGAGGCAAGAGGATATATCCTTGGACACAGGGTAGACAGGAAGAAAATCATCAGAAACCAAAGCAGATTGTACTAAATCTTTCTGATTCTAGCATAGCAGCATCAACAGAGCACAAAGTCATCTCAATAAATTATCCCATCACATTTGTTATACCACAGTGAACATTTTAATATAGTAAATCTTTCCATTTTCTTATTTACACTTTCCTTATTTTATCTTATTGACGTTGTGCTTGAGGAGTTCCTAATTCAAAGATACCTGACTCAAGCCTTGTTACTAGGGAAGAGGGAGTGAGAAGACGCTGCAGACGTCCAGAGAAGCAGACAGATAGTCCACGATGCCAAAGAATCTTTGCTGGAGGAACTGCATCAGGCGGGGCCTGAGAACCGGTGGTTTCTCGCCAGCATCCGTCATCCGGCTGTTTCTCAGCTCCGGCTCCAATCTGGAGACCGAGCCATGCCTGTGGATGCTTCCCAAGAAGGATCTGGTGGGGTGGGGCGGAATTTTTTTTCTCCCTCCTCTCCCTTGAAAACATATTTGACTGCTTTGCAATCCAAACGCAAACAGCCTGACAATGTGCTGAAGTGCCCTGAAATGCAGGGAGCTGGGCCATAGAGAGGTTCAGAGGAGGGATTCCTCCTGCAAGGCCCTTGGACAGGAGAGCCAGGGGGTCTCTCAATAAGGGGGCCGGCCTGCGGGAGGACCTTGGGAATACGTTCTAATTTTCTAATACAGGAAACTGGAAGAGCCAAATGCCTTGGGAAAGAAGGGTTTGTTTTTTAAACTGGGAGCCTCATACATATATATGAGATTAATATTTTATCCTATAAGAAAAGTCTACAGTTGGGAGAAGGCAGTGGGGGTGGGGGGCAAAACCCTAACACAACATGTGCCATGGTGACTGCTGGAAATGCAGCCCACTGGGCACACAACCCAAGAACTCTGCGTGCATGCTGCCCCTAGGCTGGGAGTGGGCTTTGGGTGAGCTGTCTGTTCTCCCGGCCAGGTTCTCACACCAGCCTCCAGCCAGCAGAACCTAGGGATATCTGAAAAAATGTCCCCTCAGCACGCTTCTCTTCAGCCCCTCAATTGCCCCTAAGCTCTTCCCACCATGCTTTTCAACCATCCCTTCTTTTCCTTTCTACCCAGGATACTGTTCTTTGAAGCTTCACGGTTAAGCCAGACTGTGTCCCACTGGTCTCTTGGCGGGAGGGTCTCCCCATTAGAGCTCCCTGAGAGGGACTGCACCCTGGGAAGTTCAGTCTGAGGAGATTCCATCCCATCCAGCTGGTCTTCCCTTCCCCTCCCCTCCCTTTCCTCTTCTCCCTCTCCTAACACTCACTGACAATCTACTCTTAGCAGGCACTGCTCTCAGGGCTGGAGAAATAGTAATGAACAAGGCAGACCAGGTCCATGCTCTTCTTAATCATTTGTTTTTTGGGGGTGTGAAAAGTTAAAGTAGAGGTTCCTCTTCAAAGAGACTTTCCTGTCTAATTAAGAATAAATAATAACTTCTCTTAGAAGCAAAATTTAGTCCGGGAGGGAGGTGGGGGGTCAGCCCCCCACCCAGCCAGCCGCCCCGTCCGGGAGGTGAGGGGCGCCTCTGCCCGGCCGCCCCTACTGGGAAGTGAGGAGCCCCTCTGCCCGGCCACCACCCCGTCTGGGAGGTGTACCCAACAGCTCATTGAGAACGGGCCATGATGACAATGGTGGTTTTGTGGAATAGAAAAGGGGGAAAGGTGGGGAAAAGATTGAGAAATCGGATGGCTGCTGTGTCTGTGTAGAAAGAAGTAGACATGGGAGACTTTTCATTTTGTTCTGTACTAAGAAAAATTCTTCTGCCTTGGGATCCTGTTGATCTATGATCTTACCCCCAACCCTGTGCTCTCTGAAACATGTGCTGTGTCCACTCAGGATTAAATGGATTAAGGGCGGTGCAAGATGTGCTTTGTTAAACAGTTGCTTGAAGGCAGCATGCTCGTTAAGAGTCATCACCACTCCCTAATCTCAAGTACCCAGGGACACAAACACTGCAGAGGGCCAAAAGGGTCCTCTGCCTAGGAAAACCAGAGACCTTTGTTCACTTGTTTATCTGCTGACCTTCCCTCCACTATTGTCCTATGACCCTGCCAAATCCCCCTCTGTGAGAAACACCCAAGAATGGTCAATAAAAAAAAAAAAAGAAGCAAAATTTACTCAAAGACCTGTGCTAACATTACTAGGTATCTGCTAGCTGTAATAAAGAAATCAACGTACTTTGTGTTCTTTGCTCCCACAATTTGCCCTGGCATGCTTAATACTAGTCCACGCAAGATTAGGTCATAGCCTGTTTGTCTTCCTTCTTTGGAGGTGTTTTTACCTTTCTCAGCATTCCACAAGTTACTTCCTCCTTCCTTTGTTTTCCTCTGCCTTTGCCTCTTTTAGAAGGTTCCAAGTTGCTAGCCAATCGGGACACATACAGAATGTGAGGTCCCATTCTAGCCAATGGAAACCAGGCGCAACAGTAGGGTGGACACGTCAGGTTATAAATAACCCTGTCTCCTTTGTTCAGTGTACTCTCATGGCAAAACTACTGGCGAGTGTACCCTTTCTGCAAAAAGTAAAAATTGCCTTGCTGAGAAAATTAAATTGATGTTCAAGTGCTATTTCTTTATGGCACCAGGGAACAAGCATTTCAAACAGGGGCTTTGGGGGGGTTATTTTATTTATTTTTTGTCAGAACATATTATTAATTTGTTTATGCAACAAATATTTACTGAGCACCTACTCTGGGCCAGCCACTGTTCCAGGTCTTGGGGATACAGAATTGAACAGACAGAACAAAAATCCCTGCCCTGGTAGAGTTTGCATTCTATGAAGACATTAAATCAATCATGACAAAAATTATTCATTCCCAATGTGTAGCTGTGACCATGAAATAGCACAGGGTGTTAGCTCAGGACAGAAAAAAAATCCAGCCTGATCACCCCACAGGAACAGCTTTAATTGAGGCTTCCTGGAAGGGGAGTCACCTAGGAGAAGGGGAGGGTGATATCATTTGGATGTCCCACCCAAATCGCATGCTGAAATGTAAACCCCAGTGTTGGAGGTGGGACCTGGTGAGGTGTCTGGGTCATGGGGGCTTGGTTCTGTCCTCTCGATAGTGAATTGTCATGAGATCTGGTCATTTAAAAGTGAGTGGTACCCCCTCTCCACCCTGCCGCCCACACACACTCTCTCTCGCTCCTACTTTCGCCATGTAATGTGCCTGCTCCCACTTCACCTTCTGCTGTGAGTAAAAGTTCTCTGAGGCCTCCCTAGAAGCTGAGCAGATGCCAGCACCATCTACAGCCTACAAAACTGTGAACCAATTAAACTTTTTTCTTTTATATAAATTATCCAGCCTCCGGTGTTTATTTATAGCAACCCAAGAACCACCTAACACAGAGGGTAAGAAGAAGGGCTCCAGGCAGAGATTCTGGAGATGGAAGACAGGATCATTTGGAACTGAAAGAAGAATGGCGTGAGAGAACCTAGGAAGAAAGCTGAGGGGTGGACAAGGCTCAGCCACACACAGCCTGGTAACTGAGGATTCGCGTCTTTGTCCTCAAAACAGCAGGGAGCCACAGAAGTGTTTTAAGCATGGGAGGGACACTATGAGGTGTGTGTTTATAAAACATGGTGCTGGTGGCTGGGCAGAGAAAAATGGCAGGAGGGACAGAGTAAAAGCAGAAAGACAAAGGCAGAGCTAGGGCAGGAGCTGGGGAGGTGGTGGTGGTTTCGAATACAGTAAAGGCTGTGAAGATGGAGAGAAAAAAATGGAGGGAAATTTGAGAAGTAGGCCTCACTGGTAAGGAAACTCACTGTCTTTATTTTGCTGCGGTTGCTGTAACAGAGTACCATGGACTGGGTGGCTTAAACTGCAGAAATTCACCATTTCACAGTTCTGGAAGTTAGAAGTCCAAAATCAAGGTGTCAGGCAGGATCGGTTCCTTCTTAGGGCCAGCAGGGAAGGAGCTGTCCCAGGCCTCCTTCATTGGCTTGGAGGTAGACATTTTCCTATTCTTTTGGCGTCCCCTCTGGCTGCATGTCTATCTGTCTCCAAATTTCACCTGTTTATAAGAATACCAGTCATCTTGGATTGAAGCCCACCTTCATTTTAACTGGAAGGACCTTATCTCCAAATAAGGTCACATTATTAGGGACGGGGAATTAGGACTTCAACATATGAATTTGGGGAGGACAATTTAATCCATAATGTGGGGTCCTAATAAGTAAACAACAATACAGAAGGGGCTGCAGGTTTCAGGGGAACAATCATTCTGAGAGACAGATAATCACAGACAACCCACTGCCACAACATCCTATTCCAAATCCTCATTCCGCATGTAGCCTCAGCAGCATGACCCTACCTACACACCTTATCTGCACGTAGCCCCTCTGGTAGTACCCTTTAAAACTTCCCTCCAGCCCCTGCTTCTTGGCAGACAGCCCTTTCTCTGTAGTACTGCCTGTTGCACCCTTGCAACATATCTTTGTACTTTCTCTAGCAAATCTGCCTTTATTTACCTATGACTGTCTTGGTAAATTATTTTACTGCCTGTGATGCCAGCCCCAGCCGGTCTCACCCGCAACACATAACACTAAGAAAAGTCCTGCCGGGTGCAGTGGCTCACGCCTGTAATCCCAGTACTTTGGGAGGCCAAGGAGTGTGGATCACCTGAGGTCAGGAGTTCGAGACCAGCCTGGCCAACGTGGTGAAATCCCGTCTCTACTAAAATACAGAAATTATCCAGGGGTGGTGATGCACGTCTGTAGTCCCAGCTACTCAGGAGGCTGAGGCAGAAGAATCGCTTGAACCCGGGAGGTAGAGATTGCAGTGAGCCGAGATCATGCCACTGTACTCCAGCCTAGGTGACAGAGCGAGACTCCATTTCAAAAAGAAAAGAAAAAAAGTCCAAAGGGAGTGAGAAGAAGATTAAATGTCCTTTCATGGGTTTAGAGAGACCGGTTACAGCAACTCTGCTGGCATCCCTCTTACCTGCCTAGACTGTCTGTGTGAGGGTTTGCTTGTTTGCTTGTTTCAGATGATGCCTTCCAGAGAGCACCACCCAACTCTTGAGATGCCCATCATTTCCAAAGATGAAATCTCAGGCCCAACAGACATTCCTGCTGGATATCTTAGCCTGGGGAGGGACAAAAGAGCCTGAACTGGCCATAAAGTGTGTGCCAGCAACACCTAAGTAGGACACCCAGGAAGGCCAAGAAGGGAACCCAGTAAGGGGCATATTTTCCTTCTTTTTCCAAAAACGTCCGGATATTTATCGCAGTATTACTGTCTCCTCCCAGAGGTCCCCACATCTGATTCATAGTCACTTGACTCGGGGGTGCTTGTTAAAAGGCAGCTTCCCAGGCCCCACCCTTGGGGATTCCAGGGTGAGACCCCCAGACTGCTATCTTCCTCCCATGCCCCAGCTGGCTGTGGTCTCCAGTGGGGTTTGGAAGCTGCCGCTCCACCAGCCCTTCTTCCACGGCCTAAAGATAGACATGCGCTCAGGGCTGTGCGGAGCCCGGAGGTTTTGATCTGTGGGGAACTGGCACAATTCCTGGCCCTTGTTTGTCCCTCGAAGTTGTCTCAAGGCAGAATCTAATTTCCATTTCTATTCCTGCCTCTCAACTCTGACTACTTCAGCAAATGCCTTTCAATTGCCCCATTTTTTTTTCTTAAAGAACCACCTCTAACTTCAATTTATATATATATACATAAATGTATACATATGCTATTTCCCCTGTTCCAGAAGCTTTGTGCTTTCTACCTCAGGGAGGGGTTTAGAAAAAGATTTTATTTGTCCTACCTTTGATTCCTTTAAGTCAACAGAGACAGCCTTAACATGACTTTTTTTAGAGAATGGATCTCACTGTCGCCCAGGCTGAAGTACAGTGGGGCCGATCATGGCTTACTGCAGCCTCGACCTCCTGAGCTCAAGGGATCCTCCCACCTCAGCCTCCCAAGTAGCTGAGACTACTGGTGTGCATCATGCCCAGCTAATATTTTTATTTTTATAGAGACAGGTGTCTCCCTATGTTGCCCAGGCTGTTCTCAAATTCCTGGCCTCAAACAATCCTCCTGCCTCAGCCTCCCAAAGTGCTGGGATGACAGGCATGAGCCACTGCTTGGCCTTACATGATATTTTTTTTTTAATTTTTTTAGTATTTATTGATCATTCTTGGGTGTTT
The DNA here is from genome assembly GCF_000001405.40 of Homo sapiens. Classification (NCBI taxonomy): domain Eukaryota; kingdom Metazoa; phylum Chordata; class Mammalia; order Primates; family Hominidae; genus Homo; species Homo sapiens. The sequence goes on from NC_000020.11 coordinate 43,337,903, forward strand.
CTCGGAGAGGGGGATTTGGCAGGGTCATAGGACAATAGTGGAGAGAAGGTCAGCAGATAAACATGTGAACAAAGGTCTCTGGTTTTCCTAGGCAGAGGACCCTGCGGCCTTCCGCAGTGTTTGTGTCCCTGGGTACTTGAGATTAGGGAGTGGTGATGACTCTTAACGAGCATGCTGCCTTCAAGCAACTGTTTAACAAAGCACATCTTGCACCGCCCTTAATCCATTTAACCCTGAGTTGACACAGCACATGTTTCAGAGAGCACGGGGTTGGGGGTAAGGTTAGAGATTAACAGCATCCCAAGGCAGAAGAATTTTTCTTAGTACAGAACAAAATGGAGTCTCCTATGTCTATTTCTTTCTACACAGACACAGTAACAATCTGATCTCTCTTTCTTTTCCCCACATTTCCCCCTTTTCTATTCGACAAAACTGCCATCATCATCATGGCCCCTTCTCAATGAGCTGTTGGGTACACCTCCCAGACGGGGTGACGGCCAGGCAGAGAGGCTCCTCACTTCCCAGACTTGGCGGCCGGGCAGAGGCGTTCCTCAGTTCCCAGACGGGGTTGCGGCTGGGTAGAGACGCTCCTCACATCCCAGACGGGCTGCCGGGCAGAGGCGCTCCCCACATCCCAGACGATGGGCGGGCCAGGCAGAGACGCTCCTCACTTCCTAGACGGGATGACCGCTGGAAAGAGGCGCTCCTCACTTCCCAGACTGGGTGGCGGCTGGGCAGAGGCTGCAATCTCAGCACTTTGGGACACCAAGGCAGGCGGCTGGGAGGTGGAGGTTGTAGCGAGCCGAGATCACGCCACTGCACTCCAGCCTGGGCAACACTGAGCACTGAGTGAACGAGACTCCGTCTGCAATCTGGGCACCTCGGGAGGCCGAGGCGGGCAGATCACTCGAGGTCAGGAGCTGGAGACCAGCCCAGCCAACACGGCGAAACCCCGTCTCCACCAAAAAATACAAAAACCAGTCAGGCGTGGCGGCGCGCGCCTGCAATGCCAGGCACTCAGCAGGCTGAGGCAGGAGAATCAGGCAGGGAGGTTGCAGTGAGCCGAGATCGCGGCAGTACAGTCCAGCCTCGGCAACAGAGGGAGACCGTGGAAAGTGGGAGACAGAGACGAGGGAGGGAGGAGACCGTGGAAAGCAGGAGAGGGAGCGGGAGAGGGAGAGGGCTTACATGATATTTTGATCAGACTTTTTTTTTTTTTTTTTTGAGACTGAGTTTCACTCTTGTTGCCCAGGCTGGAGTGCAGTGGTGTGATCTCGGCTCACCACCAACTCTGCCTCCTGGGTTCAAGGGATTCTCCTGCCTCAGCCTCTCGAGTAGCTGGGATTACAGGCATGTGCCACCACGCCCAGCTAATTGTGTATTTTTAGTAGAGACGGGATTTCTCCATGTTGGTCAGGTTGGTCTCGAACTCCCAACCTTAGGTGATCCGCCTGCCTTGGCCCCGTAAAGTGCTGGGATTATAGGCATGAGCCACCACGCCCGGCCAATCAGACCCGTTTAATGCTGGTGGAGATGGCCTCTGGTGGGCCACACTTAAGCACCACTGTGGAATGGCCCCTGACTGATGCTGCTAGTTCCTTGCCTGCAGTCCCTCAGCACCTACCTCCACACACTGAAGGTCACTTAGGGCAAACATTGCAACTCTCCACCTGTGGCTACAGGTGCATGGCCAGTGCACAGGAAGATAGATCAGGAATTGATGGATAGATGCCCCAACTTCCTTATCTATAAATTGGGATACCTCTAAGGCAGGTTCTATACTGGATCCCAGTTCCCCAAATGAATTGAGCTCTAGTCGCCCACAGTGGTAACCTGCTGGATAACACGCCATTTTCTGGCTTCCTTCCCTTCTCTGTCTCACTTCCCCTACTCCTGGACCAGTGTTTCTTGGGATGACATGCCAAGGATATTACTTGTGCTCAAATCCTTATTTCAGGATCTCCTTCTAAGAGAACTCAAAGCAAGATAAGCACTATTCTAAACTGTTCTTCCTGTGCTAGACCACAGCTTACTCAACAACTCAAGTCCAAGACTGTACTATATTTTGAATTTTACTAGAGGATATTTAGGGTGCAGCACCGTAGACGTTAGAAGGTTTGCCTTTTTTTTTTTTCTTTTTTTTTTTTTTTTGACACGGAGTCTCCTTCTGTCACCCGGGCTTGGAGTGCAGTGGCGCGATCTGGGCTCACTGCAAGCTCCGCCTCCCGGGTTCATGCCATTCTCCTGCCTCAGCCTCCTGAGTAGCTGGGACTACAGGTACCTACCACTATGCCTAGCTAATTTTTTGTATTTTTAGTACAGACGGCATTTCACCATGTTAGCCAGGATGGCCTCGATCTCCTGACCTCATGATCTGCCCACCTCGGCCTCCCAATAGAAGGCCTTTTTGAGCAATGTTAAATCCAATCCCGTAATTCAAACTGAGTGTTCCTCTGAGACTTTGGACCAAATTGGGCTTGAAGCTCCAATAAATTGTCAGCATCTGCAAACCCATTTCGGCCAGCATAAGCCATAAGAGTTTTTGGAGGTGGATTGGAAAATGGTGAAGCTACTTTGGAAAACAGTCTGGTAGTTCCTCCAAGTGTTAAATATGGGGTTAACATATGACCCAGCAATTCTCCTCCTAGGTCTGTACCTAAAAGAACTGAAAATACATGGCTCCACAAAAACATATACACAAATATTCACAGCAGCAGTATTCCAACTAGCCAAAAAGTGGGCATAACCCAAACGTCCGTGAACATCAATTCAACTAATAAATAAAACGTGGCATACCCACACAATGGACTATTATTCACCCATGAATAAATGAATAAAGTGAATGAAATACTAATGCATGTTACAAAATGGACTAAGCGTGAAAACATTATGCTTGGTGAAAGAAGCCAGTCACAAAAGGCCACATATTATACGATTTCATTTCTATAAAAGTTCAGAATAGGCAGATTCACAGAGGTAGAAAGTAAATTAGTGGTTTCTGGGGATGTATGAAGAGTGACTGCTAATGGATATGGGATTTCCTGGGGGGTGATGAAAATGTTCTCAAATTAAACAGCAGTGATGGTTGTGCAACTCTGACTATTCTAAAAACCACAGAATTGTATTCTCTTACAAGATGAATTTCATTTTATGTGAACTATATCTCAATAAAGCTGTTATTTGAAAGAGAAAGATGGGGGAGGGGAGTTGAGATTTTTTGTGTTTCTGGTCTCCTGTGAAACCACACCTCTCAATTTATATATTCATTTATTTATTAGAGGCAAGCTCTTGTTCTATCACCCAGGATGGAGTGCAGTGTCAAAATCATAGCCCACTGCAGCCTCAAACTCCTGGGCTCAAGGGATCCTCCCGCCTCAGCCTCCTGAGTAGCCAAGACTACAGGCATGCACAACCTCACCTGGCTAATATTTTTAATTTCTTGTAGAGACCAGGGTCTCCCTGTTATCCAGGCTGGTCTTGAACTCCTGGGCTCAAGTGATCCTCCCGCCTTGGCATCCCAAACTGCTGGGATTACAGATGTGAGCCACCATACACAGCCTCACACCTCTAAGTTTTTTACAATTTTCTATAGCTCTTCAAAGCCCTGTCACAACCTCAGTGGGCCTAAAAGTCTGGCTGTGGGTCTTGGTGGCAGCAAAGCTGAATTCCAAGCAGAGGTGGGGTATGGCCGGAACTTACACCCATATCTCCAGCCATGTGTCATATGCACAGGCAGAAGCCAGGCAGGGCCAGGGCTTGGATAGGATCAGACTAAGACTCAATGGAGCCAGGGTGGGGAAAAAGCCAGGGCCACACCCAGAACTTCTTCATTTTCCAGAAAGGCAGTAAGCATAGCCATCTGAGAAGGCCCTTAGAAGCCTAGAATGATGAGTCCATCAAATCCAGGCCAAATTGCTGGAGGGTTGCTCATGGAATCCCCACAACAGCCCTGCTCCATGGAGATTTTTTTTCTGAGACGGAGTTTCGCTCTGTCGCCCGGGCTGGAGTGCAGTGGCACAATCTCGGCTCACTGTAACCTCTGCCTTCCCGTTTCAAGCATTTCTCCTGCCTCAGCCTCCTGAGTAGCTGGGATTACAGGCACCCGCCACCACACCTGGCTAATTTTTGTGTTTTTAGTAGGGACAGGGTTTCACCATGTTGGCCAGGCTGGTCTCCAGCTCCTGACCTCCTGATCTGCCCACCTTCGCCCCCTAAAGTGTTGGGATCACAGGCATGAGCCACCACGCCCTGCCATGGTGATCTTAAAGTAAGAGTATGCAGTTAACTATAAACTAGAAATAAAACCTATGCTATAGAGCTGCTGTAAGAAGTAATGAGTTGATTTACATCAGGTGCCTGGCATACAGTAGGAAGCCTAAATGTTGGCTCCATTCTTCAGTACGAAGGCTGACAGTCTGAAGTTAAGTGCCTGCTCCTCAATGTAGATCAAAAGACTGAGAGACACAATGAGTTGTGGCACACATAATTACAAGATGGAGAGAGGAGGGCCTTAAAGAACATCCAATTCTACACAGTAAATAACAACTTGAGAAACAGGCTCAGAGAGAGGCAGCAACTTGCCCATGGTCATTCAGCAAGATGGCTTGGTCATTCAAAGAAAGAGCAATTCCATATTCCCAAGTTTTTTCCCTAAATGCCAAAGAGCAAAACAACTCGTCCTCCAATAATCTTTGGCAACTCTTTATAAAGATACTTCTCTGGCATAAAAGCTAAATTGCCTAAATATGGCTAACTCTTGGATAATGCTGGTTAATTCTGGCTAATGTTTAATTCTCTAAAGCATCTTTTCCCATCAATAAACTTTTTTGTGGGAACTCTCATTTGCCTTGTGTTTCTTATGGAAATGTGATTTGTACATACATCCTCCTTGCATAAATATTTAGCTCATCATTGTGCAGCACAAATTCCCTGCAAATTAGGTGGAAATCAGCCTCAGCTGACGAAAGCATCTATATTCATCCGGGGGAAAAATCATTATTATTTAGAACTTATTAAGCCCTGACAGTAAGTACTGGATGGACCTGGGAACTTCAATAAACATTGAACGCAAATGTATGCCAAATGCTTGGGCACAGATTTCTCTTGTAATTTCTACCTGCCAAGAGGCAGGAAAAGGTAGAGAAATGAAAATGGGCTGAAACTTGGCTCTGCTCATTACAAACTGTTTCAACAAGAGCAAATCACTGAAACCCTCTTCATCTATAAAATGGGTCTAACCAAACGTATCTCATAGGGTTTGTTATTATAAAGATTAAATAAGATCATATGTGTAAAGTACCTAGCAAGAAGCCCAGAACACACTAGATGCTCAATAAATGTTTGACTCTAACCAACAAATGAATCTGAAGTAGGTGAAATGTAGAAATGTTAGCTCACCAGTTGGTTACAGTTGCATCCTACCCCCTGCACTGTGAACATAATTTGCTCCAATTGCAACTAGGTTTTATTTGAAGGTTGCAGTTAATGCTGCCAATTTTACATAAAATTAAGTAGAAAAGCAGTTTTGAAATAGCTTGGAATAGAAATTTACATGTTATATAAATTGCATTATTAAACTTTGCAGCCAACACTCACAATGTCCTGCCCATACCCCTTAGACATTTTATTGTGCTCCAGGGAATTCCACCTGTCAGCATCTATATCTCTATGCCTGAGGGCTCTTGTTCCAGGAACCATGGGAATCTGCCCTGCCAGTGCATGATAGGTCAGATGTGCCAGGTAAAGAACACTCTCAGGAGCCACCTTCAACCAATGACTAAGGGAGCCGGTATATAAATACCCAGTTCCCTCACCTCTTGTGTGGGATCAGTCTGAGGCCTAAGTCTTGCACCATTTCCTCAAGTTCCCTCACAGGATTAAACCATCATGATTGATGGCTCAATGACACACTTTGCTGGCATCTTGTCTTCCTTGTTTCACTTCCCAATCTGTGTGACCTTGAAGGGTTTCAGAGTATACTATCCCAAAATATGCCACTCTGGCATAAGGATTATTTTGAGCTGAAGGCAATTGAGAATAAGGAGACACCGGACAAGCTCTCTACCCTTCCCTATCTGCCTGAAAGCAGAACTTAAATTCCTCTTGTGAAGGTGTTTCCCCGACTCACATACCAGGAAAGAGATAACAACCTTATCACCAGAAATGAGATGATGAAGCCATCTACACAAAGAAACCTTACTAACCAGCCCTTTTCTACCACTAATTTTCCCATATATTTACCTTCCCACAATTTGCTGCCCCTAGCAGTTCAAAGTCATTTTCTTTTTTCTTGTCACTTCTCTACAAAATTATTGTTCTTTGTTAAGATGGTATATAAACCCAAGCTCTAACCATTGCTTTGAGTTACTCATCACTAAGTTCTCTCATGTATATGTACACTGCATGTGTTAATAAACTTGGTTCTTTTCCTGTTAATCTGTCTTCTGTCAGTCTAATTTGCAGGCCCCCAGCCAGAAGGGTACAGGGAAAAAAAAAAAAAAAACTTTTCCTCCCCTACAACCTCTACTTCCCAAATAAATATCTTTCACTTGGATTCTTGTCTTAGCATTTGGGAGAACACAAATTAAGCATGTGCTGGGTTCAGAGCTCCAGCCTCATATACCCAACAGCACACTGGACACTCCACTGGCTCTTTAATTCAATATGAAAAAGTGATCTCCCCATAGGCCACACACACACCTGCTCCAACCCCAGAGACAGATCCACCACCCACTCATTCTTCCAAGCCAGAAACCTGGATCTCACCCTCGCTTTTTCCTTTTCTCTCCCCTGCTCCCCACCATTTCCAGCCATTTATCAAGTCCTGCCAGTTTGAACTCCATAATCTCTCCTGGAATCAGTCCCTTTCTCCATTCCTCTAAATACTGAGGCAAACAATCTCTGGCTTCCATTGCAGTAGCCTCCTCCCTGTTGTCCCAGATCCACCATGGATCTTTTCTCCATGCCACAGTCCAGAAGGATTGTTCTTTTTAACTGCAAATACTGAATAGCAAAAACAACGCTTAATGAAAGCTTACTTTTTGTTGGGCCCTGCTCTGATCCTGTTACTCCCCAGCTTAAAATCTTCCATGGGCTTCCTATAGTGCTTAGAATAAAACCTCCAACTCCTTGCTTGAGCCTACAAGCCCCTGTGATCTGATGCCCCTTTTCTCCATAACTTCTTTTCTTACCATTTCCGGTGCTGAATCTAATCCGAAGAGGTCCTTTTTTGAAACAATTAGGTGGGTCAGTTTTTTACTTTTCCATGGAGAATCGACTTTTTTTTTTCTTTTTTTGAGACCAGTCTCACTCTGACACCCAGATTGGAGTGCAGTGGTGTGATCTCGGCTCACTGCAACCCCTGCCTCCCAGACTCAAGTGATCCTCCCACCTCAGCCTCTCAAGTAGCTGAGACGACAGACACATGCCACCATGCCCAGCTAATTTTTTTGCATTTTTGCTAAAGAAAGGTTTCACCATGTTGCCCAGGCTGGTCTTGAACTCGTAAGCTCAAGCAAACCACCCATCTTGGTCTCCCAAAGTGCTGGGATTACAAGTGTGAGCCACCACACCCAGCCTGAGAACTGACTTTTGAATGTCCATCAATACCAACTCCCGATCCCTACCCTCACTCCTACCCATCATCTTCCCAGGCCCTGCTCTATCCATAGCCTCCACTTTCAGGAACAAGCCTTTCCTCCCTGAGATCCTCGCTGAGGCACCTGGGAAGACATGAGATTATCCTCTTTAACAATCCATAGGTTCTTTAGAGCCAGAACCCGCCCCTACCTTCTGCAAGGCCTGGCACAGGGCCCAACACACAGTAGGTGCTTAATGAATGTTTGTTGAGTTAATTAAGGAAGCTGTCCAGTCTTAATCACAAACATTCGGGATGCTTCCTTCAAACCACCTTCCCCCAAGGGAGCCTATAGTTGATTGGACAATTACTCCAGTGCTGGAACAAATCACTCTCAGGCGTTCGATGAAACTATTCAATGAATGCTGCTGACAAAAGAGCTGATTGCGCTGCTTTGACCCTGAAAGTAATTACATGTGCCAGCATCCATCTGCCTGTGGGGTTGCCCGGAAGGGGGTCCTCACCTCGTTTCAGCTCCATCTTCTAAATAAACTCAAAAGAGCATACATTGTCATTTCCCCCAGGATCGTTATGGCTTGTTAGAAATCAAACAGAGGGCAGGTAAGTGGTGTATAATCTGCATGAACAATCTCCCCAGGCTCCAAAAACCTCCCTTAATCATCTCTATCACAAAACCAAAACCAAAGAGCCCCCCACTCCTTGAGAACGCAGCAGGGAGCCTCCATGCCCCACTAAGGGCCCAGGATCAAGTGACTGTTTGCTCTGCGGTCAGTCCCACACATCAGCCATCTCTGGCCTGTTAATTACCTTCTTTCACCCATCCTGAGAAGCCAGAGTCATCCTTGATGCTTCTATCTCTTCATCTATCCATTCATTTATTCATTCTTTCCATAAGCATTTATTGAATACCTGTTAGAAGGCAGCAGACACTGCTGTGTTTACACTAATGAACAAGGCAGCATAATCCCTGACCTCATGGAGCTCATAGTCTAGAGAGGAAAATGAATATTAACCAAACAAAGACACAAATATTGAAGACAAATTTACATTAAACACACCTGTTATTTGCTGAATCTTTGCCAGGTCCTGCAGGGGAGGAATGTAGCATGGGAGGGGAGGTCATTGACCAAGATGGTTTTAACTTCCCCTCAGTTTCACTAAACTTTAAACAGGTTTCTTTCTGACTTTGAGGTCCTGGCAAACATTTTCTTAGAGCATTTACTTTTTTCTTTTTTTCTGAGACACAGTCTCACTCGGTTGCCCAGGCTGGAGTGCAGTGTCGCGATCTCAGCTCACTGCAACCTCTGCCTCCTGGGTTCAAGCGATTCTCCCGCCTCAGCCTCCCAAGTAGCTGGGATCACAGGTGCACACCACCATGCTCAGCTAAGTTTTGTATTTTTTAGTAAAGCTTGGGTTTCACCATGTTGGCCAAGGTGATCTCAAACTCCTGACCTCAGGTGATCCGCCCGCCTCTGCCTCCCAAACGGCTGAGATTGCAGGTGCCATTTTCTCTAAAACATTTACCTTAAAAGATTTGCAGTCTACAGTTTTTTTGTTTTGTTTTTGATAAAAATTGCCCCTTTTGAGATGTAAATCTCCCAGTTTCTTGCCAATTTTTACAACCTAGGAATGTCTTTCTCAAGGATCTGGCAGTTATCCCTTTGAAATGCAATCATCAAGAAAGATAGCACCACAATCTCTCAGTCTCTGCAGGAGGGAAGGTGCCTAACTTTGGTAAGCACCAACATTAGCAAACGCAAATGTCCTCCAGGACTTTCCCACTAGCTCACCCCAGTGCTTAAAAACCCTCTTTGCTTTGGCCTGGCGCAGTGGCTCACGCCTGTAATCCCAGCACTTTGAGGGGCCGAGGTGGGGTGGATCACAAGGTCAGGAGATCGATATCATCCTGGCTAACACGGTGAAACCCCGTCTCTACTAAAAATACAAAAAATTAGCCGGGCATGGTGGCGGGTGGCTGTAGTCCCAGCTACTCAGGAGGCTGAGGCAGGAGAATGGCGTGAACCCAGGAGGCAGAGCTTGCAGTGAGCCAAGATTGCGCCACTGCACTCCAGCCTGGGTGACAGAGCAAGACTCCATCTCAAAAAACACAACAAAAATCAAAACAAAACAAAAAAACACCATCCTGGGTTTTGTTTCGGGGAGGTAAGTTCAATCTCCCTCCCCTACTGCAATTGTCTTAAATAGTCTTTCTCGCCTGATTAACTCTGTCCAGTACAGCAATGAATAAAACACGGATCCTGCCCCAAAAGAATGTAAGGTCTGATCAAGACAAATGAAAACTTTCCGAATTGTAGTAAATGCTGTAATCCCAGCACTTTGGGGGATCAAGGCGGGCAGATCACTTGAGGTCAGGAGTTTGAAACCAGCCTGGCCAACATGGTGAAACCCTGTCACTACTAAAAATACAAAAATTAGCTGGGTGTGGTGACACGTGCCTGTAATCTCAGCTACTCTGGAGGCTGAGGCAGGAGAATTGCTAGAACTCGGGAGGTGGAGGTTGCAGTGAGTCAAGATCGCGTCACTGCATTCCAGCCTGGGGTGACAGAGCAAGAGTCCATCTAAAAAAAAGAAAAAAAGAAAAAGAAAACTAGAGGAAGCTATGAGACAGTGTAACAGAGGAAACTTAATTTAGATGGGAAGGGACTCTAGGAAGGCCTCTCTGAGAAGAGGTATTTGAGCTGGGACAAGCATCCCAGGCAGAGAGGCTAACACACATAAAGGCATTTAGATCAAACATTCAGCTGCAGAAATAGAGGTATTTGAGCTGGGACAAGCATCCCAGGCAGGGAGGCTAGCACACATAAAGGTGTTTAGATCAAACATTCAGCTGCAGAAATGTTAGGTCCCTGCCCCAAACCAAGTCTTACTATATTTGTACATGCGACTCTTCTTCTACTGTGTGCTCCCTCAGCTCAATAACCTTCCAGGAATCCCAGGTGGCTCCTGAACAAAGCCCATTGCTCCTAACTTCCTTAACCTGATGGTCAAGATTGTATTTAATCTGACTGCTTCTTCACCTCTCCAGCCATATAGAGACAACCTCCCAATGAAACACAAGCCTTCTGGGTGTGACAGACGAAGGGGCTTCTTGCAGAGGCAAATGGAAGACAACCTAGAAGGTACAGGTGCAAAGTGCTCACATGATTGAGAGTCTATTTTTATGCTTGAAGTACAGATAGGAGGGAAAACAGTTCTCTCCTATTGGACGAAAAAATCCAGTTATTTTTCCTTATTCTGTGACACAAGGACCTTAAGTAACCTGAAGTAACCAAAAGATCAGGCTTTGGTGAGTTTATTTCCCAAGTAAAAGACATGCCTGGTGCTTGACAGTCTCCTGGGACCTCACTAGCCCTGGAGCCCCTTCCGTCCCCAACACACCCATTCCCCTCTCCCACTCTGGACCAATCCCTACAGTTCCCCCAGCTCCTCCCCATGCTTCTGATAGGGAAAGAGAATCAGGGTCACCCTTATGTTAAGAATAGAAGTAAAATCTTGATGGTATTACATTTGGACACCCCACAATGCCTGATTCCTGGCTCTCTGCAGGATTCCTTAGGGAGCCTTCATCATAGAGGTGTCATCAAGCAGGAAACACCATGTTCTTCTGTGATGAGCTGGGCCCAAGCCTGGTCCACACAGTACAGAACTCAAAAGACCCGAGGCAGGAGCACAGAGCTTGAACTCACCGCTGTTATGCGTTCTACCTCCATTAAAGCTCCAGTAGCAATGCAGCAGCAGGGAGGGCATGCTGGCCTGACAGCACGTCCCCAGGAAGGGGAGTCTACACGTGTGTATGCAACTGCACAGCCCACTGTGGCCTTGCCCACAGGTCCCTGTGATCCAATCACTGTCCTGGCCTTTGAACAATCAGATGGTCAGAGGGATTGGAGCACCTGAAGGAAGTGAGAGCACCTCCCCATCACCTCTGATCACTCTTTTCCAACTCTCTCTGCCTGCTAGCCCTGAGCGCAGGATTGTCTGTTTGACCTTCTCCCAAGTGTCTGGGTCATGCTCTCCATCCCAAAGCTAAAGCCCTTGTCTCCTTCACCCTAATCACCCTCCTTTCTTCACCCCTTGGCCCATGGCCTACGTAGGGCTTCGAGCTCTGGGCGGTGGTTCACACACTCTGCTCCTACCCTCTCTGGGTCAGGAGCTTCCTAAAGCCAGGCCTGCAGCCCAGCAATCCCCTTGTCCTTGACTCGTGCATCTGGGATGAGCTCTATCTGCATCCCGTCAAGAGCTCTATCTGCATCCCGTCAAGAGCAAAGAGTTACTGAGGAGATAGAAGCAGGACTTTTTTTCCTTTAACTCAATTAAGCCACATGCTGACTGTGATACTTTCTCCACTATCTAAGGCAGCAGGTGCCTTTGCAATTACTTCCCCTCTGCTGAGCCTGCATGTCGCCTGGGGTCTCCAGGAGATAGAGATGAAGCTATGGAATCACAAGGGCAATGTGATGGGCAAAGAGGCCAGGGAGACCAGAGGACTGGCCACAGAGAAAGATCAGCCAGGAATGCAACAATGCAGGTGGCCCCAGGCAAAGCTACATCTGGAAGCCAGCTGACATGTGACTTTCAGCTGCTTTCAAGGGCCTTAGAAGCAAGGGAGCATTTTTAAATTTGGGTTCCCCCAAAAGCAGATCCGGAGACAAGGACTGGGTGCAGGTAGTCTATTTGGAAAGTGAGCCCAGGAAGCAGTGAAGGAGAACTGATAGGGAGTGAAGAAAGTCGACAAAGCCTGCAGCTACGAGAGGGTCTGTTGCTGTGGGCTGATGGGGCTCAATCCCACTTGGAACTCCATGGAAGACTGTGTGGAGCATACATGAGAAGCGTTCCCAAGGGGCAAAAAAGCCAAGTGTTTACTCACCATACAGGGTTGAATGGTGGCCCCCAAAGAGACATGTCCATGTCCTAACCCCTAGAACCTGTGGATGTGCCCTTATTTGGAAAAAGGGTCTTTGTGAGTAAACTTAAAGATCTTGAGATGAGATCAACCTGGATTACCCAGCTGAGCCGTAAATCCAATGACAAGTGTCCTTTTAAGAGATACATACAGGGTCAGGCACAGTGGCTCACGCCTGTCATCCCAACACTTTGGGAGGCCAACAGGGGTGGATTACTTGAGGTCAGGAGTTCGAGACCAGCCTGGCCAACATGATGAAACCCCCATCTCCATCTCTACTAAAAATACAAAAATTAGCCAGCGTGGTGGCACACACCTGTAATCCCAGCTACTCAGGTGGCTGAGGCAGGAGAATCTTTTGAACGCAGGAGGCAGAGGCTGCAGTGAGCCAAGATCATGCCATTGCACTCCTGCCTGGGCAACAGAGTGAGACTCCGTCTCAAAAAATAATAAATAAATAAATAAATAAATAAATAAATAAATAAATAAAGGGAGAGAGAGACATAGAAAAGGAAAAGGCCATGTGAAATTAGAGGTAAAGAGTGCAGTGATGCAACCACAAGCCAAAGAATGCCAAGAGCCAGCAGGAGCTGGAAGAGGCATGGAAGGATTCTCCTTAGAGCCTTCCAGGAATCACATGACCCTACCAACACCTTGATTTCAGCCTTTTGGCCTTGAGAACTGAGAAAACAAATTTTTAAGCCACAAAGTTTGTGATAATTTGTTGCAGCAGCCACAGGCCTGGTGTTATCGATGGGATAACACCCATCGATACCCAAACCTTCCTGGTTAAGAATTACTCCTGGGGTTGGCCGGGCACAGTGGCTCACGCCTGTAATCCCAGCACTGTGGGAGGCCGAGGCAGGCAGATCATGAGGTCAAGAGATCGAGCCCATCTGGCCAACATGGTGAAACCCCATCTCTACTAAAAATACAAAAATTAGCTGGGCGTGGTGGCGCAGGTACTTGGGAGGCTGAGGCAGGAGAATCACTTGAACCCGGGAGGCAGAGGTTGCAGTGAGCTGAGACGCACCACTGCACTCCAGCCTGATGACAGAGTGAGACTCAGTCTTAAAAAAAAAAAAAATTACTCCTGGGGTCGTCTGTGCCACTGAAAGCTGAGGCCACTACTGCAGCCAGAGAAAGACCTCCGGCAGAGAGACACCTGTGCCTACAGTATGAAACCACCAGCGTGACCAGGAACTGCCCACAGAAACTGCAGGGAACCTCTGGGAAGAAGAGGCTGAAGGATGTGGAAGGGTGGGGGAGTACTGACAGCGCCTGCCACAGTTTGGCTGGAATTGGATCAGGGCCGCTTCTGGTCCACGTGACTGTGTTTTCTAAGGGGACCTCCATCAGGAATCAAGCTCTTCCTCAGGATCATACCGTCACGTAGGGAAAAAAATTTACATTACCATGTTCCCACTATGTGCCCACACACACATCTTCTCCCATCCATCCTTTAAACAGCCCTGTGAGATACGAAGGATATGACAGGCAGAATAATAACCCCCAAAGATGCCCATGTCCTAATCCCCAGAACCTGTAAATGAGCTACCTTGTATGGCAAAGGGGACTTTGTAGATGTGATTAAGTTAAGGATCTTGAGATGGGGGATTATCCTGGATTGCCCAGATGGGCCCAGTGTAACATAGGGTCCTTATAAGAGAAAGGGGGAGGTGGGAGGGTAGGGGATCCAAATCAGAGATATTTGAAGATGCTGTCCTGCAGGCTCTGGAGATAGGGAAAGGGGCTATGAGCCAAGGAATGCAGATGGCCTCCAGAAGATGAAAATGCAAGAGAAAGCATTCTCCCCCTAGAGTCTCCAGAAGGAATGCAGCCCTGAAGACACCTCGATTTTTGCCCAGGGAGACCCATTTCAGACTTCTCACCTCCAGAACTGTCATATTACACATTTGCATGTTTTAAGCCACTGAGTTTGTCGTCATTTGTTACAGCAGCAATAGGAAACTAATACATTTTACAAGGGCCTTAGAAGCAAGGGGTTGTGTTTTAATTTGGCTTCCCCAAAAAGCAGATTGAGAGATAAGGACTTGGGTGCAGGCAGTCTATTTGGGAGGTGATCCCAGAAAGCACAGGGAAGGAGAAGTGACGGGGAGTGACAAGAGTCAACAAAGCCTACAGTAATGAGAGGGTCTGTTGCTGTGGGCCACTGGGGCTCAATCCCACTTGGAACTCTCTGGAAGACTGTGTGGGGCAGATTGAGTTTAGTCTACGAGCTGCGAGGAATGGGATGGGAGCTATTAGCAGAAGCTTCTCTGGATTTAAGTTTCTTTCCCATGGTACAGGATAGTGTTTCTTAGAGAGTAATTGATTCTTTCTTTTTCCTCTTTCCTTTTGCTTTCTTTTTTGCACTCTTGCTTTCTCCATGATCTCCTCCAACCCCAATTCAAGCTGCCAAGCCTCTTGAGCTCATTGCCTGAGAGAAGAGGACAGACATGACCTGGGGGGACAACAGAAACACAGCCGCCTACCTGGTTTACCATCACCACAGGGCTTTGCCCTTGGGGAATGCAAAAACCTGCAAGAGGAATATGGCCATCCTGGCCTTCCCCACCCCACCAGCCAGGACTGGTGAATTTTCCCCCAGGACTGAGAAGGAGAACTGAAGATCTCCCGTGAGAAAGGGTGTGCACCCCAGGGAAGCAGCAAGAGCCCAGAAA
Source organism: Homo sapiens (assembly GCF_000001405.40). Classification (NCBI taxonomy): domain Eukaryota; kingdom Metazoa; phylum Chordata; class Mammalia; order Primates; family Hominidae; genus Homo; species Homo sapiens. The sequence continues at coordinate 43,353,108 of NC_000020.11, forward strand.
GGAGAGACTGAATGAGGAGACCAGGCAGGCGGGGCTAAAGAACTGACCCGGCTTGGCCCTTCACATAGGATGCTGTGTTTAAGGCTGAACAAGCCAGAGTTTGGAGAACACGCCGTGCGCCATCATGACTGTTGCCCGAGCTGAGGCCAGACCCAACCCCGAGGAAGGGAGAACAGCTTCCCATGAAGGGCATGGCTGCTGCCACCATAATCCCAGGGCAGGAAATAAAGGGATCTTGGACTAGGCAATCAAAGGACTTCCTCTCCCTCTAAGGCCAAGGAGGAAATGTGGCTGGGACTCCAAGCTCTGTGGATGCCTGGAGGTGCCAGCAGCTGGGGATCAGCTGGCCCCACCTGCAGAGCCCAGCCAGTGGCTCCCCCTGCATCTCCAAGGTTGGGTCTATGGGCTCCAAGAACAGGTGTTTCTCAGGGTAACCTCAGCCCCTACAACTTCAACCAAGAGAGTGAAGGGGAGCAGCCCTGGAGGCCAATGAGGAGGGGGATTAGTGGTCACTGATGACAAAGACATCCCTGTCCCCAGAGCCAGCCCCTTGTGAGCAGAAGAATGGCTGCCGGGGCAAAAGGACCTGCTATGCCCTCCCCATACACATATCATGGCAGCTGGGGAGCCCTCTGAATAACAGGGGGCGCTTTAGAGTGGCTTCATTACCAACAAGAGGCCCAGAAGGGGCTAGAGCCACACGATTTCATGGTCGGCCGCGTGCGTGATCGTGTCTCACAGCACTGGAGAGGCTTCCAGATTACACTTGTAATAAAACATTTTATGGGGAAGAAACAAATGGGAGTAAATTTGAATGCAGAAATAAGCAATGTTTTAGAGTTTTGTATCATTAGCAGAATTAGATAATTAAAAACATAAACCAGAAATAATAAGCCCTCCCTCTCTGGGACACCCTGTGTATTCAAGGAGATGCTGTGCGTACAGGACCCGTCAGAGCCAGCAGAGCAGACAGTGAATAGATCTACACAAGAAAGGATCATTCTTAACATCCCTCCCCAACACTACACAGCAAGATTATCTTCTGTAATAATTATGGAATAATCAGTAATAATCATTACGTTCCTGATTCATTCTTTAGTCTTAAAACAATTAGCAATTTTAGAAGAGAAATTTCAATGTTACATATATTATTCAGATTCAGGAAAATATTTACTGGAGGAACTAAAATTTGCACTCACCAAACAAAAAAAATATTCCAGCTCAATGGCCGGACGCAGTGGCTCACACTTGTAACCCCAGCACTCTGGGAGGCTGAGGCAGCCGATCACCTGAGGTCAGGAGTTCGAGACCATCCTGGCCAACATGGCGAAACCCCACCTCTACTAAAAAATACAAAAATTATCTGGGCAAGATAATCCCAGCTTGTAATCCCAGCTATTCATGAGGCTGAGGCTGCAGAATCACTTGAACCTGGGAGGCAGAGGTTGCAGTGAGCCAAGATCACACCACTGCACTCCAGCCTGGGTGACAGAGTGAGACTCTGTCTCAAAAAAATAAAAATAAAATAAAACATTCTAGCTTATGGTTCAGGCTCCATCTCATGGTTCGAAATTTTCAGCTCCAGTAAAAACTCCAAGTGGTCATATAGACTTTAATTAAAGAATTAAAATAACTCACATTAGATTTTGTCATCATTTAATTAGTGGACTATTATGGCTGATATTGGATCAACTGTTTATTTTTATTTTATTTTTTTGAGACAAGGTCTCACTCTCTGTTGCCCAGGCTGGAGTGCAGTGGCGCAATCTCCAGAAGCTAATGTAACATATGTGGAAGCATTTTGTAAACTGTAAGTGCAGTACAAATATTACTAGAGTTAACAGTAATAACTGTGCAGATGCAATGCATTTGGTCACAATAATGGACCAGAAAAATCAGAGAGAAAAAGGAAGGTAGTTGTTTATGCGGGTGTTAACAACCTGGACAAAATGCCACAGCCAAATTCAACAGCACCAATATTATGTTACCAAAATGGAGCCTGTGAAGACAGCCAAATGGGGTGACCACACCTCCCAGTGCCAGGCAGCCAGCTGCCAGAGACACATTTCAGCTCAGTCATGCTGAGGCAACTGTGCCATTGCAGAGAAATGGCCATGATATTCACCAGCCCCTGGAAACCCAGCAGCCCCCAAACACTTCCCCAGAGCTAGCTTATACCAGGTTGTTGGCAGAGGACAGAAATGAGAGAGACAAGCGACCACATGGCTGCCCAAGGAGGTGCCTGCTGGGACACAGGCACTAAATACGAGGTGTTCTGGAAAATCCACGACCCCCTACTCCATTGAGGGAGACAAATAAAGAGCATAAAGCTGCTCTTTGCAAAAGCATATTTAGTGAACACATAGAATTTAGGCTAGATGTTTCTATTTTTTTCTCTTGTTTTCTTTCATTTACAAAAGAAACACATGGCCCCTAAAGCCACTCTTCTCTGCCTACTCATGAGTAATGGGTAGAGGGAGAGTTATTTAGCTGGAATGAGGTACAAAGAGAGGCTGACACAACGAGAACAAGAGTTAGAGGCCACAGACTCCTCACAGCTGACCTGGGGAGCATCCTGACAACCCTGGAAGGGACCCCTCCTGGAAGGTCACACAAGCCACCCTTCCATCCAGCACTAGAGTGGCCTTGTAGCCTCTGCTTTGCATGCCTCCCAGGACAGGACAGTCACTGCTGCTGGAAACAGCTGTGGACATCTCTGATGGTGAAAAAGGTGGACTGTTGGCCAAGCCCTTCACACTGCCCATGTCTCCATATTCAAGCCACAGCTGTGGCTGGGAATGCCTTGCAGAAGCACCATGCAACCCATCCTCCCCAAATGAAATTGAGCCCCCGATGTGGTCCCTGCCCTTGTTTACAGCATGCACAGCTGTCTGTGTTTTAGCCTATTTTATTACTCTTCCTCACCCCCACTTAACTGTGAGCTCTTTGAAGACACAAACAGTTTTCTCCTTGATGCCTGATCAAAATAGATACTTCAAAATCCTTTTGTTAAAAACGCAATTCTAGGCCGGGTGCGGTGGCTCATACCTGTAATCCCAGCACCTTGGGAGGCCGAGGTGGGTGGATCACAAGGTCAGGAGATCGAGACCATCCTGGCTAACACGGTAAAACCCCATCTCTACTAAAAATACAAAAAATTAGCCGGGCGTGGTGGCGGGCGCCTGTAGTCCCAGCTACTCAGGAGGCTGAGGCAGGAGAATGGCCCGAACCCGGGAGGCGGAGCTTGCAGTGAGCCAAGATCGCACCACTGCACTCCACCTTGGGCGACAGAGCGAGACTTAGTCAAAAAAAAAAAACAAAAAAAAAAAAACGCAATTCTAGCCGGGCGCGGTGGCTCATGCCTGTAATCCCAGCACTTTGGGAGGCCGAGGTGGACGGATCACAAGGTCAGGAGATCGATATCATCCTGGCTAACATGGTGAAATCCTGTCTGTACTAAAAATACAAAAAATTAGCCAGGCGTGGTGGCGGGTGCCTGTAGTCCCAGCTACTCGGGAGGCTGAGGCAGGAGAATGGCGTGAACCCGGGAGGTGGAGTTTTCAGTGAGCCGAGATTGCGCCGTTGCACTCCAGCCTGGGCAACACAGTGAGACTCCATCTCAAAAAAAAAAAAAACGCAATTCTATAACATCATTACCCAAGCTCCCTCTGCCCTCCAGCTTCTGGGCTAGGCACAACCTCACAGAGCATCAGCCACCTGGCCCCTCTCATGCCCTCACCCCAACTGCAATTCCCAGCTTCACTCCACCCCTAGAGAAACTAAGCTCAAAGCAATGGCTTTAGGATCTCAGGGCAGCTTTCTAATCCAATCCTCTGTTGCTGTGGTTCTCAAACTTGATGTATCAGGATACTCTGAAAGACTTAAGACACAGATTTTTGGACCCACCCTCCAAGTTTCTAATTCAGTGGGTCTGAGGTAGGTCTTAAGAGTTTGCACTTCTAATACATTCGCTGGCGATGCTAATGTTGCTGGTCCAGGGCTCATATTTTGAGAACCACGGTACCACAGTGCTACATTGAGGTCAGTCCTTGAAAGACATTCCCAGCCACAGGAACAGCTTGAGTGGAGGCAGAGGCAGCATAGAGGCTTGGGTGACATCTGCCTTTTCTCACCATTCAAGATGTCTGCAAGCTGCTTTAAGCAGCATTGAGCACCCAAGGCACACGAGCAGAGGCTACCAGACCATATCACACACGCACAGCTTCTCTGCTCACGGTTTATCTAACCTCTGTTTATACATCTCTGTCTTAGTCCATCTTTTGTGAGCGTTGCTATAAAGAAATACCTGAGGCTGGGTAATGCATAAAGAAATAAAGTTAGTTTGGCTCACAGTTCTGCAGGCTGTACAAGAAGCATGGCGCCAACAATCTGCTTGGCTTCTGGTGAGGGCTTCGGGCTGCGTCCACTCGTGGTAGAAGGCAAAGGAGATCTGGTGTGTGCAGAGAATACATGGCCAGAGAGAGGGAGCAAGGGAGAAGGTGCCGGGCTCTTTTCAACAGCCAGCTCTCATTGGAACTAATAGAGCAAGAACACACTCACCACAGCCCCCAGGGAAATCATTAGTCTATCCATGAGGGATCTGCCCCCATGACCTGAACACCTCCCATTAGGCCCCACCTCCAATACTGGGGGTCAAATTACAACATGGAACTTAGAAGGAACAAATATCCAAACCATAGCAACCTTCTTCAACAAGATATTCACAACTTGTCCAGTTAGACTGGCCAATCTTCAGTTATTTCTTATATTGAGTGACTGCTCACCTCCTGCCTAGGGTTGCCAGATAAAACACAAGATGCCTAGTTAAATTTGAATCTCACATCAATAATGGATAATTTTTTGGTATGTCTCATGCAAATATGGTTATTTTCATTTGCTAAACCTGGCAACCCAACATTCCTACCCATGAAGTCTCCAGGTGCTTGAGCCAAGTTCCTGCCAATACTGAAGCAGCCAGGTGAGCCTCAAGTTCAGAGGAAGCTAGGTCTTCTGCATCACAGAACCAATTTAGCCAAAGCCAAGAGCAAAAAGAGTCAGTCTCAGGAAACACACTTTGTTAGAGCTGCACTAAGCTCAGGTCTTACAGCTAGTCCAGGGCTGGGGCTGTGGCAAGAAAATGACTTCCACTTGGGCTTCCCAGGTGTGGGGGTCCTTGCCTTGAAGCAGATTTGCGCTGGAATCCTATCATATGGTCAATACCTGGTCATCCATCCATACCCACACCATAGGGGAATGTTAGAGCCAGGGCTAAAACCCACTTCTTCTGATTCCTGTGCTAACAAGTTTTCTCTAATGCAAGAATCATTTCCTAAGAGGTAACCCCAGGATCCTAGTATAGGTGCTAAGTGGTGGAGGAATCTTTCTGCACAAACCTTGTCATTGCAAACTCCAAACTCTACGGGTCAGAAGAGTCCTGCTCACTTCACGTTGTACCCCTTAGATGCCATCTGGCCCAGCCACCTCATAGGAGACCAGAGAGGTGAAAGGGCTTGCCCAATCTCCAATCCAAGTTGACAGCAGAGCTGGACAAAAATCTACATCTACTGACAGCTCAGACCTTGTCCACCCTGCCAGGATCTCTTCCAATTAAAAGGAACTACTGTTAACTTAAAACCACAGAGATGTACCATTTTTCTCCCACGGAACTAGCAACAATGAAAAATTCTGACAATATCAAGTGTTGGAGAAGAGGTGGAGAAAACTGTATTCTCCTCTACTGCTGGTGGGAATGGAAATCACAAGGGCAAACTTGCAGAGCATTCAGCAATACCTAGTAAAATGGGAAGTGCATATATACAATGTAACAATTCCACTCCAGCTTCAGGCCCCCACAGCAACTCTCCCACATGAGCCCAGTGAGATCTAGGGCAAGGATGCTGACGGCAGCATTATTTGTTATGGTGAAAAATTAGAAACAAACTACGCAACAAGACAGAAATGAGAAACAAAATGTGGTCTATTCACATGATAGAACACCTTGCATAGTTACTAGGTTGGTGGGAAAGGAATTGCCATTTTTGCCATTGAAAGTAATGCCATTGAAAGTAATGGCAAAAATGGCAATTCCTTTTGCACCAACCTAATAGAAAGAATGGATTAGAGCTAAATGTATCACTAACAACAGTGGGTGAAAGTGTCCTTATGTGAAAAACCAAGCTGCAAAGAGACCAGAGCAAATTTGTGTAAATGTGGAAAAGCACCCCCACAAACAATACCATACATTTATTATTCATAATACATTACATATGTATACACAAAATACAAAAGCTTCCCAAAAAAAAGTATTTTTAAAAGGCACAGTTATTCATGAAAGTCATGATAGTGGTTGGCTCTGGAAAGGGACAAAGATTAAACCTTAAGGGTGCCCCTCAAGGGGTGCTTCAATGTCTTCTGTAATGTTTTATCTCTTTTATTAAAAATATACTTGAAGAAAATATAACAAAAGGTTCATAGTTATCATCCCAGTGGTGGGGATGCAAATTTGTTACTTTTGTATTTTTCTTTTAACTTCTCAAAGAAAAATAAAGCGGCTATTCTGAGGCACTGATCTCTGGGGCCCCCAGAACCTACATGACTAATGAAATGTGTTTCTCGGATTTCAATAATTCATCGCCTGAGCAGGGGCGTGGGTGTGGGAAAAGTTCCATCCTTAAGGGAGTGCGGAAGAATGTATCCAATCAGGCTAAAATCTCCCTTCCTCCATCCTGACTAGAAATGACCTTGGGTCTGACTGGAAAGGTAGAGGGTTTAATGCACCGGATGCTTCTCCCCATCTATTTTAGAAAGGTGGAAAGGAACTCACCTAGTTCAATAATTCATCAGAACCTAAGCATGATGGGATGGAGAACCTTCCAGAGTCATGGGCTGTGAGTCCAGCAACAACCCTCCATGACCACTCACTGGCTGGTTTAAGGTGAAGGACTCATCCCGAGGGTGGTAAGAGACATAATCCCATCGGTGCAAGAGGCAAAACCTAAATGCACGCACAAACCACATGTGGATCCTGCTGAAATGCTAATCCTGAGTGAGTAGGTCTGGGAGAGGGAAGGCAGGCAGGGGTAGGGGGAGTGCTGAGATGTCACTTTTCTGTCAGGATCACAGGGTGGGGCGTGGTGGCTCATGCTTGTAATCCCAGCACTTTGGGAGGCCGAGGCGGGGCATCACTTGAGGTCAGGGGTTTATGACACCAGCCTGACCAACATGGCGAAACCCCATCTCTACTAAAAATACAAAAATTAGCCGGGAGAGATGGTGGGCACTGTAATCCCAGCTACTGGGAAGGCTGATGTGAGAGAATGGCTTGAACCCGGGAGGCGGAGCTTGCAGTGAGCCAAGATCACACCACTGCACTCCAGCCTGGGCAACAGAGTGAGATTTCATCTCAAAAAAAAAAAAAAAAAAAATCACAGATGTCCCTGATGCTTCTGCTCCAAGGCCCACACTTTGAGTGGCAAGTCTCTACACTGCCCACTTCAACTGCTGCTGCTTGGTCTTTCTGCTTCATTATCCTACAAATAAAAGCAGGAGTGTTGGTGGTATTTGATGGTATTAGGGTCAGGAGAAGCAGAAACACTAACTCCAATCTCAAAGGAGACAGTAAAAATATTTACAACTTGATCACAGAGGTGTGCACAAATGTCAAATCTCATCACACTTAAAATCTCTGCATTTTATTGTATGTAAATACCACCTTAGCAAAAAAATATCCTGAAACAAAACAAATCAAGCCTGGTCCACCAACTCCCTCTGAAGGCTAACCTAGATCTTGGCATCTTGTTACCCACTGATTGGGCTGGAGTAAACAGTCCCTAGTGACCCACCCAACCGTAGGGAAGAAGAAATGGAACCCGAATATCCAACCTGGGTGCACTCCCTTTATACACATCGCAGCCACATCCGCTAGTGAACATGCCCCCACTGCAGGGCCTTGGATTTGCCCCACTTAGTAAACTCTTCCTTCTTTGCAGGGGGAAACCTAGAACTCAGGTGGGCAGAGGGGTGCTTTTCTTCTCCCCTCAACAGAGGTCATCTTAAAAGGGCAGAGTAGCTACTGAGAGAGAGGCTGTGTGGCCAAGGGAAGTGTCACCAAACCTGTCCTTGTTAACGTCCCTTTTCTGCCTTTCGAGTGGCTCCAGCCCTTCCCGTGCTGAGCTTAGCCTCTGTTTCCCCTCTGGGAATCATCCCACCTAGAATATAAGTTAACTTGAATACTAGGCTGTCTCTCCCAGCTTTTTTATTTTCTTTTTTCTTTTTTGAGATGGGGTCTCACTCTGTCACCCAGGCTGACATGCAGTTGCATGATCTCGGCTCACTGCAACCTCTGCTTCCCAGGTTCAAGCAATTCTCACGCCTCAGCCTCCCAAGAAGCTGGGATATAGGCGTGCATCACCACACCTGGCTAATTTTTGTATTTTTAGTAGAAATGGGGTTTCACCACATTGCCCCGGCTGGTCCCAAACCCCTGACCTGAGGTGATCTGCCCGCCTCAGCCTCCCAAATTGCTGGGATTAGACCACAGGTTAATTTCAATACAAGGCTGTCTCTCCCAGCTCTGATTCCTCTCTGGTCCCTTGTTCCCCAGTACTCTGCAACCAGTGGCTTGCAAACCTTATTGCGCAACACAATTTGCTGGAAAACCTGTCAGAGCTGTGTCCCACCCCAAGTTTCTGATTCAGGAGGCTTGAGTGGAGCCTGAGAATCTGCATTTCTAACAAGTTCCCAGGTGACACTGCTGCTGCTGGCCCCAGGGATGTGCTTTGAAAACCATCACGTTAGACTTTCAACAAACATTTGCTAAATGGATCAAGGAACAGAACTACAAGTAGAGTCAGTTCAGAGCTCCTGTCTTGGTTCTGGAGCTCGCTCAGAGATCAACTTTTTAAGTAAAGCTTTCTTCCTAAGACACAGCATACTCATTTTTTAAAACAAGGATAATAATGCCAACCCCACAGGGTTATAGTAGGGATCCAGGGAAGTCTTTCTGAGAACCTATTAGAACCCACCTCTGCCTAGAAGCCCTCCAAATCCATGACCCTCCCAAAATCCATGAGGGTTTAGTTCCCTCTGGAATCCTCCAGCCATAACCGCTGGAAGAACACTTAGATGCAAACTACCTTCTATGGGAGGGTATATACATTCCCCCTAAACACATCTGTGTTCGGACCTTGTGCTACATCCCAGAGCTTCCGAGGTGGGGAAGACAGTCATTCCCAGGCTGGTGGGGAGACAGATATGGGAAGATGCATTTGATACACACAATGGTTATCAATGCAGGAACAAAGAACAGAGCTCAGAGTCACCAACTCTCCTGAAGAGGATTCCGGAAAGGCTTCCTGTAGGTGGTGATGCATGAGCCAAGGACTGAAGGATGAGCAGGAGTCTGTCAAGAGCACAAGACACCCTGCTTCCTTGAGTGGCCCATAATTGATTCAGCTTGGGAACTTGACTGGCCCTGTCCTTTCGAGCTCAGATCCATGCACACACCACGTGCTCAAAAATGTGTCATCATTTGTCCAGGCATGGTGGCTCACACCTATAATCTCAGCACTTTGGGAGGCCGAGGTGGGTCACTTGAGGTCAGGAGTTTGAGACCAGCCTGGCCAACATGGCGAAAACCCATTTCTACTAAAAATACAAAAATTAGCCAGGTATGGTGGCAGGTGCCTGTAGTCCCAGCTATTCAGGAGGCTGAGGCAGGAGAATCACTTGAACCTGGGAGGCAGAGGTTGCAGTGAGCCGAGATCATGCCACTGCACTCCAGCCTGGGTGACAGAGTGAGACTCCGTCTCAGGAAAAAAAAAAAAAATCATCATTGGATTAACAGACCCAGCTTCTTCATTGCCTCCCAGGAATGATGCCTTGTCTGACCCATGGCCTGAGAAACCAAAAAAAAAAAAAAGACCATTCAATAGATTGCCCTACTCTGATGAATAAGACCTACGTTTGTTGAGACAGCAAAGCAGGAAATCCTTTCCTATGTGCAAATGGTGCAGTCTCCCATTAAAGCAAAGGCAAAGGGGATGAGGCTCCCCTATTCACGTTGAGGCTTTGCCTCTAGTTCAGCCACCATCTGGCTGCCACCTGTCCCTTTAGGCCACCTGAACCATTGGTCCACAGTCATCAGTTCCCTGAAGCCTGGGATCCCAAACAGCTCTTACACTGTCTCAGAAAACAAAACAAAACAAAACCAAAAAACTCATAAACCCTTCTCCAGCACCCAGTTCCTGAAGAAAGCCAGGGGCCAGGGAGACAGGAGGGAGAGAGAATCTTTTCTGCAATCAGGCAGATTGACCTGAGTTTAAATCCTAGCAGTACCTTGTATAAGCCACGTGACCTGAGGCCAGTTATTCACCCACTGGGTCTCAGCTTCCACATCTATGAAATGAGCATAAAACTGCTCACTTCTCAAGAGTGTGGCGATGATTAAACGAGGGCAGGTGAGTGGAGAGCCCGGCTCCCAGGTGTACAGCCCATGGGATTTGGCGGCACAGAGGGACCCACATGTGGAGAGACGATGTTGGCTGGACAGCACTCCTCCTGGCTTCCATCCCCCGCCCTTGTGCAGAGCGCGGGAAGTAGGAGTGTGAAGGCCTGAGTCCTCTCTGCAGTTCTCTTGGTGACTCAGCCTCGGGCAGTAAGCTCAGAAATACCACGCGCCCAGCCTGTTCTGGTGACATTTCAAATACAGAGCGTCTCTCACATCCCCTCCCAGGCTGTCTGGTCAGTATCCATTACTCCAGAACTGGGGCGGGTTGTGCATTTCTATTTCCTTTTCAAGGGTCCTTCTTCCCATCTCACCCGGAGATAGCACTTACAGTTGATGGAGTGCTGTCCTATGGCTAACTTTATTTAATCCTCCCAGCAACCTTGCCGAAGAGGAAACTAACACTCCAAGGGGCCAAACCAACTGCACAAGATCACCCAGCTGGTCAGTGGCAGAGCCGGGATTTGAACTCAGAACTTCCTGGCTCACCTGCCTCGCTTTTTGCACTCACCCATTTACCATGCAAACAGGGACAAAGTGAGGCCACGGTTCCCTCGGCCTTCGGACCCACTCTCAGCGTCAAACAAGAGCTGGGCCAGACAGGGGGAAATGCACTGGAACTCTCTGGCACCTACCTGACCACCCTCAGACAGGCAGCAGTGCAGCCCAGCTGGTGGGGCCAGGTCCTCATCCACAGGCAAGGCAGAACCTCCCCAAAGATTCTGACTGCCAGCTGGGCCTCCATTTCGGCCTCTGGTCACGGGCCAATCCTTCATAGGGTGTAACCAACTGGAGGCCTGTGAAGGGCACCTAGGGGTGTTGCCGGCTTCTTCCTAGCTTAATAAAAATCCTAATTGAGGAGGCTCTTAAGCCACTTGCTCAAGCCCACTCCCACTCTGAATTGTCTTCAATAAATCTGTGCTTTCGTTACTGTTTTTCCGTTGCTTTTCATTGCCTCATTCGTTACTTTGTGCATTGTGTTGAATTCTTTGTTCAACCTGCTAAGAACCTGGACAACCCTCTCCGGTATAAAAGCTTCCTACAGAGCCTCCCCAGACAGAGCCTGACCTCAGCACCAGGGGCTGCCTACAGTACAGCTCCTCTGGTCACTGTCCCTCCTCATCCCACCAGGTGTCCCTCAGGACTAATTGACAGACACACCTGGCTTTGCACCTCAGCCAGACCTCTAGCATGAAGGAGATACCCGAGGGGCCAAGAACTGAATCTACACACTGTCCTTGCCTCCCAGCTTTCCCCAGCCTGACTCACCATCCACCACCCTTTCCCTCCCAGACCTCTTCCCTGTGTTCTTTGGAAACACTTTTAAATTTTAATTAATTTTTTTTTTTTTTGAGACGGAGTCTCACTCTGTCACCCAGGCTGGAGTGCAGTGGCGCGACTTCAGCTCACTGCAACCTCTGCCTCCCAGGTTCAAACGATTCTCCTGCCTCAGCCTCCTGAGTAGCTGGGATTACAGACATGTGCCACCACACCTGGCTAATTTTTGTATTTTTAGTAGAGAGAGGGTTTCACCATGTTGCTCAGGCTGAACTCCCGACCTCAGGTGGTCCACCGGCCTCAGCCTCCCAGAGTGCTGGGATTACAGGCGTGAGGCACCACACCCGGCCTGGAACCCATCTTTTAAGTGAACAAACTCACCCCCATGCTTCACCACGTCCCCAGACAAAGCATCTGTACCTTCTGTCTCAACTGAAGGTCTCTGCCCCCACCAAAACCCCACTTCTTATGCAGCCTCATTCAGCCGGAACTACTCCTCTCTGCACCCCCTACCTCAACCCTCTATAAGCACGTACCTTAAGGTCCAAATTTGCAGTAAGCATCCTCTTTGCTCCTCACTGCTAACTGGGCCTGGCTTCCTTGCCTCAGGTGAAACTAGCTCTTCAAGCCTGCGTCTCCCATCCTCATCCCCATCCTTCTTCCTGAAGAGCCTCCCTCTACCCCAGGCTCTGTCCCTTTCTCCACCCTAAGCAAGCCCTGGCAGCTTCTAGGGCCGGGATTCTCCACCTTGCCTCTACTGACATTGTGAGCCAGCTCATTCCTGTGGTGGGGGCTGTTCTGTGCCCTGGAGGATGCCTAGCAGCATCCCTGGCCTCTACTCACAAGATGCCAGCAACACTACACACACCCCTCAGTCGCGACCACCAAAAATGTCTCCAGACCTTGTCCAATGTCCTACAGGGGTACAAAGTCACCCTTGGTAGAGAGTCACTGGTCTGGAGCAACATCAGCATCCTCTGGACCCCAAGTCCAGTGCCTTTGACCTCCCGACCCCAGCGACAGTCACTTCACTCGGCTCCAGCCCTCTCCCGGTGCAGCCCTCTGCCTTCTCCACGCCCCAGGCTGCCAGGAAGCAGATGAAAGAGTGAAACCGCATCCATGCAGACTAGGCTTCGGGGCCAAGCTTTAACCCACTCCACTCGGCCTTCAGCCAGTCTGACACCTTCATAGCACTACCCCCAATCTGTAATTGAATTGTAATTTTTTACGATTCAATTACCACTTCCTTCTGCCCGTTGTCTTTTCTGCCTCCTCCACTGGGCTATAAATTCCATGAGGGCAGGAACTTTACTGATTTCTTCATGGTTTTATTCCTTACACTAGTGAAAGGTCTGGCACAGAAGACATTTATGGAGAGAGGGAAGAAAGAGAGAAAGGAAGGAAGGGAAAAAAGAAGGAAAGACAGAAAGAAGGGAGAAAAGAAAAATTTTTTGGAGGAAAGAAAACTTTGTAGAAGAGGAGAGGTATTAATCAGATGAAGCAACAACAAGAGTCAAGCATAACACGCATGTCACGGAATAACCCGCAGCTAATGAAAGGGACAGTGTACAAGTATCTCTAGAGTCACTGACATGCAAATATTCCTAATAACACTGACTATATGCTCATCTGCATTTATACCCAAAGAAATATCTAAAAGCATGCCCACCAAATGGTCAAAGATTTTTGTCTCTGGTAAAAGTGAGATTTCTTTTTTACTTCCATTTCCTACAATCAGCATGTATTACCTTTCCAAACTTAAAATAGCTACCATTCACCCAGCAATCCCATTACTGGGTATATACCCAAAGGAAAATAAATCATTCTAACAAAAAGACACATGCACTCCTATGTTCATTGCTGTATTATTCACAATAGCAAAGACAGGCAATCAACCTAGATGTCCATCAATGATAGACTGGATAAAGAAAATGTGGTACATATATACCATGGAATACAGCCATAAAAAAGCATGAAATCATGTCCTTTGCAGCAACGTGGATGCAGTTGGAGGCCATAATCCTAAGCAACTTAACGCAAAACAGAAAACCAAATACCACATGTTCTCACTTGTAAGTGAAAGTGAAGCATTGAGCACACATGGACATAAATATGGGAATAATAAGACACTGGGGACTACCAGAGGGAGGAAGGAGTGGGGCTTGGGTTTAAAAAACTACCTATCAGATACTATGCTCACTACCTGGATGAGAGGATCTGTACCCTAAACCTCAGCATCATACAATATTCCCATGTAACCAACCTGTACATGTACCCCCTGCATCTAAAAGTTGAATTTTTTTTTTCTTTTTGAGATGGAGTCTCGCTCTGTCACCTAGGCTGGAGTGCAGTGGCTCAATCTCAGCTCACTGCAACCTCCGCCTCCCTGGTTTCAAGCGTTTCTCCTGTATCAGCCACCCGAGTAGCTGGGATTACAGGCACCCATCAGCACACCCAGCTGATTTTTGTATTTTTCGTAGAGATGGGGTTTCACCATGTCGGCCAGGCTGGTGTCGAACTCCTGACCTCAAGTGATCCTCCTGCCTCAGGCTCCCAAAGTGCTGGAATTACAGGCGTGAGCCACTGCGCTTGACCTAAAAGTTGAAATTTTTATAGTTGCACTAAAATAGTCCAGGATGTGTTTGACGGCCTTCTACTTTGCCCATTTAGCTTCTGCAAGCTCTTGTTTAGCAGGGAACAGTTATCTCTTAACACATGGTTAAATCTCTAAGTTGATCATAAATCTCTCATTTTCAAAAAAAAAAAAAAAGTCCTTCTAAACAAAAATTTATAAATCATGTTTTTGAAGAATATATTTTAAGATGGGAAAATTCTCACTATAAAAAATTAGGTGAAAAGTGAGATACACAAAGAAGGTGCATATTATACATAATACATATCACAATTAAAGCAATATTTTAGATTTTATGTGGAAAGTGCTAAAAAGACCAGAAAGAAATCCAGCCCATGTCAACAACAGCAGTTCTGAGGGGTGGAGGGGCAGGGATGAGATCACTTTGCCATTTCTCTTCTATACTTGTCTTTATTTTCCAAATCTTCTAGAGCAGGGGTCCCCAACCCCTGGGTGACAGACTGGTACCGGTCCATGGCCTGTTAGGAACTGGACTGCACAGCAGTTGAGAGAGAGCATTACTGCCTGAGCTCCGCCTCCTGTCAGCTCAGTGCTGGCATTAGATTCTCAGAGGAGCGTGAACCCTACTGTGAACTGTGCATGCGAGGGATCTAGGTTGCAAGCTCGTTAGGAGAATCTAACTAATGCCTGATGATCTAAGGTGGAACAGTTCCATCCTAACTTGCTCACCCCTACCCCACCCATCCGTGGAAATATTGTCTTCCACAAAACTGGTTCCTGGTGCCAAAAATGTTGGGGACCCCTGGTCTAGGTCAGCACCATCCAATTTTGCAGTAAGTAGCCACAAGCCTCCCACAGCTATAGACACTTGAAATGTTAGCAAATAGGACCAAGGACCTGAAATTTTTATTTTACTTTATTTAAATTTAAATAGCCTCACATGCCTAGTGGCTACTGTACTTAAGAATAGGAAACTGAACAACCTGCTCCTGAATGATTACTATAACGAAATGAAGGCAGAAATAAAGATGTTCTTTGAAACCAATGAGAACAAAGACACAACATACAAGAATCTCTGGGACACATTCAAAGCAGAGTGTAGAGGGAAATTTATAGCACTAAATGCCCACAAGAGAAAGCAGGAAAGATCCAAAATTGACACCCCAACATCACAATGAAAAGAACTAGAAAAGCAAGAGCAAACACATTCAAAAGCTAGCAGAAGGCAAGAAATAACTAAAATCAGAGCAGAACTGAGGGAAATAGAGACACAAAAAACCCTTCAAAAAATTAATGAATCCAGGAGCTGGTTTTTTTAAAGGATCAACAAAATTGATAGACCACTAGCAGACTAATAAAGAAGAAAAGAGAGAAGAATCAAATAGATGCAATAAAAAATGATAAAGGGGATATCACCACCAATCCCACAGAAATACAAACTACCATCAGAGAATACTACAAACACCTCTCCGCAAATAAACTAGAAAATCTAGAAGAAATGGATAAATTCCTCGACACATACACTCTCCCAAGACTAAACCAGGAAGAAGTTGAATCTCTGAATAGACCAATAACAGGCTCTGAAATTGTGGCAATAATCAATAGCTTACCAACCAAAAAGAGTCCAGGACCGGATGGATTCACAGCCGAATTCTACCAGAGGTACAAGGAGGAACTGGTACCATTCCTTCTGAAACTATTCCAACCAACAGAAAAGAAGAGAATCCTCCCTAACTCATTCTATGAGGCCAGCATCATCCTGATACCAAAGCCGGGCACAGACACAACCAAAAAAGAGAATTTTAGACCAATATCCTTGAGGAACATTGATGTAAAAATCCTCAATAAAATACTGGCAAACCAAATCCAGCAGCACATCAAAAAGCTTATCCACCATGATCAAGTGGGCTTCATCCCTGGGATGCAAGGCTGGTTCAATATACGCAAATCAATAAATGTAATCCAGCATATAAACAGAACCAAAGACAAAAACCACATGATTATCTCAATAGATGCAGAAAAGGCCTTTGACAAAATTCAACAACCCTTCATGCTAAAAACTTTCAATAAGTTAGATATTGATGGGACATATCTCAAAATAATAAGAGCTATCTATGACAAACCCACAGCCAATATCATACTGAATGGGCAAAACTGGAAGCATTCCCTTTGAAAACTGGCACAAGACAGGGATGCCATCTCTCACCACTCCTATTCAACATAGTGTTGGAAGTTCCGGCCAGGGCAATTGGGCAGGAGAAGGAAATAAAGGGTATTCAATTAGGAAAAGAGGAAGTCAAACTGTCCCTGTTTGCAGATGACATGATTGTATATCTAGAAAACCCCACTGTCTCAGCCCAAAATCTCCTTAAGCTGATAAGCAACTTCGGCAAAGTCTCAGGATACAAAATCAATGTACAAAAATCACAAGCATTCTTGTACACCAATAACAGACAAACGGAGAGCCAAATCATGAGTGAACTCCCATTCACAATTGCTTCAAAGAGAATAAAATACCTAGGCATCCAACTTACAAGGGACGTGAAGGACCTCGTCAAGGAGAACTACAAACCACTGCTCAATGAAATAAAAGAGGACACAAACAAATGGAAGAACATTCCATGCTCATGGGTAGGAAGAATCAATATTGTGAAAATGGCCATACTGCCCAAGGTAATTTATAGATTCAATGCCATCCCCATCAAGTTACCAATGACTTTCTTCACAGAATTGGAAAAAACTACTTTAAAGTTCATATGGAACCAAAAAAGAGCCCGCATTGCCAAGTCAATCCTAAGCCAAAAGAACAAAGCTGGAGGCATCATGCTACCTGACTTCAAACTGTACTACAAGGCTACAGTAACCAAAACAGCATGGTACTGGTACCAAAACAGAGATATAGATCAATGGAACAGAACAGAGCCCTCAGAAATAATGCCGCATATCTACAACTATCTGATCTTTGACAAACCTGACAAAAACAAGAAA
The DNA here is from genome assembly GCF_000001405.40 of Homo sapiens. Classification (NCBI taxonomy): domain Eukaryota; kingdom Metazoa; phylum Chordata; class Mammalia; order Primates; family Hominidae; genus Homo; species Homo sapiens. The sequence goes on from NC_000020.11 coordinate 43,370,471, forward strand.
TGGGGAAAGGATTCCCTATTTCATAAATGGTGCTGGGAAAACTGGCTAGCCATATATAGAAAGCTGAAACTGGGTCCCTTCCTTACACCTTATACAAAAATTAATCCAAGATGGATTAAAGACTTAAATGTTAGACCTAAAACCATAAAAACCCTAGAAGAAAACCTAGGCATTACCATTCAGGACATAGGCATGGGCAAGGACTTCATGTCTAAAACACCAAAAGCAATGGCAACAAAAGCCAAAATTGACAAATGGGATCTCATTAAACTAAAGAGCTTCTGCACAGCAAAAGAAACTACCATCACAGTGAACAGGCAACCTACAAAATAGGAGAAAATTTTTGCAACCTACTCATCTGACAAAGGGCTAATATCCAGAATCTACAATGAACTCAAACAAATTTACAAGAAAAAAAAAACAACCCCATCAAAAAGTGGGCAAAGGACATGAACAGACACTTCTCAAAAGAAGACATTTATGCAGCCAAAAAACACATGAAAAAATGCTCACCATCACTGGCCATCAGAGAAATGCAAATCAAAACCACAATGAGATACCATCTCACACCAGTTAGAATGGCAATCATTAAAAAGTCAGGAAACAACAGGTGCTGGAGAGGACGTGGAGAAATAGGAACACTTTTACACTGTTGGTGGGACTGTAAAGTAGTTCAACCATTGTGGAAGTCAGTGTGGTGATTCCCCAGGGATCTAGAACTAGAAATGCCATTTGACCCAGCCATCCCATTACTGGGTATATACCCAAAGGACTATAAATCATGCTGCTATAAAGACACATGCACACGTATGTTTATTGCGGCACTATTCACAATAGCAAAGACTTGGAACCAACCCAAATGTCCAACAATGATAGACTGGATTAAGAAAATGTGGCACATATACATCATGGAATACTATGCAGCCATAAAAAATGATGAGTTTATGTCCTTTGTAGGGACATGGATGAAATTGGAAATCATTATTCTCAGTAAACTATCGCAAGAACAAAAAACCAAACACTGCATATTCTCACTCATAGGTGGGAATTGAACAATGAGAACACATGGACACAGGAAGGGGAACATCACACTCTGGGGACTGTTGTGGGGTGTGGGGAGGGGGGAGGGATAGCATTAGGAGATATACCTAATGCTAAATGACAAGTTAATGGGTACAGCACACCAGCATGGCACATGTATACATATGTAACTAACCTGCACATTATGCACATGTACCCTAAAACTTAAAGTATAATAATAAAAAAAAAAACAGATATGACATAATCACAAAAAAAGAAAGAACAGCACACCAGAGGGAAGGAGTAGTTTTTATTTTTTATTTTTTATTTTTTTTGAGACAGTCTCGCTCTGTCACCCAGGCTGGAGTGCAGTGGCACAATCTTGGCTCACTGCAACCTCTGTCTCCCAGGTTCAAGCAATCCTCCTTCCTCAGCCTCCCGAGTAGCTGGGATTACAGGCATGCACCACCACACCCGGCTAATTTTTGTATTTTTAGTAGAGATGGGGTTTTGCCATATTGGCCAGGCTGATCTCAAACTCCTGACCTCAGGTGATCTGCCCGCCTCAGCCTCCCAAAGTGCTAGGATTATAGGCGTGAGCCACCACACCCGGCCAGTAGTTTTATATACTTAGGAAAAAAGTACTAGATGTGATTTTTAAGTTAATAACAACTTAGAACAGAAAATCCAAACACTGCCCCAGTGTCTGGCCCAGTTCCAGCTCAATGCTGCATTCTGCATCTGTTTATTGTAAGATGTGAATGCCCCATCCAACTTTCTTGGCAGATGTATCCTTTTTTACACTTTTTTAAAAACTGAAAGATGATTTCTTCATTTCTTATTCAGTTTTGAAAGGGAGGCACAGTCAATGATCTCGCACGTATTCCAGAAACTGACTTCCTTAGACCTTAACAGAAGCTACTCAAGTGCACAGATGTTTGCTGGTTTTACATGGAGGCCTTGCTGGCTATGAAAAAACATTCCCCTCTAATTTTTTGCTCAATTTGTTTTAAGTTGGTAATGAAATCTGTGAATCTGTGTTCCCTTTCTACAGGAAAAATAGAATTTTGATCTCTTTTAAAAATCAGAACGCAACAGGATAATGGAGAAATCAGTCTCAATAGCACATTTCTTGTTCGTTTCAGAGCGGTGATGTAAACACGATGATGCTATGCTTTTGGGGTCTTTGAGGTTTCTGCCAAAAGCATAGCAGCTTAGGTGGATTCGTGCCTACCGCATGCTTCTTTGGTGGATTTCTGTCGACAAATTGTATGTCTGCTCTTCTGAAATAGCATCATGAAGTTGTTAATGTCTTTGCATAAAGACCACCCCATTCTGTTTGCCCTGGGGACAAAGACTTTGCACTAATCACCTTGCTCTCTCCTGGAGCGAAGAGCTGAAGAGGCAACAGGAAATGCTTATTTACTGAGTTCTTACTGGGTACCAACTGTGGACACCCACAGAAGGGGTTTGAGTAAGTATCTCCTCATTGTCCAGGGGCCAGAGTAGAGAACAGAAAGGAAACAGCTTGGCCTCTGGTTCCACAAAATAAATAAGAATAAAATAGAACATTGAACATTTGTGTTTCTTTCACCATCTTAATGTATGCACTTTGTAGATTCTGCATTCAAACATGTAGAACAGGCTAATGAAAGAAAATGCCAAGGCCGGGCACAGTGGCTCACACCTGTAATCCCAGCACTTTGAGAGTCCGAGGTGGGTGGATCACAAGGTCAGGAGTTCGAGACCAGCCTGGCCAATGTAGTGAAACCCCGTCTCTACTAAAAATACAAAAATCAGCCGGGTATGGTGGCGGGCGCCTGTAATCCCAGTTACTCGGGAGGCTGAGGCAGGAGAATCACTTGAATCCGGGAGGCAGAGGTTGCAGTGAGCCGAGATTGCACCATTGCACTCCAGCCTGGGTGGCAGAGAGACTCCATCTCAAAAAAAAAAAAAAAGAAAGAAAGAAAGAAAGAAAATGCCCTCAAATCTCACCACCCAGAGACAAAATCATTCACTTTTGGAGAGCATTCTTCCAAATCTCGCTCTCTTCCAATGGTTCTCAGCTGAGGACAATTTTGGCCGCCTGCGTACATTTGGCAATGTATGGAAACATATTTGGTTGTCACACACTAGGAAGGGGTGTTCCTGGCATTTAGTGGGTAGAGGCTGAGGATGCCACTAAGCATCCCACACTGCAAAGGACAGCCCCTCTCTCCACCACAAAGAATTATCCAGCTCAAATGCCAGTGGTGCTGAGGCCAAGAAACCCTGCTATAGACATATGGATGTGTAGCTCTGTGATAATTACATAATCAAGTTCATACTATGCCAGCTGCTCATCATCCTGCAAGAAAACATGTATCGCTTGTCTGCTATGGTCAAGCACTGCCTGTTCCTTAGAGAGGGCCTCATTTAATTTTTACCAGAACTCTCCAAGAGGAGGAATTAGTACAGATGTTACGAAGAGACTGAGGTTCAGAGAGGTGAAGCGCCTTGACCAAGGTTGCACAGCCATTAGTTGTGGTGCTAAGACCCCAGTCCAGGTATGAGGGATTCCAAACTGCCTTTCCTACCGTCTGTCCATTTGCTCCCTTTCACCGCAGGACCCAGTTTACAAGGGGCAATTAGAAACCTAAGAGTAAGGCCCTTGAGCTCCCCTTTCAGAACCTGAGGGAAGCATTATTTAAATCTTCTCCATTTTTACATTTGTCATATTTTATCTGTGAAGAATACCTTCAACTTCCTCACTAATCACTTTTCTGTCCATTGCTCATTGTTTTCCTACCGTTTAACTATACATATGTGTATGCTATACTATACTCATAACTATTATATCTTGGTTGTAGGTTAAACCCTCCATTAGTTTGTTAAATAATTTTTTTTTTTTTTGAGATGGAGTTTCACTCTTGTTGCCCAGGCTGGAGTGCAATGGAATGATCTCAGCTCACTGCAACCTCCACCTCCCGGGCTCAAGTGATTCTCCTGCCTCAGCCTCCCGAGGAGCTGGGATTACAGGCATGCACCACCTCGCCCAGCTATTTTTTGTATTTTTAGTAAAGACGGGGTTTCACCATGTTCACCAGGCTGGTCTCAAACTCCTGACCTCAGGTGATCCGCCCACCTCAGCTTCCCAAAGTGCTGGGATTACAGGCATGAACCACCGCATCTCACTGAATAATGTTTACCTTGATTTCTCCCTCCTCTGATGGTGTTGTGACTCCTGCCTCCTTTCTGTTTGCATTTGGCTGATATATCTGGAATTATTCTGCCTCAATTATATTGTTTCAGGTTTGTGCTTTGCAGTTGGCAGATTGTTGAATTTGGATTGGATTTACCCAACCTGGGAGTCATTTTCTTTCCGTGGGCATGTCTTTTTTTAAATTTATATTTGCTTCCATAACAGATATCTTTGGTCTTAATTCTACTTTCTTGTTTTATGTTTTATATGCTTCCATTATCTTATTTCCTAATTTTTCCTACCTTCTGCTCATCTGGCAAACAGAATGTGTTTTGTTCTACTGGTGATTGTTTTTTATCTTTGAATTACAAGGTTTAATTTACACGTTCAAAGTTTTCAACTTCAAAAATGAAAAAGTAGCTGTCAGCCAGACACAATGGCCATCCCTGTAATCCCAGCGCTTTGGGGGACTGAGATGAGAGGATCACTTGAGCTCAGGAATATGAGACCAGCCTGGACAACATAGGAAGACCCTGTCTCCAGAAAAAGCAAAAAGCAAAAACTAAAATAAAATAAAGTAAAATAAATAAAAGTCCTGGCTCTGTGGCTCACGCCTGTAATCCCAGCTACTAGGGTGGCTGAGGCACAAGAATCATTTGAACCCTGGGAGGGGGAAGTTGCAGTGAGCTGAAATCATGCCACTGTACTCCAGCCTGGGTGGCAGAGGGAGACCCTGTTACAAAAAAAAAAAAAAAAAAAGAAAGAAAGAAAGAAAAAGAAAAAGTAGCTGTTGACTCCGCTTATGGAAGATAAGAAAATTGATTCCATTCCAATTTCTCATTCTGTCTTCACCTCTATCTTCTGGTTTTCAATTATATGCTCTGGGAATTTTTGTCTCAGTCTTTTAAATTTTGGGGTTATAATGCTATATATATTTTGCTTTAAGAACTATAATAGCTACATTCTTCACATTCTGTTTTATAATTTTTCCATGGTTATTTATATTTAATTTTATATGTAAATTGTCTCAATGCACACCCCCATACAAGCACTTCCTTTTCCAGTAATGCTAGATAATTTTCTAGTGAGTTCTTTGTTTTGAGTCATCTCTTAGTTGACTGAAGCATATTTTCAAGTATTTCCTCCCCCACACTCTTTCCCCCACAAGAAGGATATATGGGTGATATACTTCCTAAATCCGTGCATATTTGACTCACTTGTAAATATCAACTTTGATGAAATTTTGGATCCTATTCTTTTTCTTTTCATTGTCTTTCTTGCTGCATTTTCTTCTGGAATCTAATGTCAGAGTTAAAAATTGAGGCCATCTGATTTTTATTTTCTTTGAAGACAACCTGCTTGTTCTGCCTGAATTTTCATTAGACTCCCTTTTTCCTTGAAATGTAATGGTTTCATCAGAGTCTATGTCTCACTGCTAGCTTTTTTTCTCTGCTTATAAATTTCCTTGGTAACCCTTTGAGCTGAACATTCGTATCTACCTTCACTTCAGGGATGTTTCTTCTATTCATATTTCCTCCTCGAATATTCTCCCTGTTGCATTTGTCCTATTTCTTATCCTCCAAGAACACAAATTATTCCCACGTCAATTCCACATTTCCCTCTTCTCTATGTGTGGTCAGTGTATCTGTCAGGATCTGGTCAGGAGTCAAAAAACATAACACTTATTTTAATAGAAATAATTTAATGTAGATAAGTGGTAACCAGGTACAAAATTGTTAACTCGGTACTGAAAAGACAAAAAGAGAACATTAACATATAATAGAGGCAACAGCTGCAGAGAGCAACCATTACCCAAAGGGCTGGGAAACAAAGGGAAGAAACTGGCAGTGTTAAAACAGGGCCAGGTACAGTGGCTCACACCTGTAATCCCAACACATTGGGAGGTCGAGGCCGGCAGGTTGCTTGAGCTCAGAAATTCTAGACCAGTCTGGCCAATATGGCAAAAAGCCCATCCCTACAAAAAATACAAAAATAGCCAGGCATGATGGTGCACGCCTGTAGTCCCAGCTACTCAGAAGGCTGAGATGGGAGGATCAATTGAGCCCAGGAGGTCAAGGCTGCAGTGAGCCGTGATAGCACCACTGCACTCCAGTCTGGGCAACAGAGTAACATCCTGTCTTTAAACTAATAATATAAATACATACATACATACATACAAACTTAGAAGATTAGAAGGGCTCTGCAAAGCTGAAAATCAGACCTCTGAGTAGGGGGCCAGTGCTTAGCTGTGCTGGTGTCTGAGCTCAAAAGTGAGAGCCCATGAAGCTGAGACCAGGATTTACTGGCCTTGTACTCCAAGCGAAGCATTTCACACATCCCCTTGCCAAGGCCTGGAACAATGACAGGTTTTATGCAAACATACTTTTAGGCGAGCTGTTTTCAATCTTGCCTACACATTGGAATCACATGAAAAATTGTTTAAAATACTGATGCCTGGATACCACCTTTTGAGAGTCTCAGTAAATTGGTCTGGGGTGCTGTCTGAGCATTTCAAGTTTTTAAAGCTCCCCAGGTGATGCTAATGTGTAGCCAAGGTTGGCGGCCATTGGCCTAGAATTACCTCTGCATAGGACCTGTTACCACTGCTGAGAACAAGGAATAGGTCAATGTCTACCTTGGTTTTATATTATATTCACCTGAGAAAAATTGTTTTAACTGGTGACGGCCCTCCTTTCCCCTAGAAGTCCTGATTTAATTCACTGGAGTTGGGGTCAACATTGAGATTTTTTATTTCCACAGGTTTTTGGGGAACAGGTGGTATTTGGGTACATGAGCAAGTTCTTTAGCGGTGATTTGTGAAATTTTGGTGCACCCGTCACCCAAACAGTATACACTGAACCCAATGTGTAGTCTTTTATTCCTACCCCCTTCCACCCTTCCTCCCAAGTCCCCAAAGTCCATTGTATCATTCTTACGCCTTTGCATCCTCATAGCTTAGCTCCCACTTATGAGTGAGAACATACAATGTTTGGTTTTCCATTCCTGAGTTACTTCACTTAGAGTAATAGTCTCCAGTTCCGTGCAGATTGCTGCGAATGCCATTAATTCGTTCCTTTTTATGACTGAGTAGTATTCCATCATGTATATATAGAGAGAGAGAGCACGGATTTTTAAATCCCAGGGGATTCTAATGTGCAGCCAGGGTTTAGGTAAAGGAAAGACCCATAATGCCTATGTCCCGCATCAGTGAGTTTTGATAAGTGAATCCTAGACATCATAAAGAAGCAAAATGTCCAAGCATTATGTCAACATCAAGAAGACTAGGATGGTGGGAGAAGTCTAACAATTAGAACACTTTAACAGGGATCTCTTCACCATGAGAGTCAGAAATAGAAACCCAGAAGGCCTCTCCTCTCTCTCTCCCCCACTCCGACTTCTCTTTCTCTGTCTTCTAGCTCTCCTATCACACACACACACACACACACACACACACACACACACACACACACATTCATTTGTTCTACAGTCGAAAGAACAGCATTAGAAGAAAGTTGTCCAGGTGCAGTGTCTCACGCCTATAATCCTAGCAGTTTGGGAGGCAGAGGCGGGAGGGTCACTTGAGCTCAGGAGTTCGAGACCTGACTGGGCAACATAGTGAGACCTCATCTCTAATAAAAAAAAATAAAAATAAAAGTTATGAGTATGAGCTGAATAGATAAATTTCCATTTCCTTTGGTATAACTGTGGGGTAGCTTTGGGCCTTATTGTCCTAGGGGGATGGTTCTCAAAGTGTGATCCCTGGACCAGTAGCATCGGCATCACCTGGGAACTTTCAAGAAACGCAAGTTCTTGGGGTCTACCCAAGATCCACTGAATCAAACTCTGGAGGTGGGGCCCAGCCACCTGTGTTTTCTACGAGCCTTTCAGGTGACTCTGATGCATGCTTAATTTGAGATCCACTGCCCAAAGCAGTGGCATCTGGAAAAGACACACCAGAAAAACACAAAACATTACAAGGCCTATGCCTCAGGAGCCCCTTCAGTAGATGACTGCCAAGAATAGCCCACTCAGGCAGGGTGCAATGGCTCACACCTGTAATCCCAGCACTTTGGAAGGCCAAGGCTGGCAGATTACCTGAGATCAGGAGTTTGAAACCAGCCTGGCCAACATGATGAAACCCTATCTCTAGTAAAAATACAAAAAAAATTAGCCAGGCATGGTGGCACATGCCTGTAATCCCAGCTACTCGGGAGGCTGAGGCAGGAGAATTGCTTGAGCTCAGGAGACAGAGGTTGCAGTGAGCCGAGATTGTGCCACTGCACTCCAACCTGGCCAACAGAGCCAGACCGTCTCGAGAGAAAAAAAAAAAAAGTAGCCCACCCTCCCTCTGGTAGATGAACTACATCACCATAGCAACACAAATGCTCCTGGTGGGTCTCAGATGTTCACCATGAGAACATCTTTCCTTAATAACCTAGGAGGTTTGTATGTAGTCAGACTCTTGTGCCCTTTGTCCCTTTGCTTGCCTGTGAGAACTAATACCACCTTTGTGCCTTTTTCTTCAGCATGCTAAGAACTATTTTTGTCTAATCCCACTTCATCCTCTCAAATTGGTGCAACTTCTCCTCGGATTTTGACAATGGATCTTCCAGTGGTCTTCGCTTTGCCTACTGTTGTGACTTTTTTTTTTCCTGTAGTATACCTTCATTAATGCCTCCTGAGGTCTGTTGCATTAGCTTTTTGGATATCCACATCAAACTACAGACACTGATTAAACTCACAGTAAACTAAAGCTCCTGATTCATTTTCCATGAGTAATACTAAGTCATATCTTCTTCCATCTTTTATCTAAGCTGCTGATATTTTGGACCCAAGTATACAACCTCACAACATCTTGCAATATTTTAGCATGTCATTGGTAAAATATCATCAGTTATCTATTGTTGTGTAACAAAACATCCCAAAACTTTAAATAACAATCATTTATTTGTTCATGATTCTGCAGTTTGGGCTGGGCCCATCCAGGCAGCTCTTCTGCTGGTCCTGGATGACTCATGGAGTGGTAGTCATCTTGTAGCTCAGCTAGAGCTGAAGGGTCTCAGATGACCTCACTCACATGCCTGTGGCCTTGGTGCTAGCTGTTGGCTGGGATTTCTTTCCACATGGACTCACATACTCTAATAGTCTAGCCCAGGCTTTCTTACATGGGAGTGTGAGCACGCCAAGAGGGTAAAGATGGCTCTGGAAATAGCACAACTTCACTGCTGCCGCATACTGTTGAACAAAACAAGTCGTAAGGCCAGCCTGGATTCTAGGAGTGGGGTAATAGAATCCACCTCTTGATGTAAAAATGTACAAATATCTCATGGCCATATGTAAACTACCACATCTTCCCTGTCTCGTTTCTCCACTTTCTGACTGGTTCTTTCTGGGATCACCCCCCAGATAAACTACTTATACACAAATCCTTTTCTCAGGATCTTTGAAGGTCACTCTACCAAAGAAACTCAGGCTCAGAGCTTGGTCCAGAAACTTCATCTCTTCTCATTCCATTCTTGCCTTAGCAATCTCACCCATTCAAATGTATACACCAAAAACTTCCAAATTTCTACCTCTGGCCTCACTCAGACAGAATATCCAACTCTTCTCACAAGCCCACTGGAGGCCTTCCAGGTATCTCAAATTTAATATGCCAGATTGAAGTCTTGATTTGCAATACCCCGCCAACTTCCTCTGCCAGCCATCCCCATCTCACCTCCATATGCCTAATTGGCACTCCAATGGCCCCTCCATGACATTCCAAAAACTTCTCCATATCCCACCAATCCTCATGTCCCAATGATTATTCTTCCAAATACTTCTCAAATTCCTTTTCTCATCACAACTGCCACCACTGCGGTCCAAACCACCCCCATCTCTCTACTAACTGATCTCTCTGCTTTTTATCTTGTTCCCCCACTCCAACAGCAGCTTAGAAATCAAGGACAACAGCCAAATATTCAGCCAAGGAAAGCTCTTGCCTGGTCCATTTCTGCAGGACCTTCTACATTTTCTACCTCAATCAGCTAGTCACTGTGAGAACTACTGTAAATTAACAATATATTGTAGATCAGGACTAATTGCAATAAATATGTTATTATAATTCTCAAATAAAATGTTGGCTTCCATTAACCAAGTGTGAAAATTTTGATTATGGTGTTTTGCACATATGTCCATAGTTACTATCACCAATTAGCAAGCTAATGCCCCAAACACCCTCATTAGTGCATTCATTTATGACATATCAACAAAAATAAAAAGCTATGATGCTGTGACTTTATTTTTCTAAATTCCATTAAGGACAAGGAAAAAAATCATAGTACTATTTATGCAAGGTTGTAGAAGCAATCATTACACATTACAATATAAAACCCAACCACATTTTCAAAGTGTTTGCCGAGTGTACAATTCCATAAAAGAGAAGTGCCTTGCATAGAAACACCGCCATGCCTTGGATATTGCTGGTACTTAATAAACGTCCTTTGACTAAAGTTGTTGCATGTTAGAGCTGCAAAGTTTTTTGGGACTAATTCTGCACAATTATGAGGCTTAGAAGAGTGCAATGACTTTGCTAGGGCATCACAGCTTGGAAGTAAAGCTAGGACCAGAGACTTGCTGTAAGCCAGAGTTTGTCAACTTCAGCACTGCTGGATTGGTAACTTTGGTTTGGATAATTCCCTGCTGTAGGGCTGTCCTGTGCATTGCATAACATTTAGCATCCCTAGCCTCTCTACCACCAGATGTCAGTAATATCACCCCAACCAATCAAGACAATCAAAAATATCTCCAGACATTGCCAAACGTCCTCTGGCAGGGGTGGGGAAGAATGCAAGGTACTGCAGAATCCCCCTCAGTTGATATATTGGTCTGTTTTCATGCTGCTAATAAAGACATACCCAAAACTGGGTAATTTATAAAGGAAAGAGGTTTAATTGACTCACGGTTCCACGTGGCTGAGGAGGCCTCCAATCATGGAGAAAGTGAACTTGGAGCAAAGGCCATCTTACCCGGCAGCAGACAAGAAAACTTGTGTAGGGGAACTCCGATTTATATAATCATCAAATCTCGTAAGACTTACTCACTACCACGAGAACAGTGTGGGGGAAACCACGCCATGATTCAATCATCTCCACCTGGCCCTGCCCTTGACACGTGGGGATTATTACAATTCAAGGTGAGATTTGGGTAGAGACACAATCAAACCATGTCAGTCGAGAAATATTGTAAATGTAGATTAGTGGTTCTTAAAATGTGGTCCCCAGACCAGCAGCAGCAGCAGCATCACCTAGAACTTGCTTAAACTGCAGTTGATCAGGCCACACTCCAGATCCACTGAATCAAAAACCCTGGGGGTGCGTCCCAGCAATAAGCCCTCCAGGTGATTCTAATGCACAGTCAAGTTTCAGACCCAGCAATAAAGATTATCCCTAACCCTTGCAAGGTAATTGCTCATGTTCCAGTTTCATAAATAAGAAAATCAGGCTCAAAGAGGTTACCTGTTTTGCCCAGGTTCTGATATAGCAATGGCAGAGCTAGGACTTGAAATGGGCTCAGTATAACACCAGAGGCCAGCTCTTTCTGCTCTGCCTTGCCTCCTTGAACACAAGGCAGCAGGGAAAAGGAAAGCCTGGACTGGACTTCAGGCTGACTCTCTCGTACCACGAGCACCACGAAGACAAAGTCCACAATGCCACAGCTGTCAGGCCTCTGAGCCCAAGCTAAGCCATCATATCCCCTGTGACCTGCACGTATATACGTCCAGATGGCCCGAAGCAAGTGAAGAATCACAAAAGAAGTGAAAATGGCCAATTCCTGCCTTAACTGATGACATTCCACCATTGTGATTTGTTCCTGCCCCACCTTAACCGAGCGATTAACGTTGTGAAATTCCTTCTCCTGGCTCAGAAGCTCCCCTACTGAGCACCTTGTGACCCCCGCCCCTGCCCGCCAGAGAACAGCCCCCTTTGACTAATTTTCCTTTACCCACCCAAATCCTATAAAATGGCCCCACCCCTATCTCCCTTCGCTGACTCTGTTTTCGGACTCAGCCCGCCTGCACCCAGGTGATTAAAAAGCTTTATTGCTCACACAAAGCCTGTTTGGTGGTCTCTTCACACGGACGCATGTGAAAACAGCCGCTTTTGTGGTTGCCGTGGCCCTTTGGGGGTATGAGGTAAGAAAGAGAAGAGTCTGAGCCTAAAGAGGATCATCAAACCTACTAGATGCTAATGAGGCCAAACTGAGCACATTAGGGGCAAAGACACTGTGTCTCCAGACCCACTCCCAAATGAGCATCCTGAATGAACCTTTACCTACCCAGCTCCCCTCTTTTCTGGGGACCCTCTCTAGGAACCTTCCCCACCATTTACACAGTTACTATAGAAGCAACGATTCTGTATCCCATGACCTCATTCCTCCAGCCACAGCTGTTTGGCTCGTGGTGGCCAAGGGAGCTTGACCTAAGTTGAACCAATTACTCCCTGTCCTGAAATTCTGGACATGGGACAAAGCGAGAATTGAATCTGTCCCTCCCTATGAGGGTTGAAACTGAGATTTCATGCTCCAGAGCTATTGGTCGCAATGTTGTTCTACCACTTCCATGCAAGTTTCTTTCACTTACAACCCAAAGAGATCTGACTCAAACAAGAAAACGTCCCTTTCACTATTACAGCCACCCAAGGGTAAGAATAACATTTCACAACATGCAGGAGACAAGGGGGAAATAAACCATGCAAGCTTCACCCTCAACTCAGAGAGGTGTGTTCTGGAAAGTTCCTGCCCACCTCGTCCATGACCTGTGGCCTCTGAAGATAGTGCTAGTCTCCTTGAAAACCAGAGCCATATGGGATCCCTTGGCCCCAGAAGTTATCACTAGAATCTCCCCACCATGCCTCAAGCTGATGGCAAGATTCCACATGGGAAGGAGGAAGGGAAAACATTGTGAGTCAAGGGACTGCAAGTTACTAAAGGTTGGAGATATGTTTAAGAGACAAAGAAATGCGGGTATTTTGGAGGAAAGAGTGAAGAAATACTTGAAAAGCTGTGACTCCAGACTCCCCCCACCGCTTCCAAATTAACCCCCACCATATTCACCACTGAATCCACAACAATGAAAAGTGCCTGAGGCAAAGACAGCATACATGCTCTTTTGCTAGGTGAAGAGAGGGAGGGATAAATGTTCAATGAGAGCCTTGTGTTTCTCTAAAGGCACAGAACTAGGAGCATCTGGCTGAGGTGAGGGGCGAGGACTTGGGGTGAACCTGGCAACACCTTTTGGCTGGCAGATCACAGGTAGGTGGGGAAAGTTACCTCAAGGAGTGTAGAAAGTAAACCAACCACGGAGAGAAAAGCCTGCCTGGAAACTGACCAACTATGTAATTCTGAGCTACTCCCTTCACATCTCTGAGCCTCAGTTTCCCCATCTACACAAATATAGCGCTGTCCTAGCTCTCCCTCTCTCTGGTCCCTTTCTTCTCCCAAGTCTGAGAAAATTTCATGGGGTGGGGGTGTCCCCAAACTGTTAAAGCAGAGCCGTATTCCAAGTCCTTGGCAGAGGGGGTCTCACTGTCCATCTGCTGGTTCTCCATGCAGAGAGACACCAGAATGGGTGGGTATTTGGGAGGTCTCCAACTTCTCTGAGAACATCACTGCAGATGCTCCTGAAAAGGGTGAGACGTGGGCCTTTTGGCGAGTGAGAAGTTTGGAGTACTGCCAGTCAGTCCCGTCTGTCCCCATGCTCACCAGACAGGCACCATCCCCCAGTGCAAAGCACCAAGAATTCCCCATGGGGGTGGGGAGAAGGCATCAGGTGGAGCCCCTTCCCCCGCTTCCCTGCCCAGGTATCAAAAGATGAATTCCAGGAACTGCCGGGATGGTGATGATGGAAATTACGCAACTCTCCCACGGAGACACACACGGCCACATTTAGGGGCATCCTTTTGTCCCAGTTTAGTCCACTTCTGCTCCTCGTTGCCCTGGGCAGTCAAGTCTCTTTTACAAAGATGTTTCTCAAGCCCCAGGTAATGTAGATACAAATACAGTCATGTGTCACTTAATGATGGGGATAGGTTATGAGAAATGTGTTAGGCAATTTCGTTGTTGTGTAAACATCAGAGAATGTATTTATGCAACCCTAGATAGTATAGTCTCCTATGCACCTAAGCTATATGCTATAGCCTGTTGCTCCCAGGCTACAAACTGTTCGGCATGTTACTGTCCTGACGACTATAGGCAATGGCAACACTGTGGGGAGTATTTGTGTATCTAAACATTTTTAACCAAGATGACTGGGTGCAAATTACTAACAAACAATGTCCTTTGATTGAGAACTCACAGGCCGGGCGCAGTGGCTCACGCCTGTAATCCCAGCACTTTGGGAGGTCGAGGTGGGCGGATCACCTGAAGTCAGGAGTTCGAGACCATCCTGGCCAACACGGTGAAACTCCGTCTCTACTAAAAATACAAAAATTAGCCGGGCATGGTGGTGGGTGCCTGTAATCCCAGCTACTTGGGAGGCTGAGGCATGACAATTGCTTGAACCTAGGAGGCGGAGGTTGCAGTGAGCTGAGACTGCGCCATTGCACTCCAGCCTGGGCAACAAGAGCGAAACTCTGTCTCAAAAAAAAAAAAAGAGAGAGAGAGAACTCACAATATCCTAGGGACTGTGCTAGGCTTCCTTCACTTAACTGTCACAACAACCCTATGCAGGAGGTAGTCTATCCCCTATCGAATACTGATGAGTAAACTGAAGTTCAGAAAGGCAGGACTCAGAGACTGGGACTAGCAAGACTAGAGCCAGAGTGCAAGCAGGTGTGCGCTGGTGTGTCCAGCATGGGAGATTCTCTGGTATTAAAATCTAGGCTCAGAGGCCGGGTGGAATGGCTCACATGTGTAATCCCAGCACTTTGGGAGGCCAAGGTGGGCGGATCACTTGAGGTCAGGAAGGAGTTCAAGACCAGCCTGGCCAACATGGTGAAACCCCATCTCTACTAAAAATACAAAAAATTAGCTGGGCATGGTGTTGCATGCCTATAATCCCAGCTACTCAGGAGGCTGAGGCAGGAGAATCGCCTGAACCCGGGAGACAGAGGTTGCAGTGAGCCAAGATGGCACCACTGCACTCCAGCCTGGGCGACAGAGAAGAACTCCCTCTCCAAAAAAAAAAACAAAAACAAAAACAAAAACAAACAAACAAAAAAAAGGCACTCCAGCCCGGACAACAAGAGTAAAACTCCGTTTAAAAAAAAAAAAATCTAGGCTGTGCTGGGAAGCGGTGTGGCACAGTGGTTAGGGGCACAAGCTCTATGGACAAGAGCTTGCAAACGCAAATCCCTTGTGCCCTAACCACTGTGCCACACTACTTCCGGCATAGCCCAGATCTTAAAACCAAAGAATCTCCCACACTGGACACACCAGTTCCTCACCTGCTGGCACTCCAGCTGCGGCCTCACTAGCCCCAGTCCTTAAAGAGCTGCCACACCCCTGCTCCTGCCACATCCTTTCCTCTCCCTAGAATGTTTCAGGCTCTGCTCATGGTCCCTCCTCCATGAAGACTTCCTGAGCCTCCCAGGCCCCTAAGAGAGAATTAACCCCTCTCTCCTTCACTCCACCCCTGCTGGCTCTAGATGCATCCATCACAGGAAACGTTCCCAATATTTTTATTTTTTCAATTTTATTTTAGATTCAGGGGATGCATGGGCAGGTTTGTTAGAAGGGTATGTTGCATGACATTAAAGAAAATGTGGTACATATACACCATGGAATACTACACAGCCATAAAAAAGAACGGATTCGCGTCCTTTGCAGCAACATGGATGTAGCCAGAGGCCATTATCATAAGCAAACTAACCCACTATTATTTATATACCCATTGCAGCCTTGTGGCTTCCAGTCTTCTGGGAAATATAGGCCAGGCCTTACCCATTTCTGTATGCCCAGGATCCAACACCGTGCCAGGCACACAAAGACTCTCAGTAAATAATGAGTGAATAACCAAGTAAACTAAAACCTCACCCAAAATCCAATCTCGAGCTACCCAAGACAGCAAGTTCATGGGGCAGGAATGCCTGGCACATGGCACACGCTTTCTCAATACAAACTTACATCATGAATAAAATAAATGAATGATAGCATAGCTGAGGATTTACACCCTTATTTCTAGTAACTCTCATTGTAGGTGACACAAAGGATTGGGTCCAGATACAATCTTAATGTATTAGTTCGTTCTCACACTGCTACAAAAAAACTACCTGAGACTGGGTAATGTAAGAAGAAAAGAAGTTTAATTGACTTGCAGCCCCACAGGCTGTACAGGAAGCATGGCTAGGAGGCCTCAGGAAACTTACAATCATGGCAGAAGGCAAAGGGGAAGCAAGCACCTCTTACCACAACAGAGCAAGACTGAGAGAGAGAGCAAATGGGGAAGTGCCACACGTTTTTAAGCAACCAGATTTTGTCAGAATTCACCATCATGAGAACAGCAAGGGGGACTTGCGCCCCCGTGATTCAATCACTTCCCACCAGGTCCCTCCTCCAACATATGGGGATTACAGTTCAACCTGAGATTTGTGTGAGGACACAGAGCCAAACCCTATCACTTAGGTTTGGAAAGGGAAACATCAGACTTGCTAGTTGAAAAGCAACTTTGTAAACCTTAAGCCATTATTCAGGGACAGTAAACCTTCAAAACACAATAAGAAAATAAGTCTTCAATGCAAAACTTTAACAATTAAAAGATGTTAGTCGTTCTGCATTGCAAACAGGATTAACTAAACTCTGGGGGTAAGGAGGGTCATAAGATCCCCAAAATAAAATTTTAATATGGTATATGAAGCCTTTCTGAGAGTTGAATTCTTCCAGAAGCAGACCCTGAGACAAGAATTTGAGTGTAAGTAATTTATTTGGGAGGTGACTCCCGGAAGCAGCAGCAAGGAAGAGGGAAAGAAAGACAGAAAGGATGGAAGCCAATTAATAGCATGCCGTCAGTCCAGTTACCACCGTGGGCAATGAGAGCTCAATCCTACTGGGTAGCTCTGGGGAACAGTATGGAAGACTTGGCTCTGAATTAATCCACCTAAGGGGAAGGAGAGGTGAGGTATTTATACTCCAACTCCCATCTGTCATTGCCTACTCCCAGAGCCATTAACTCCCCAGTGTTCCCAGCCCTCCAAGCACAGGGCTGAGAGGAAATCCTCAAGTGGAGACACCTTCTTACATGTACAGGGACAGCAAGTGGCAAAGGCATGAGTCGGGGTGAGTGAGCAGGGCCAGCTACAAAGCCCAAGAGGAAAACCTGGTGTGATAAGAGGAATTTGTTTCCAACTAACAGGCATCAGAACCTAATGAAAACTAAGCAAGAAAGTGGAGATCTAAGACAAAAGAAAACTCTGGGCCGGGCCCAGTGGCTCATGGCTTTGGAAGGCCGAGATGGGTGGATCACCAGCGATCAGGAGTTCAAAATCAGCCTGGCCAACATGGTGAAACCCCGTCTCTACTAAAAACACAAAATTAGCCAGGCCTGGTAGTGTGTGCCTGTAATCCCAGCTACTTGGGAGGCTGAGACAGGAGAATCCCTTGAACCCGGGAGGTGGAGGTTGCAGTAAACTGAGATTGCGTCACTGCACTCCCGCCTGGGCAACAGAGGGAGACTCAATCTCAAAAAAAAAAAAAAGAAAAAACAAAAAAAAGTCTGGACAGAGAAGAAGTTAGAACCTTCCATCTGCCTCTCCTCTGTTCCCTCTGCAATGTGTATGTCTGGCTTTCGTCTTCTCTCCCCTCCCCAACCTGGAATCTATTTTCTTCTCAGTCTGAATCTTTCTTCCTCTTCCCCCTCAAGAGCTCCCCACCCACCCCTCCTGTCCCGATTTTCTCACCCCTCAAGAGCCCATAACATGAAAGTGAAGTATCTTGCTTAATATTTGTTTACTTAGGAACAGTGAGTTTTATGTACACTGTTCTTAATTAAATTCTCAGCAAGTTTCTATTTGTGGATGGAGAGGCATTCTGCCCAAGGAGGGGGGCCTTACAATCTTGGCACCTTGTTACTGATTCACCCCCCAGCACTTGGAAGGAACACTTGGGATTCAGTCTTTCATTTGGGGCCCATGAAGCTACTCGTGTTCTCAGCAACACTGATTATTGGCAATTTCCCTCTGTGAGGGAAGTAGATTTCCTTCCAGACATCCTGTAGTGGTGTTTCCGAAGGAGTAGTGACTCGCTGCTTCATCTGCGTGGGCGGCCCGATAGATAAATGCTCATGCAACGCGCCAGGCGGGGGATCTACAAGGAAGCACTTGGTCTCCACCCAAATCACAGTCTGGAGTTCTCGCTCCCCGCTGTCATTTCTGGGAGTCCTCTCTAAAGGGCTGCATCAAGAAAGCAAGCTTCTCACTGTCTTCCGGACCCTTGACTTTCCTCAAGACCACCCGGATGTCACCTCCTCCGAGGAGTCTTCCCTGACTACCTTGAGCCAGCAGCCACCCTCTGCTTTGTGCTCCCTGAATTGGGGTCCACCTGCTTGGACAGCAGGCCCAGATTGTGTGTCTGCTCACCAGGCTGTGGGCTCACAGAGGACAGAGTCTCCATCTTGGTCGCTTGTCTCCCTGAAAGTTTAGCATAGAGTATAAGCTTAGTAAATGTTTGTTGAATAAATGAATATATGAATGAAGGGATTGAATGAGTGCCAGGAGGACTTACTGGAGCCTTGGACGGGCTTGTAGGAACTCTTGGGCTGACAGCTAGCCAGAAACGTAAGGAGCCCAGAGTCCAGGAAGCCTGGTGTTTTTCACCCCGGGCTGGGGGCGGGGCCAGAGGAGGCCTAAGGGACTGAATTTCTCCCAGATAGAGCCAGGAATCTTCACTCCTGTTGATCTTACATACTGGGCTTCTAGAAATGGAGTTCCACTCCTTTAAAAAGTTACAAAACCGGCCATGTGTGGTGGCTCATGCCTGTAATCCCAGCAGTTCAGGAGGCCGAGGTGGGTGGGTCACTTGAGACCAGAAGTTTGAGACCAGCCTGGCCAACATGATGAAACCCTGTCTCTACTAAAAATGCAAAAATTAGCCAGGTGTGGTGGTGCATGCCTGTAATCCCAGGTACTCAGGAGGCTGAAGTAGGAGAATCGCTTGAACCCGGGAGGTGGAGGTTGCAGAGAGACAAGACTGCGCCACCGGACTGCAGCCTGGGTGACAGAGACTCTGTCTCAAAAAGAAAAAAGGTTAGAAAACCATTATTCCACATTCCAGCCTCAGCATGTTTTAGACTGGCATGGCATAGTCAAGGGAGGCTGCTCTGGGACCTGGGCTTACTGACTCCCTGGCCCGGGCTGGCTCAGCTCAAGGCCACAGCCACAGCCACCCACAGGCATGGTTCTGGCTCCTACTGAGGGCCTCACACCTGAAGACTCAGCCAGAGGGGGCACCCGCCCAGCCCTGTAATTGGAGTCTGGGGTCGGGAGATGGGTGTTGGGCAACTGGGCTGCGGGGGACTGAGGCTAACCGCCTCCAGGTGTGGGGGAGGCCAGAGGACATGGAAGGGAGACCGCAAGGTCAGGGTGAAGCTCGGGAGCCTAGGCTGGGTTCATGGGGCCAGGACAAGGTCCCTTCCCCAAGCCTGGACAGGTGCATCACAGGCAGCCACAGCCCTGAAAGATGAGGGTTAGGAGAGCCTGGAGCACGAGCTGAAACGGGTGAATCTGCGCTGGACCTCAGGTCTCCCTCCCCGCACCCTGCGTTGTAGGGAAGAGCAGGAACCCTGGCGGCCTCTGAGGCGGGGGCGGTGGGGGGCGCTGGGGGCGCGGAGTTGCAGCCGGCAGAGGAGCAGTGGCGCCACCTCCTGACGCCTTCGGGGAACGCAGCTGATGCCAGCCAGCCTCCGGCCTCTGAAGGGGGCATGGGGTGGGGGAGGCCCCGGGCCCAAAAAAGCAGATCAGCTATTTACTTCCCCATGCACAATTTTTTTTATATGTTATTAAGGAAAACTTGAAATATGTACAAAAGTAGAGAGAGCTGTCATAAACTCCCAGATACCCATCGTTCCACTTCACCAATTCGCTCATGGCCAATCCGACTTCCTCTCTAACCACCCTGCACTTTCTCCTCCCCGATGTATTTCAAATCAGATTAAATCCTGGGCATTATATCATTTCACTCCTAAATGTTTCAATATGTAACATAAGTATTTTTAACAATACAACCACAATACCATATTCCACAAAATAATACTTATTTCTTATCATCAAATAATACAGTCTCATAAATTTTTAAATGTTTTTCTACAGTTTATTAATCATGATCCTCATAAAGTCCACTCACTGCAACTAGCCCACTGTTTTTGAGTGCCTCTTCCTCTGTATGCCTCCCCTCCTTTCTGTCTTTTTTCCTTGCAATTCATTTGTTGAGAAAACCTGGTTGTCTGTCCTGACATGTCCCATAGTCTGGATTTTGTTGTCTGCATCCCTGTCATATAATTTCACGTGTTCCTCAGATTTTCTGAGTTGTAGATTCGGTCCGTTGGAGTTGAATCCGGAGGTTTGTTCAGATTCAGCTTTGGTCTCTTCTTGTGCTGTCAGCTGCCATTGGCAATCATTACCTGCATCCATTATGTCACCGGGGACTGTAAAATGGTGATATTCCAATTCTGTCATTAGCAGTTTGCTTTTTTGCTTTGTTTTGTCTTGTTTTTTGTTTTTTTGAGACAGTCTTGCTCTGTCACCCAGGCTGGAGCGTGGTGGTGCGATCTCGGCTCACAGCAACCTCAGCCTCCTGGGTTCAAGCAATTCTCCTGCCTCAGCCTCCTGAGTAGCTGGGACTACAGGCATGTGCCACCAAGCCCGGCTAATTTTTCTGTTTTTAATAGAGACAGGGTTGCACCGTGTTGGCCAGGCTGGACTTGAATGCCTGATCTCAGGTGATCTGCCCGCCTCAACTTCCCAAAGTGCTGGGATTACAGGCATGAGCCACCACACCCAGCCAGCTGTTTGCTTTTAAATCAGAGGTTCATTATGATATAGGCACAACATAACAGTATTCATAACAAGGATAAATAGGTTATTGCCATCAAGCAAAAGATAGGGAGTCTAAGATTTGATGAACAATGTAAGATCCAGTACTGTGCTATTTACGAGCAAGCACTTAAACAAAAGGATACAGGGAGATTGAAGACAGAAGGATTAAAAAGGATATAGCAGACAAATATGAACCAAAAGAAAGCTAAGGTGATCATCCTAATACCTGACAAATATAAGTTAATGCAAACAATAATGTCATAAGAAGAATTACAGATTTTCAAATAGCCACCCATGAGCATATAATTTCACGAAAAACTGTAGCTTCAAAATACATAAGATATCAGGCTGGGCGAGGTGGCTTACACCTGTAATCCCAGCACTTTGGGAGGCCGAGGGGGGTGGATCACTTTAGGTCAGGAGTTCAAGACCAGGCTGGGCAACATGGTGAAACCCCATCTCTACAGAAAAAAAAAAAAAGAAAAAAAGAAAAATTAGCCAGGCATAGTGGAGAGTGCCTGTGGTCCCATCTACTTGGGAGGCTGAGATAGGACGATCTCTTGAGCCCAGGATGTGGAAGTTGCAGTGAGCTGAGATCATGCCACTGCACTCCAGCCTGGGTGACAGAGTGAGACCCGTCTCAAAAATAATAATAATAATAATAAGATGTCAAATTACAGAATTGCATAGAGAAATAAATCTACAATTATTATTTAGAGAATTTAATTCATCTCCCCTAGAAACTGACCAAACCCAGACAAACAACTATCTCAATCAGCAAGCTAATAAGTAGATGCAGAACATCACACCTCCAATCAGGGTGATGCTCGCTGCTCCCAGAATTCCAAACAGGCCTGGCTTCACTCAGGCGACTCCTAGAATTCTGAGAGGCCCAGCCCTGCTGGCAGTGTGACAGGGTCAGATTTTGAGACCCCTATGCTTCTCTGTCTTTGCACACAAAGAGAACCACCTTAGACTTGAGCGACCAGGACCTCCCTGCCTTGTGCCCCTATTTAGAGGGCCCTTCTCTGGCCTTCCTATAGCTATGCCCCGCCCACAGGGCATGGAATTCGTAAGACCAAGAGCATAAGCCCACCTTCCTGGTCACTGCTGCATGGCCCAGGAAGGGGAAGGGGCACAGGTAGGACCTGCCGAAATGGTCCTGAGCCTGCCTCTAGGACTCACATCATTTTTCTTTGGGTCCTTCCTCCCAACGATGGACTGCCCTCAGTGTGTGCACTCTCAAGCTCAAAGAGCCTAAAGGAGGCTATTTGTTGGGGGGATGATGGAGGTGAGAAGGGCTTGGAGATGGAGAGTGGACTGACCACAGCATGCAGGAAGACCCTTTGTGGTACAGACAAAGATGGGGATGGGAGGAGAAAAGGAGGAGCTACAGACCAGAGCCTCCATCTGTGCTCTTGCCCCCAAACCTCTCATGTGTTAGAGTTGCACACGAACGTCACAACCCTGATCACACCCCTTCCCTTCCCCTCCGAGGCTGGTGATAAAACACAAGGAGCAAAAACAATCACTGCTGGAGGCCTAATTATGGCAAGCAGCCTGGCAATGCTGTATATAGACTCTGCTTTGAGCAAAATGTGCTGATTTATGCAGTTTCCAACATTTAAAGGTGGAGACCAGACTGTGGCTGAATTGGATCAGATCATTCTCTGGGACAAATTACAACCCTGGGCTGCTGAGCAAAAATTTGTAAAGAATTGTCTCTCTCTCCTGCCCCTTCTTTCCCAGAACTACCAGCTCCACCATGGATTCTCTGGCCATTCCTTTGACCCTTTGTCCCTTCCTCACCCCAGCCCAGCACAAGGGCTGGCATGGAGTGGCAGCTTATAAAACATCTGCTGAATGAATAAGTCTATTTCCTAGAGGGTGAGCCCTATTGGATGGGGTGCACTGGACAAAACCACCTAACCTAGTGTCAACCATAGAAGCTTAGGATCTAGACTACTGGGTTCAAGTTCCTGTTCTCAGTAGCCCTTTCTTGTAGACCCACAGTCCCCAAGTTGTGTGTCAAGACATCTGTGATGAACTGAATGTTTGCATCCCGCAAAATTCATATTTTGAAGCCCTACCCTGCAAAGTGATGGTGTTTGGAAACGGGGCCTTTGGGAGGCAAATACAGTTAGATTAGGTCATGAGGGTGGGGCTCTCATGATGGGATTAGTGGCCTTATGAAAATAGGAAGAAAGATCACTCTCTCTTTCTGCCATGCCAGGACACAGTGAGAAGGCAGCCATCTGCAAGCCAGGAAGAGAGCCCTCCCCAGTACTCAACTTTGCTGGCATCTCGATCATGGACTTCTAGCCTCCAGAACTGTGAAAAAGTAAATCTCTGCTGTTTAAGCCACCCAGTTTATGGTATTTTGTTCTAGCAGCCCAAGAAGATGAAGATAACACTCCTAGGGTCCAAGTGCAATGGCTCACCCCTGTAATCCCAGCACTTTGGGAGCCCAAGGCAGCAGATCACTTGAGGTCAGGAGTTTAAGACCAGCCTGGTGGACACAGTGAAACCCTGTCTCTACTAAAAATACAAAAATTAGCCAGGTATGGTGGTGGACATCTGTAGTCCCAGCTACTTGGGAGGCTGAGGCAAGAGAATCGCTTGAACCTGGGAGATGGAGGTTGCAGTGAGTTGAGATTGCACCACTGCACTCCAGTCTAGGCAGTAGAGTAAGACTTTGTCTAAAATAAATAAATAAATAAAATAGCACTCCTAGGCACTGCAGCACACACAGGAGGGGAACATTTATTATCTTACCTGTTTTAAAGAAACATAATATTTGTCAGATACCCACAAACTACAGCTCAAGGCAGTTCACTGTTTCAACATTAGCTTGTGCTACATCGCTTTCAGTGACATCATATCTTTGAAAAGCTGGGTTTTCTGTAGTTACAGTTATAAAAAGCAAACATCACGTGAAAATCAATGTAGAACAGAAAATGAAGGAAGCAACGTCCAATCTGATTCAAGTTTTGAGAAGCTGTGCAGTGCCCAACAGGCATATGCATACATCCCATGACTATGTCATTCTGGTTGAGATGGAAGAAAATTATTTTTTGTTTCAATTTATGTGAGTTATTTTTTCAAACAGTGACTCAGCTGTTAGGGCATAAAGAGTTGTAAGTTGTCTGCACCTAATTACTTAATAAACAAAACTATTAGGTATTTCTTTAGGCCTTGGGGCACCATGAAAAAGTTACTGAGACACTGAAGGCATTGGGAACGGAGAAACTGTGGGAGTCCCCGTGTTAGGCATTTTACTTCATCTTATCTGGGCGTCAGTTTTCCTATAGATAAACTGGAGGCCAGGCACAGTGGCTCGCGCCTGTAATCCCAGCACTTTGGGAGGCCGAGGGGGGTAGATCACCTGAGGTCAGGAGCTTGAGACCAGCCTGGCCAACATGGTGAAACCCCATCTCTACTAAAAATACAAAAATTAGCCAAGCATGGTGGCAGACACCTGTAATCCCAGATACTTGAGGGACTGACTGAGACAGGAGAATCGCTTGAACCCAGGAGGTGGGCGTTACAGGGAGCCGATATCGCACCATTGCACTCCAGCCTGGGAGACAAGAGTGACACTCCATCTCAAAACAAAAAAAACAAACAAACTAACAAACACTGGAGATAATAAGTATATATCGCAAGGTTATTGACAGGATGAATTAAGTGAAGATAAATGCAGTATTTAGAATGGTACCTAGTGCATAACAATAGCTGCATATATGTGGTTATTATTACACAGAAAGGCCAAATTGGTAGTTGTAATTATCACAGGGAAAATGTCTAAAATGCAGCAAAGAACAATTTTCCAACATTCTCTTTTTTATTAATAATGTAATTACCATATACCAAGTACTTGGACATGCATTACAAAGAGCACTGGACTGGGAGTCATAAGGAGATGTGTTCCAGCCACAGTTCAGCCTTGAAACCTTGAGCAAGGCACTCCCTCCCCCTGAGCCTCAGTTTCCACATCAGTATATCATATGTGTGGTGGTGACCATGGGTTTTGTGGGGCAGGGTTAAGACTCTTTCCTCAACTGTGCAAACACCAAAGGGACCAGGCCACCGATGGGGAAGTTCCTCCTATATTACAAACAGAGAAAAACTTAAGAAGTCGTTAATATTTTGAAATTGATCTGCTAATTAGAAACTCTCTTTGGGCTGGGCGTGGTGGCTCACATCTGTAATCCCAGCATTGGGAGGCTGAGGCAAGAAGATCACTTGAGCACCGGAGTTCAAGACCAGCCTGGGCAACATGGTAAAACCCCATTTCTTTTTTTTTTTTTTTTTTTTTAATGTTTTTTTTTTTTATTATACTCTAAGTTTTAGGGTACATGTGCACATTGTGCAGGTTAGTTACATATGTATACATGTGCCATGCTGGTGCGCTGCACCCACTAACGTGTCATCTAGCATTAGGTATATCTCCCAATGCTATCCCTCCCCCCTCCCCCGACCCCACCACAGTCCCCAGAGTGTGATATTCCCCTTCCTGTGTCCATGTGATCTCATTGTTCAATTCCCACCTATGAGTGAGAATATGCGGTGTTTGGTTTTTTGTTCTTGCGATAGTTTACTGAGAATGATGGTTTCCAATTTCATCCATGTCCCTACAAAGGACATGAACTCATCATTTTTTATGGCTGCATAGTATTCCATGGTGTATATGTGCCACATTTTCTTAATCCAGTCTATCATTGTTGGACATTTGGGTTGGTTCCAAGTCTTTGCTATTGTGAATAGTGCCGCAATAAACATACGTGTGCATGTGTCTTTATAGCAGCATGATTTATAGTCCTTTGGGTATATACCCAGTAATGGGATGGCTGGGTCAAATGGTATTTCTAGTTCTAGATCCCTGAGGAATCGCCACACTGACTTCCACAATGGTTGAACTAGTTTACAGTCCCACCAACAGTGTAAAAGTGTTCCTATTTCTCCACATCCTCTCCAGCACCTGTTGTTTCCTGACTTTTTAATGATTGTCATTCTAACTGGTGTGAGATGATATCTCATAGTGGTTTTGGTTTGCATTTCTCTGATGGCCAGTGATGATGAGCATTTCTTCATGTGTTTTTTGGCTGCATAAATGTCTTCTTTTGAGAAGTGTCTGTTCATGTCCTTCGTCCACTTTTTGATGGGGTTGTTTGTTTTTTTCTTGTAAATTTGTTTGAGTTCATTGTAGATTCTGGATATTAGCCCTTTGTCAGATGAGTAGGTTGCGAAAATTTTCTCCCATGTTGTAGGTTGCCTGTTCACTCTGATGGTAGTTTCTTTTGCTGTGCAGAAGCTCTTTAGTTTAATTAGATCCCATTTGTCAATTTTGGCTTTTGTTGCCATTGCTTTTGGTGTTTTGGACATGAAGTCCTTGCCCACGCCTATGTCCTGAATGGTAATGCCTAGGTTTTCTTCTAGGGTTTTTATGGTTTTAGGTCTAACGTTTAAATCTTTAATTGGTAAAACCCCATTTCTATAAAAGAAAAATGAATAAATATATATATGTTAAGAAACTGTCTTTATCAGCTCATTGGGATAAGTTTCTCTTGACTCTGGAGGTCACTGAAGGAATCAGTTTCTCGGCTTCCTCTGAGTCAAAGGTAATGAAGCCAGTCAGAGCTCCAAAATCATTGGCTTCCAACTGATCCAGACCTTTCACTAAATTAGACCATCTCAGAATGTGTCGAAATAGTGAGGGTTTT
Source organism: Homo sapiens (assembly GCF_000001405.40). NCBI lineage: Eukaryota > Metazoa > Chordata > Mammalia > Primates > Hominidae > Homo > Homo sapiens. Next base: position 43,397,398 of record NC_000020.11, read on the forward strand.
GCCAGCTGTATAATCAGTTCCATATTCAATTTCTTAAATAGAGATTTGTTGATAAACCAACCTACCATTTTTAAAATGTAGTTTTGTCTTCCCCCCCCCCAAAAAAACAAAAGACTTTCTTTTAAAAAAAGATCTCAGTTTTCATCAGATCAAATTTCCTTTGCCATTTGCCTCTAGGGTTCCTAGGGATTCTGATTTTTTTTAATGCTGAGTTCACTCCTTTATATTAGATCGTCATTGAAATGGACCTCACTCCCATAGAGGGGTGATTATGGGTTTATTCCTTTTGCAAGGCTGATGGCTGACAGAAGTGATACTGCTGGTAGCTTCAAGGAAATGTGTTTTATAAAACGAGGACTGAGATTGTTATAAAGCTGATTTTGGCACGTTTTTCTAACTTAAAAAAATGAAAATGGAAAAATGGTTTCTCTCAGATGAAGGGTTCTGCGTGTATACACAGGATTTCAAAATCTAAAGCCCCCCCCCTCTCCATAATAGAAATAAAGATGAGTGTCACTCCCTGACCTCCACTTCCCATTCTCCAGGCCAGCCAGGTCTGTCTCTAAGCCTGGAGCAGAAAGCTGAGCTACCCACGGCTCCCAGATTCTCCCTGACGGCACATAGCATTTGGATGTGAGAATGTTCAGACTCACCCCAACAAAACAAATGAGTACCTTTGAGCTTTTAAAAAAAAAACCACCTTGGTCAGGTGCAGTGGCTCACACCTTTAATCCCAACATTTTAGCATGCCAAGGCAGGAGTATAGTTTGAGCCCAGGAGTTGAAGACCAACCTGGGCAACATAGCCAGACCATGTCTCTACTAAAAAGACAAAATAATAGCCAGGCGTGATGGCCCGAGCCTGTAGTCTCAGCTACTCAGGAGGCTGAGGTGGGAGGATCATCTGAGCTGCGGAGGTCGAGGCTGCAGTGAGCCATGATCATGCCACCACACTCCAGGCTAGAACCTGGGTGACAGACTGAGACCTTGTCTCAAAAGAAACAAAAAATCACCTTGGCTCACCCTTGAAACTGATTCCATGACCTCAGAGACACCCTTGGTAGAAAAATCAGGAAAGGCCTCCCACAGTTAAGAGTTAGGACCCAGACCATCCTTCCCATGTAGCTTCTAGAGCCAGATGGTCCAGGTTCAAATCCTGGCTCTGCCACTAGCCAGCTGTGTGACTTTGAGCAAGTCACTTAACCTTTCTGTGCTTTGCTTTTCTCATATGCCAAGTGGAAGTAACAATTAAGAATCAAATGACTTAGTATTTGTAAAAGTTCTTACCATAAGAGCTAGTGCGCATTATTTGATGAAAGCAAGCGGCTGGGGTTTTGTCTTATGCCTGGCCAACAGATGGTCGTCCTCCTCTCCCAGCCTGCGCCTCAGAGTGATCCATGTCCCCAGTGAGCTCACTGCCCACTTCCTAACTTTCACCCACTCCTGCCTTCCGCTCCAGAGAAAAGTCTGTTCAGGCCTTAACATTGCTCAACAACTCTTGATTTTTCCTAGTCCATCCTTTTGCCGTCTTCATGGATTCAGTGTCAGATCTGCCTCTCCCACCAAATCTCTGAGCCTCACTCACACTTGGCTTCTCTCCTTCACAGAGAAAATAATGCTGTCAAACAGAAACCCCACAACCTCCTTCCATGCCTCTCACTCTGTCCTGCTCCTGACCATGCCTCCTTTCTCCCCTACTCTCCTTCTTACCAGAGTGGAGGAGGTCCCATCCCTCCACCATCTGAGGTTGGTTGCCATCCCCAGTGGGGCCTGCCAGTGCAGTTGTGCCGGTTGTGCACTGTACAAGGGCACCTAGCCAAGGTGTCAGTAGAAACGAAAATCCAACCAATTTGTGCCTTCCAAATCCTTTATCCCAGCAGGAGATACCCAGACATGTGTGCTTTTTCTAAATCATCCACTGAGAAGGGCCCATTTTTCAAATTTAAGCAACAATTTTTTTTTTTTTTTTGAGATGGAGTTTTGCTTTTGTCATCCAGGCTGGAGTGCAATGGTACGATCTCGGCTCACTGCAACCTCCGCCTCCTTGGTTTAAGCAATTCTCCTGTCTCAGTCTCCCACGTAGCTGAGATTACAGGCGCTGCCACCACGCCCAGCTAATTTTTGTAATTTTAGTAGAGACAGGGTTTCGCCATGTTGGCTAAGCTGGTCTCGAACTCCTGACCTCAGGTGATCCACCCACCTCGGCCTCCCAAAGTGCTGTGATTACAGGCATGAGCCACTGCGCCCGGCTAAACAGATATCTTATAGGCAAGTGGAGATCGTGGCCCCTGAGCTCAAAACCTCAGATAGCCCTGTTCTTTCAGAGCCTTTATCACACTGTCACCTCTTTATTAGCCTGTCCTTTATCAGCTTCTACCTTCAGTCTCAGAGCTGTCGTGAGCAGAGGATGACATGAAGGAAAAGCAGCCAACACTTGAAATGGTGCAAAGAAATTACCGCGTATCCTTCAGTGCTGGGTGTTGCAAGTCAGATGCCTCCCCCATTATCTGATTCTCCAAGAACTGAGCTGTCCAATACGGTAGCCACTAGCCACGTGCAGTTACTAAACATAAAACATGGGTACTCAAAATCGAGCTGTGCTGTTAGGTACAAAACACACACTGGATTTCAAAGACTTAGTAAGAAAAAAATGTTAAATATTTCATTAAGGCCGGGCACAGGGGCTCATGCCTCTAATCCTAGCACTTTGGGAGGCCAAGGTGAGAGGATCACTTGAGCCCAGGAGCTCGAGAGCAGCCTGGGCAACAGTGCAAGTCCCCATCTCCACAAAATTTTATTTTAAAAATTAGCTGGACATGGTGGTGCATGCCTGTAGTCCCAGCTACTTAGGAGGCTGAGGTGGGAGGATGGCTTGAGCCCAGGAGGTCAAGGCTACCATGACCCACCTGGGCAACAGAGTGAGACCTGCCTCAAAAAAGAATTTTCATTAATAATTCTTATATCACATGTTTCTAGGGCTATCATAACAAAGTAGCACAAACAGCGTGGCTTAAAACAACAGAAATTTATTGTCGTACAACTCTGGAAGCTAGAAGTCCAAAATCAAGGTGCCAGCAAACCCATGCTCCCTCTGAAACCTGGAAGGGGGAACCATTGCCTGCCTGCTTTCTAGCTTCTGATGGTGGCCATCAATTCTTGGTGTTCCTTGGCTTGTAGCTGCCTCATACGTGCCTCTGTCGTCGCTTGGTGCTCTCCCTGTGCTGTCACATAGCATCGTCTTAGAAGGATTCCCATCACAGTAGAGATTAAGCGCCCATCCTACTCCAGTATGACCTGATCTTAACTAATTACATTTGCAACAACCCTATTTCCAAATAAGGTCATATTCTAAAGTACTGAAGGTGAGGATTTTAACATGTATTTTAGGGAAACACAATTAAACCCACAACACATGTGTTTTGTTTTATTTTGTTTTGTTTTGTTTGAGACGGAGTCTCTCTCTGTCACCCAGGCTGGAGTGCAGTGGAGCCATCTTGGCTCACTGCAGACTCTGCCTCCTGGATTCAAGCAATTGTCCTGCCTCAGCCTCCCGAGTAGCTGGAATTACAGATGTGCACCACCACGACCGGCTAATTTTTGTATTTTTAGTATAGACAGGGTTTCACCATGTTGGCCAGGCTGGTATTGAACTTCTGACCTCAAGTGATCCGCCTCCCTCAACCTCCCAAAGTGCTGAGTGACCTGACCCGGCCCCACAACACATGTTTAAATGATACTATTTGAATACATTGAGTGAAATTAAATACAATGATTGATTGCATTTGAGGCTTACATTACATGTCTATTGGGTGGCACCGCTCTAGGGGTGTGTACTGTAGTTTGACTTGTTATTTACTATTGATTAGGGTAGCTTACAACTCTGAAAAAGAAAAGTGTTAATCCATAGAAAACCAATAGCAACCAATAAACTTTATCCTGTAGCGATGCAAATGAAAAGATCATAACCCAAAGTTTCTGGATTTCTTCTGTATGTACTTTAGCAGTCTTATTCCAACATTCTTTCTCTTTTTATTTATTTTTTTTTATTATACCTTAGGTTCTAGGGTACATGTGCACAACACGCAGGTTTGTTACATATGTATACATGTGCCATGTTGGTGTGCTGCATCCATTAACTCATCATTTAACATTAGGTGTATCTCCTAATGCTATCCCTCCCCTCTCCCTCCACCCCACGACAGGCCCCGGTGTGTGATGTTCCCCTTCCTGTGTCCAGGTGTTCTCATTGTTCAATTCCCACCTATGAGTGAGAACATGCAGTGTTTGGTTTTTTGTCCTTGCGATAGTTTGCTGAGAATGATGGTTTCCAGCTTCATCCATGTCCCTACAAAGGACATGAACTCATCATTTTTTATGGCTGCATAGTATTCCATGGTGTATATGTGCCACATTTTCTTAATCCAGTCTATCATTGATGGACATTTGGGTTGGTTCCAAGTCTTTGCCATTGTGAATAGTGCCGCAATAAACATATGTGTGCATGTGTCTTTATAGCAACATGATGTACAATCCTTTGGGTATATACCCTGAAATGGGATGGCTGGTTCAAATGGTATTTCTAGTTCTAGATCCCTGAGGAATCGCCACACTGTCTTCCACAATGGTTGAACTAGTTTACAGTCCCACCAACAGTGTAAAAGTGTTCCTATTTCTCCATGTCCTCTCCAACACCTGTTGTTTCCTGACTTTTTAATGATGGCCATTCTAACTGGTGTGAGATAGTATGTCATTATGGTTTTGATTTGCATTTCTCTGATGGCCAGTGATGATGAGCATTTCTTCATGTGTCTGTTGGCTGCAAAAATGTCTTCTTTTGAGAAGTGTCTGTTCATATCCTTCACCCACTTGTCGATGGGGTTGTTTGGGTTTTTTTGTAAATTTGTGTAAGTTCTTTGTAGATTCTGGATATTAGCCCTTTGTCAGATGAGTAGATTGCAAAAATTTTCTCCCATTCTGTAGGTTGCCTGTTCACTCTGATGGTAGTTTCTTTTGCTGTGCAGAAGCTCTTTAGTTTAATGAGATCCCATTTGTCAATTTTGGCTTTTGTTGCCATTGCTTTTGGTGTTTTAGACATGAAGTCCTTACCCATGCCTATGTCCTGAATGGTATTGCCTAGGTTTTTCTTCTATACTTTTTATGGTTTTAGGTCTAACATTTAAGTCTTTAATCCATCTTGAATTAATTTTTGTATAAGGTGTAAGGAAGGGATCCAGTTTCAGCTTTCTACATATGGCTAGCCAGTTTTCCCAGCACCATTTATTAAATAGGGAATCCTTTCCCCATTTCTTGTTTTTGTCAGGTTTGTCAAAGATCAGATGGTTGTAGATGTGTGGTATTATTTCTGAGGGCTCTGTTCTGTTCCATTGGTCTATATCTCTGTTTTGGTACCAGTACCATGCTGTTTTGGTTAGCCTTGTAGTATAGTTTGAAGTCAGGTAGCGTGATGCCTCCAGCTTTGTTCTTTTGGCTTAGGATTGACTTGGCGATGGGGGCTCTTTTTTGGTTTCATATGAACTTTAAAGTAGTTTTTTCCAATTCTGTGGAGAAAGTCATTGGTAGCTTGATGGGGATGGCATTGAATCTATAATTTACCTTGGGCAATATGGCCATTTTCATGTTATTGATTCTTCCTATCCGTGAGCATGGAATGTTCTTCCATTTGTTTGTGTCCTCTTTTATTTCGTTGAGCAGTGGTTTGTAGTTCTCCTTGAAGAGGTCCTTCACATCCCTTGCAAGTTGGATTCCTAGGTATTTTATTCTCTTTGAAGCAATTGTGAATGGGAGCTCACTCATGATTTGGCTCTCTGTTATTGGTGTATAAGAATGCTTGTGATTTTTGCACATTGATTTTGTAACCTGAGACTTTGCTGAAGTTGCTTATCAGCTTGAGGAGATTTTGGGCTGAGATGATGGGGTTTTCTAAATATACAATTATGTCATCTGTAAACAGGGACAATTTGACTTCCTCTTTTCCTAATTGAATACCCTTTATTTCTTTCTCCTGCCTGATTGCCCTGGCCAGAACTTCCAACACTATGTTGAACAAGAGTGGTGAGAAAGGGCATCCCTGTCTTGTGCCAGTTTTCAAAGGGAATGCTTCCAGTTTTTGCCCATTCAGTATGATATGGGCTGTGGGTTTGTCATAAATAGCTCTTATTATTTTGAGATACATCCCATCAATACCTAATTTATTGAGAGTTTTAGCATGAAGCGCTGTTGAATTTTGTCAAAGGCCTTTTCTGCATCTATTGAGATAATCGTGTGGTTTTTGTCTTTGGTTCTGTTTATATGCTGGATTACATTTATTGATTTGTATATGTTGAACCAGCCTTGCATCCCAGGGATGAAGCCCACTTGATCATGGTGGATAAGCTTTTTGATGTGCTGCTGGATTCGGTTTTCCAGTATTTTGCTGAGGATTTTTGCATCGATGTTCATCAGGGATATTAGTCTAAAATTCTCTTTTTTTGTTGTGTCTCTGCCAGGTTTTGGTATCAGGATGATGCTGGCCTCATAAAATGAGTTAGGGAGGATTCCCTCTTTTTCTATTAATTGGAATAGTTTCAGAAGGAATGGTACCATCTCCTCCTTGTATCTCTGGTAGAATTCGGCTGTGAATCCGTCTGGTCCTGGACTTTTTTTGGTTGGTAGGCTATTAATTATTGCCTCAGTTTCAGAGCCTGTTATTGGTCTATTCAGGGATTCAACTTCTTTCTGGTTTAGTCTTGGGAAGGTGTATGTGCCCAGGAATTTATCCATTTCTTCTAGATTTTCTAGTTTATTTGCATAGAGGTGTTTATAGTAGTCTCTGATGGTAGTTTGTATTTCTGTGGGATCGGTGGTGATATCCCCTTTATCATTTTTTATTGCATCTATTTGATTCACCTCTCTTTTCTTCTTTATTAGTCTTGCTAGCGATCTATGAATTTTGTTGCTCTTTTCAAAAAACCAGCTCCTGGATTCATTGATTTTTTGAAGGGTTTTTTGTGTCTCTATCTCCTTCAGTTCAGGTACACCTGAAGATAAGAAACAGACTATGTGAACTAAAAGATGGTTGCCGCTTCACTTCGGCCCTCCAAATCTCCCACAAGAACCTCTCTTAGCTGGGCGCAGTGGCTCACACCTGTAATCCCAGCACTTTGGGAGGCCGAGGCAGGCAGATCACTTGAGGTCAAGAGATCAAGACCATCCTGGCCAACACATTGAAACCCCGTCTCTACTAAAAATAAAAAAATTAGCTGGGCATGGTGGCACGTGCCTGTAATCCCAGCTACTCAGGAGGCTGAGGCAGGAGAATCGCTTGAACCCGGGAGGTGGAGGTTGCAGTGAGCCAAGATCACGCCACTGCACTCCAGTCTGGGCGACAGAGTGAGACTCCGTCTCAAAAAAAAAAAAAGAACCTCTCTTGTGTCCCACCCTAACAAGAAATGTATAGGTAACGAAGTTTGTAAAATGTAGTTCATCCTAGCTGAATTCACATATTTTAAAGCCACTATACTAGCTAAGGCTAAAAGAACAGAACAGATTTTTTAGTCCCATCTTCTCCGGAAGACTTCCAGTCAATGCCTAAGCAAGGTAGTATCAAAGGCTTCGTCATTGCTGCCCAATGGGGGAATTCCCTTAGTAGGCAATTTTTGCTCCAGAGCTCCCCCGTCAGGCTGGCAGAAATAGTACTAAGAATTCATTGTGAGGTGACACCTCCCCTGCTCAATCCTGCTTTTTCCCATTTTCTTTCACAGGTGACAGTCCACAATAAATTTTTTGTATTTCTAACTCTGGCTTAGCATCTGCATCTCAGAAATTCCAACAAACATAAAATAATTTTAAAGCAAACATTATAACTATACTCAAGGACTGCAAATATGCTTCAAATAAGCGAATAAATAGAAATTTTCAACAGATAAATAGAAACTACAAAAAGAATCAAATGAACACGCTAGAATTTAAAAATTCAATATCTGGATTTTTTAAAGTTCACTGGATAGGCTTAACAAGAGATGAGAGGTGACAGAGAGTCAACAAACTTGAAGATAGGTCAATAGAAATATCCTACCTGTCCTCACTTCGGCAGTACATATACTAAAATTGGAACGATACAGAGAGGATTAGCATGGCCCTGCACAAGGATGATATGCCAATTCATGAAGCATTATAAAATAATTTTTAAATTTTTTTAAAAAAGAAATAGCCCTGCTGAAGAATAGAAAAATAAAAAATGGTGAAATTTCAGTGACCTATGGAGCAATATCAAAAGTTTTAACTTTGTATCACTGGAGTCCTTGAAGGCAAGAAAAGATTGGGACAAAAAAGTTTTCTGGGTTGGGCGTGCTGGCTCACGCCTATATTCCTAGCACTTTGGGAGGCCAAGGCGCGTAGATCACCTGAGGTCAGGAGTTCGAGACCAGTCTGACCAACATGGTGAAACGCCATCTTTACTAAAAATATAAAAAATTAGCCAAGCATGGTGGTGCATGCCTGTAATCCCAATCTCAGCTACTTGGGAGGCTGAGGCAGGAGAATCTCTTGAACCCAGGAGGCAGAAGTTGCAGTGAGCCAAGATCATGCCACTGCACTCCAGCTTGGGCAAGAAGAGTGAAATTACATCTCAAAAAAAAAAAAAGTTTTGTGAAGAAATAATGGTCAAATTTTTAGTGCAATTTATAAATTTATACAGTCAAGAAATTCAACAAACTCCAAGCAGGAAAAAATACAAAGAAAACCACATATAGATACATCATACCAAACTGCTGAAAACCAAAGATAAAGAAAATATCATGGTATTAGCCAGAGAAAATTTACGCAAAACATAATGGGGAACAATGATTTGAATGACTTCTGACTTCACGTCAGAAATAGTAGAGAACAAAAGACAACAGAAAAACAACTTTAAGCCTAGGCAACATGGTGAAACCCCGCTTTTACAGAAAAAAATACAAAAATTAGCCAGCATGGTGGTTCACACCTGTAGTCCCAGCTGTTTGGGAGGCTGAGGCAGTAGGATCACTTGAGCCCAGGATGTTGAGGCTGCAGTGAGCCATGATCACACCACTGCACTCCAGGCTGGGTGACAAAGTGAGACCCTATATCCAAAAAAAAAGAAAAGAAAAACAACTTAAATTGTCAACCCAGAATTCTATATCCACTAAAATATACCTGAAAATGAATGTGTTGCTATGTAACAATTACCACAACCTAGTGGTTTTTAAATTTGCACATTATCTCACAGTTTCTGTAGATTAGAAGTCAGAGCCAGGAATCTGTTCTCACCTGGAAGCTGAACTGACAATGAATCGTCTCCCAAGCTCACTCAGGTTAGTGGCAGAATTTCTTTCTTTGAGACTGTAAGACTGAGGCTATGCTGAGCAACTAGATGTTGCCTGAAATTTCTTGCCTGGTGGGCTCAGATAAGTTTTTGCAAGCCTCCGTGCTCACAGCCAGTAAGTAAAAGAGACTCTAGAGTCAGCTAGCAAGACAGAGTTTTTTATAATGTACCATATCATGGCAGTGGCAACCTATCACTTTTGCCATATTCTATTGTTTAGAAGCAATTCACAAGTCCCACTCACACTCAAGGAGAGGAGATTATATGAAGATGTGAATACCAGAAGGTGGGGATTATTGGGGGTCGCTCAAGTCCTGTCCACCACAAGGAAGATGAAATAAAAACATTTTAAAATGAATGAAAACTAAGAGACTTCACTCAGCAGACCTGCATTACAAGAAACACTAAATGAAGTTCATCAAATGAAGGGAAGTGACACAGATGGGAACTCATATATCTTCGAGAAGAAGTGAAATCCCTGGTGTTTTGTGAAAAGGCCATCTATGCAAAGCGACACCCAAAAACAGAAGGAGCCAAGAAGCCAAAGAATGAGGCTGACAAATCCAGTTTGTCAGTAGGAACTTATAGACAGAAGCGTAGTCTTGGGTGACAGCAAGACAAAAAATCTCTGCACCGTTACTCCCCAGACCCAGGGCTTTTATACCATAGGGCAAGAGTATATGTGCTCTATAGAGACAATTAAAGGCACCCTCCAGACAGGCAAAAATACTATAGGCATCATAGCCCATAATTTCTGCAATAACATCAAGATAGACCTGTTGTTACACTGGGAACAGTAAGTAAAGTAGAAATTTTGCAGGCATTCCCAGGACTGGGGTTAAGCAGAAGTCAACATGGAAGATTAACATCCAAGATGGGGTCATTTTTCTCTCCACATCTGAAAATGTTAAACATGTTGCTGAGTGATATGGTTTGGGTCTGTGTCCCTGCCCAAATCTCATGTCAAATCATAATCCCCAATGTTGGAGGAGGGGACTGTTGGAGGTGATTGGATCATGGGGGCAGACTTCCCCCTTGCTGTTCTCATGATAGTGAATGAGTTCTCATGAGATCATGTTGTTCAACAGTGTGTAGCACCTGCCCCTTCCCTCTCCTCCCCCTGCTCTGGTCATGTAAGACGTGCCTCCTTCCTCTCCACCTTCTACCATGATTGTAAGTTTCCTGAGGCCTCTCCAGCCATGCTTCCTGTGCAGCCTGCAGAACTGTGAGCCAATTAAATCTGTTTTCTTTATAAATTACCCAGTGTCCAGTAGTTCTTTATAGCAGTGTTACAACGACTAATTTAGTGAATATAAAATATTACATTCTCCTTAATTTCTAAATGCTTCTAACTCTTTAAAGTAAAAATTATAACATTGTATTGTGGGAGTTTTAATGTTTTTATACATTATATATGAAAATACAGCATAAAGGTTGGGGGTAAACTGATGTGTATAGTTGTAAGGCTCTTAAATTTTGTGTGAAGTGGTAAAATATTTATATCTACGTAGAATGTAGACTCTAAGCTAAGAATGAATATTGTAATCACTAAGCAACCACTTTAAAACATAGAAAGAGGTGTAGCTAGAATGCCAATTAACAAATTAAAATGGAGTTCCAAAAATTTATTTTAACCCATAAGAAGGCCAAAAAGGATGAAGAGAGGAAAAATGTATATACAAAACAAACAAGTAATAAAATGGTAGATCTATATCAAATTATGTCCATAATTACATTATCTGTAAATGGACTAAACACTCCAGCGAAAAAGCAGAGAAGGCAGGATTAAAAAACAATAACAAGGAGAATCTATATCCAACTACAAGAGATACACTTTAAATGTTACAATACAGATAGCTGAAAGGAAAGAGATGAGAAAAGATACATTATACAGCATCCAATCAGGGCATAAGAAAGCTAGAATAAGGGCTAGGTTAATTTCAAATGGAGTAGACTTTAAGACAGAGATAAAAAGGGACATTTCATGGTGGTAAAATGGTCCATTTTCATCAAGAGAACAAAAATCAGAATTGCATCTAACGATAGAGCTTAAAAATGCATGAAACAAAAATTGACAAAACCTGGACTCCCAGTTACAAAATCGCAGTGCAGAAGCAAGCTGGTTTCACTCCCCACCCCCCACAGAAAACCAAAAACAAATATATAGCACCAAGATTATCACCAGCAATATACCATAACTCAAATATGAGGATGAGACAGTTCCTGGGACTACAGAGAAGTGAAAAAACTCTGAGCCGACAGTCAGAGGATCAGACTTCCATATCCATAATGCTCTGCCCTCCGATCTGCCCAGCACCAAACACATGGAAATCTTCCCCCTGACTCACAGCTTCTACACTGGAAACACTAAGATTGAGGCGTTTGATCTATTTCCCCACCATCCTGCGTTCTTTGGCAGGAGACCTGCCTCTGCCCCAAGTCACAGGAAGCATTGAGAGTGCCTAGAAAGAGAAATGCCCCTAAGGACAGTCAGAGACAAATGGCAAAGGTGGGACTTACTATCCCCAGCTTAGAAAACTCTGCTCTGGACGTTGGCCAAAGGAGATACCAAATCAGAGTGGCTGTTCATCATCACCACACGGGAGGAGGTTCGTTTCACAGGTTCCCTGTTCGCAAACCCCTGGAAAGCTTCCCACGCTGCCAGGCTATCCCTTTTGGAGCCTCACCCGTTTGGGAACAGGCAGCAATCTGATTTACTACAACTGAGGCAAACTTGAGCTTAAGGCGCCATCTAGTGCCAAAAAGGAGGCAGTGATCTAGAGGGAAAAACAAAAGAAACATAATTAACAGGTAAATTACAAAGACTCTCTAAGCAAACATATCCCCCAAAAAACCAAAACAAGCCAGACAGGGAAGTCTGGAATAAATAACTAATCCTTTAATGCAGAGAAATAGACATCCATGCACAAGAAACAACAGCAAACAGGCAGCTGCGTGTGGTGGAGCACACATGCAGTCCCAGCTACTCAGGAGCCTGAGCCTGAGACCAGGAGTTCAAGGCCACCTTGAACTAAGAATACATTACTGCACTCCAGCCTGGGTGACAGAACAAGACCCTCTGTCTCAAAAAAAAAAAAAAATCTCTCCTCGCCAAAAAAAAAAAAAAAAAAAAAACCCAGGACTAGATGGATTCACAGCCCAATTCCACCAGATGTGCAAAGAAGAACTAGTACCAATCCTACTGAAGCTACTCCAAAAAACGGAAGGGGGGAATACACCCTAACTCATTCTACAAAGTTATTGTCACCCTGATACCAAAGCCAGGCAAGGACACAACAACAACAAAAAAGAAAACTACAGATCAATATCCCTGATGGACATAGACACAAAATTCCTTCACAAAATATTAGCAAACCAAATTCAACAGCACATCAAAAAGATAATGCACCAAGAGCAAGTGGGTTTTATTGCAGGAATGCGAAGATGGTTCAACATATGCAAATCAATAAATGTGACTAACCACATAAACAGGATTAAAAACAAAAACCAGATTATTATGTCAATAAATACAGAAAAAGTATTTGATAAGAGTCATCAGTCCTTCATGATAAAAACCCTCAACAAACTAGACATAGAAGAAACATACCTCAAAATAATAAAAGCCATGTAAAACAAACCCACAGCCAACATTATACTGAATGGGGAAATGTTCCCTCTAAGAACTGAAACAAGACAAGGATGCCTACTTTCACACTCTTATTCAACATCTGGATTTCCTAGCCAGAGCAGGCAAGAGAAATAAGAGGCATCAAAACTGGAAAATAGGAAATCAAAGTATCTGTTTGCCAATGATATGATCTTATGCCTAGAAAACCCTAAAGACTCCTCCAAGACATTCCTAGGTTTGATAAATGAATTCAGTGACGTTTTAGGATACAAAAGCAACATATAAAAGCCAGTAGCATTTCTATATACCAATAGTGATCAAGCAGAGAACAAAATCAAGAAGTCAATCCCATTTACAATAACTAGAAAACAATACTAAGGAATATTTTACTAAAGAGGTGAAATATCTCTATCTCTATTAAAAAACTATAAAACACTGATGAAAGAAATTATAGATGACACAAGCAAATAGAAAAAATAGCCCATGCTCATGGATTGGAAGAATCAGTATCATTAAAATTACCATACTGCTCGAAGCAATCAACAGACTTAATGCAATTCCTATCAAAATACCAAGGTCATTTTTCACAGAATTAGAATAAACAATGTTAAAATTCATATGAACCCAAAAAAGAGTCCAAATAGCCAAAGCAATCCTAAGCAACAAATAACACTGTCTGACTTTAAATTATACAACCAGGCTACAGCAACCAAAACAGCATGGTACTGGCATAAAAATAGATACATAGACCAGTGGAACAGAAAAGAGAACCCAGAAATAAAGCCACATACCTAATGATAATTGATCTTCAACAGAGTCAACAAAAACGTACACTGAGGAAAGGACACCTTATTCCGAAAATGGTGCTGGAAAAATTAGATAGCCATAAGCAGGAGAATGAAATTGGTCCCATATCTCTCACCATAGACAAAAATTAACTCAAGACAGATTAAAGGCTTAAATGTAAGACCCGAAACTATAAAAATTCTAGAAGGAAACCTAGAAAAAAATTATTCTGGATATTGGCCTAGGCAAAGAATTTATAACCAAGACCTCAAAAGCATATGCGACAGAAACAAAAATAGACAAATGGAATTATATCAAGCTAAAAATATTCTGCACATCAAAAGAAACAATCAACAGAGGCTGGGCACATTGGCTCACACCTGTAATCCCAGCACTTTGGGAGGCTGAGGTGGACAGATCATGAGGTCAGGAGTTCCAGACCAGCCTGGCCAACATAGTGAAACCCCGTCTCTACTAAAAATACAAAAATTAGCAGGGTGTGGTGGCATGCACCTGTAGTCCCAGCTACTCAGGAGGCTGAGGCAGGAGAATTGCTTGAACCCGGGAGGCAGAGGTTGCAGTGAGCCGAGACCATGCCATTGCACTCTAGCCTGGGTGACAAAGAGAGACTCTGTCTCAAATAAAAAATTTTAAAAAAAAGAAAAGAAAAAGAAACAACCAACAGAATGGTCAAACTATGGAATGGGAGAAGTTATTTGCAAACTATGCATCCAACAAAGGACTAATATCCAGAATCTACAAGGACCTCAAATAACTCAACAGCAACAAAATAACCCCATTAAAAAGTGTGTGAAAGATATGAACAGATACTTTTTAAAAGAAGACATACAGGTTGAGCACAGTGGCTCATGCCTGTAATCCCAGCACTTTGGGAGGCCAAGGCAGGAGGATCACTTGAGCCCAGAAGTTCAAGACCAGCCTGAGCAACATGGCCAGAGCTTGTGACTACAAAAATAGCTGGGTGTGGTGGGTGCACACCTATGGTCCCACCCATTTGGGAGGCTAAGGTGGGAAGATCACTTGAGCCCAGGAGATCAAGGCTGCAGTGAGCCATGATTGCAACACTGCACTCTAGCCTGAGTGATAGAGCAAGATCTTGTCTCAAAAAATAAATTCCTAGTTCGGCTGACCAAGAAAAGAACCAAAATTATCAATATCGGGAATGAAAAAGGAAACAGTCTTACAAGTCCTATAGACATTAAAAGAATAATAACTGCATATTATAAATAACTTTATGCTAAAAATATATTCAGAAAACCTAGATAAAATAAATTCCTTGGAAGTACAGCTTACCAAAAGTTATATAAAATAAAATAGAAAATCTAAATAGTCCATGTATCTCATAAGAAATTGAATTCATAATTCTGAAACTTCCCACACACACACACAAATCTTCCCACAGAGAAAATTCCATGTGGTTTCACCAGTAAGTTTTATTAAGGCGGAATTGAGGCCAAGCATGGTGGCTCACGCCTGTGATCCCAACACTTTGGGAGGCCAAGGCAGGTGAATCACCTGAGGTCGGGAGTTCAAGATCAGCTGGCCAACATGATAAAACCTCATCTCTACTAAAAATACAAAAATTAGCCAGGGGTGGTGGCACATGTCTGTAATCCCAGCTACTCGGGAGGCTGAGACAGGAGAATTGCTTGTAGCCAGGAGGTGGAGGTTGCAGTGAGCCAAGATTGCACCACTGCACTCCAGCTTGGGCAACAGAGTGAGACTGTGTCTCACCAAAAAAAAAAAAAAAAAAAAAAAAAAAAAAAGAAGGAATTGACACACACACTCACAAACTCACAAAATGGAAAGAACACTTAACAACTCATCTTATGAGGCCAGCAGAATCCTGAGGACAAACCTAACAAAGAAATCACATACACACACACGAAAAAAATTCCAGACCAATATTCTTTTTGAACATTAATGCAAAACTCCTTCACAAAATATCACAAATAGAATCCAGCAATATTTAAAAAAAAAAAAGAAAGAAAGAAACATGACCAAATTGGACATATCTCAGGAATCCAAGGTTGATTTAACTCACAAAAAGCCAAACAATGTAATCAGCCATATTAACAGTCTGAAACAAAAATTACTCATTGAAATAAAGCAGGAAAACCATTTAAAAAAAAAACAGCCAGTTATTCAAAAACAAAACAAAAAAGGAAATAACTTTTAGCAAACCAGAATTAAAAGGGAACTTCTGCAATCTAATTAATGACATCTTCAAAAAGCCTACAGTTAACACTATACTTAGTAGTTTAATTTTTTTTTTTTAATTAAGACAGGATCTGGCTCTGCCACCCAGGCTGGAGTGCAGTGGCGCAATCACAGCTCACTGCAGCCTCAACCTCCTAGGCTAGAGTGATCCTCCCACCTCTGCCTCCCAAGCAGCTAGGACTATAGGCATGTGCCACCACACCCAGTTAATTTTTTTATTTTTTGTAGAGACAGGGTTTCGTTATTTTGTCCAGGCTGGTCTCAAACTCCTGGGCTCAAGCGATCCTCCCACCTGGGCCTCTCAAAGTGCTGGGATTACAGGTGTGAGCCACCACGCCCAGCAGTAGTTGAATATTGAATAGTTCCCCTCTAAGATTGGGAAGAAGGCAAGAATATCCATTTTCACCACTTCTGTTCAACATGGTATCACAGATTCTAGCCCGTGAGGTAAGGCAAGTAAAGAAGTAAATGGCATTGGGATTGGAAAGAAAGAAGTAAATTATCTTTATTCACAAGTGAAATTATTGTTTACATAGAAAATCTTAAGGAATCTATAAAACATCTGCTGGAACTAATACGTAAACTAGCAAACTTGTAGACACAAAGGCAATACACCAAAATCAATTGTATTTTTCTGTTCTGGCAGTGAAACATTAGAAAATGGAATTAGAAAACCAATTTTATTTACTGGAATGCCAAAAACATGAAATACTTAGGAATAAATTTAACAAAAGACATTGCCTTTACATTTAAAACCTCTTCATTAAAAATGTCTACATTAAAAAGCACACAATCTTACTGAGAGAAATTTTTAAAGGGCTGAATAAATGGAGAGATAAACCAAACGCACTGATTGGAATATTCAATGCTTTTAAGACGTCAATTAGTCCCAAAATTGATCTATACATTTAATGTCATCCCAACCGTAATCCAATCTGACCATTTTATGGAATTTGACAAACTCGTTCTAAAATGTATATAAAAATACAAAGACCTGGAAGTATCCAAAGTAATCTTGAAAAAGACAAATTTGGAGGACTACTAGAACTGGATTTAAAGACTTGTGATGAAGCTACAGTAATCAAGGCATTGTGGTTACTGTCATAAGGATAGATAAATAGATCAATGGACTAGAACAGAGAATCCAGATGTAGATCCTCATTTATAGGGTGATTTATTTATTTTTTTATAAAAACACCAAAGCAATCCAATAAAGAAAGGAAATGTTTTTAGGCTGGGTGCAGTGGCTCACCCCTGTAATCCCAGCACTTTGGGAGGTCGAGGCTGGGAGATCATTTGAGGTCAGGAGTTCGAGACCAGCCTGGCCAATATGATGAAACCCCCATCTCTACTAAAAATACAAAAATTAGCCAGGCATGGTGGCAGGCACCTATAGTCCCAGCTACTCAGAAGGCTGAGGCAGAAGAATCGCTTGAACCCGGGAGGTGGAGGTTGCGGAGCTGAGATCATGCCACTGTACTGCAGCCTGGACAACAGAGCAAGACTCCGTCTCAGAAAAAAAAAAGAAGGAAGGAAGGAAGGAGAGAGAGAAAAAAAGAAAGAGAGAGAGGGATGGAAGGAAGGAAGGAAGGAAGGAAGGAAGGAAGGAAGGAAAAGAGGAGAAAGAAAGGAAATGTTTTCAACAAATAGTCTGAGAAAACTGGAGATTCAATATGGAAAAAAAAAAAGTGACCCTCTGCCTACAAGAAAAGATAGGAAACTTCCTTCTCAACTTGGAGACCAGGCTTCTTAAGCAGGTTTCTTAGGCAGTACTGAGAAAGCAATAACCATAAAAGAAAAAGTGTATAAAGTGTATAAAGTCATTTTATCAAAATGTGAAACTTCAGTTTGTCAAAAGACATCTTTAAGAGAATGAATAGGCTGGGTGCGGTGGCCTGTAATCCCAGCACTTTGGGAGGCTGAGGCAGGTGGATCATCTGAGGTCAGGAGGTCAAGACCAGCCTGGCCAACATGGTTAAACCCCATCTCTACAAAAATACAAAAAATTAGCTGGGCGTGGTGGCGGGTGCCTGTAACCCCAGCTACCTGGGAGGCTGAAGCAGGAGAATCACTTGTACCTGGGAGGTGGAGGTTGCAGTGAGCCGCGATCGCACCATTGCACTCCAGCCTGGGTGACAAGAGTGAAACTCTGCCTCAAAAAAAAAAAAAAAAAAAAGAAAATGAATATGTCATTCTCAGACTAAGAAAAAAATTCACAAAACATATATATCTGACAAAATGTCAGTATTCAGAATATATTTAAACACACACACACACAAACACACTTCTACAACTCATTTAAAGAAAGAAAAAAAAGGAAAGTGGTGTCAGTAAGATGGCTGCCTGCAGACCCTGCTGTTCACCCTCCCACAAGACCCGACCAAGGCAAGCAATACGCAGATCAGATTTGACTGGAGTGTGGAGGGAGAGGGCTGGAGTGCAGCAGGGGAGTGGAGCTGCAGCTGCGGTGACTGCAAGGCCAGGAGGGCTGGACCTCCAGCATGAAGGCACCTGGCCTCTGCAACCCCGCCTCCCCCATCTGGATCTGATCTGTCCAGAGTCAGAAAGGACATCTCACTGCAGGGGAAAAAGTAAGCAGAAGAACCCCCTCGGAACCCCCATTGCAACTACAAACACCTTCAGTCCTCACTGCTGGAGAATCCCAGAGTCCTCGAGGGCCCTGAGTCCAGTGTGGAGAGCTACAGGAGGTCACACAGCCACACTGCCCTGGATCCGGAGCACAGTTGCACACTACCCATCCCCATCTACCCCCTCGAGCCAAGCTACTGCAGCACAGCCCCATCTTGAGACCAGAGCCATTTCTAGAGTGCACCCTGCTCTGAGGGCCAGTAGCCACTACCCCTCTCCAGCACCGGGCTTCAGCATTCCACCAAGCCCACGCGGGTGGCTGCTGATGCAAGCGCAGTAACATAAAGCCTGGGGGCAGGACTGGCTGTGACTGGCCCTGCACAGCAGGGAAACCAACTCCTGTGACCCTCACCTCCAGCAGGAGGAACAGTCTGGAAGTCCTGCCCAGGGCAAACCTGCCCTTGAGCCAGCCAAACTGCTGCGTGCCCAAGCAGGAGAGGCCCTCAAGCCTCCAAACAGCTGAAACACTCCTGGGCTGGCAGAGCAGCTATGTGCCTGTGCCCAAGTCCCGAGAAACTGTCTGCAATGCTCAATCCCCTACAGACAAGCCCCTGGCCTGCCCAGTGGCCCTGCACCCACAATCAAGGCCTGAAAAACATCCCTGCAGGCTACCTCTGGCAGACACTCCCCTAGGCCAGCCAAGCAACTGTGTGCCCATGCCCTGCAACTGAGAAACAACCCTACAGGTGATCCCTGTTGGACAAAACCCCAGGCTGGCCAAACCGCCATGAGCCCATATCCCAGGCCTGAGAAACAGCCCCATGGGCTTCCCCCAGCACACATGCCCCAGGCCAGCCAAGCAACTGTGTGACCATAACTAGGTCCAAGAAACAGCTATATGGGCAGCCCCGGTGGGCACCCTCCAGGCCAACTGAGTAGCCTTGTGGCTGCATCCCAGGCCTGAGAAACAGCCCCACAGTCTGCCCCTGGCATGCATGCCCCCAAGCCTGCAGAGCAGCTGTAAGCCTGTGTCCTGGGCCTGAGAAACAGCCCTGCAGACTGCTCCTGGCAGGCACAGCCCCAGGCCGGCCATGCAACCACATGCACACATTCCCAACTAGAGTAATAGCCTCTTAGCGCCAACCCCAGCCTCACGTTTGCCAACACACAATGTGCATGCATGCACCTCTGACCTGAAGAAGCAGCCTGGCAAGGCTACCCCCGGTAAAGCCACACCACTGCCACCACAGCCTCTGTTAGCCTAAGCCACTGAGACACTTGGAAATGTCACTAGAGTGGCTTATAGCTGAAGAAACTACATGGAAACTACAGTACTTTGTATTTTATTTATTTATTTATTTGTTTGTTTGTTTTTTATTTTTGAGACGGGATCTTGCTGTGTTGCCCAGTCTGGAGTGCAGTGGTGTGATCTCGGCTCACTGCAACCTCTGCCTCCCGGGTTCAAGCGATTCTCCCGCCTCAGCCTCCCCAGTAGCTGGGACTACAGGTGCCCGCCACCATGCCCAGCTAATTTTTGCTGGAAACTACAATACTGCAGCCCCCTAAAACCAAAGCCAGTACTCTCCACCAAAACAACACCCCATGTATATTTTTTGTAAGTGTTGTGACTTTATAATACACAGATAATATTTAACCTTCCCCACCCCAGTCATTTTTTTCTCATATATTTCAAGGTCTTTCTCTCACAATGATCCTTCCAGATAAACTTTTTTTTTTTTGAGATAGGGTCTTGCTCTCTTGCCCAGCCTGAAGTGCAATGGCACAATCTCAGCTCACTGCAGCTTTGAACTCCTAGGCCCAAGCAATCTTCTCACCTCAGCCTCCTGAGTAGCTGGGACTATAGGCACATGCCACCATGCCTGGCTAATTTTTTTTAATTTTAATAGTTTTTGGGGTACAGGTGGCTTTTGGTTATATGGATGAATTCTTTAGTGGTGAATGGTGAGATCTTAGTGCACTCATCACCAGAACAGTGAACACCATACCCAACATGTAGTCTTTCACCCACCTTCCAGTCTCCCCGACTGAGTCCCCAGAGTCCATTATATCACTCTGTATGTCTTTGCATCCTCATAGCTTAGCTCCCACTTATAAGTAAGAACATACAGTATTTGGTTTTCCATTTCAGAGTTACTTTGAATAATGGCCCCCAGCTCCATCCAAGTTGCTGCAAAATGCATTATTTTGCTCCTTATTATGGCTGAGTGGTATTTTATACTGTATATGTAACATTTTCTTTATTCACTCCTTCCTCGGTGGGTACCTAGGTTGATTCCACATCTTTGCTATTGCAAATTGTGCTGCTACAAACATGTGTGCATGTGTCTTTTTCATATAATGACTTCTTTTCCTTTACATGCCATGTATATTAACAACACTTTCCCTATAAAACCTACTCCCTAAAATTGGAAGAAGCAACTTTTCCATCAAATGCATAGAAATCAATGTAGGGACACATCAAACATGAACAATCAAGGACTCATGGCACCTCCAAAGGAACACAGTAGCTCTCCAGTAACAGTCCCCAATCATAAGGAAATATAAAAAATGCCAGAAAAAGAATTCAAAATAATAATCTGAAGAAAATTCAATGAGATACGATAGAATACAGATATACAATTCAATGAGATCAAGAAAACAATTCATGGTCTGAATGAGAAATTCAACAAAGAGATAGATATCATAAAAAAGAACCTAACAGATATTCTACAGCTGAAGAACTTAATGAATGAAATAAAAAATATATTTGAGAGCTTCAACAACACACCAGACCAAACAGAAGAAAGAATTTCTGAGCTTTAAGACAGGTCATTTGAAATAATACAGGCAGACCAAAAGAAAGAAAAAGAGAAAAGGAAGGAAGGAAGGAAGGAAGGAGGAGAAGGAAGGAAGAAAGAAAGAAAAATAAAGAGGGAGAGGGAGAGACAGAGAAAGAAAGAGAAAGAAAGAAAGAAGAGACAGAAAAGAAGGAGAAAAAAAGGGAGGGGGAGAGAGAGGAAAGAAAAGAAAGAAAGGAAAGAAAGAAAGAAGGAAAGAGAGAGAAAGAAAGGAAGGAAGGAGGAAGGGAGGGAGGGGAAGAAAGGCAGAAACAAAGGAAAGAAAAAGAAAGAAGGAGAGGGAGAGACAAAGAAAGAGAGAAAAAGAAAGAGAGGGGAGAGAGAAAAGAAAGAAAGATGAAAAGAAAGGGGGGAGAGAGAGGAAAGAGAAAAAAAAGAAAGAGAGAGAGAGAGAGGCAGGGAGGGAGGAAGGAAGGAAGGAAGGAAGGAAGAAAGAAAGAAAGAAAGAAAGAAAGAAAGAAAGAAAGAAAGAAAGAAAAAAGAGAAGAGAAAAAAGAAAAGAATAATTAAAAAGTGGCTGGGTGCTATGGCTCACACCCACAATCCAGCACTTTGGGAGGCCAAGATAGGAGGACCACTTGAGTCCAGGAGTTTGAGACCAGCCTGGGAAGCATAGTAAGGCCCCATCTCTACCAATAAAAGGGTTTTTTTTAATTGGCTTGGCATGTTGGTGCATGCCTGTAATATTGGCTCCTTGGGAGGCTAATGCAGGAGGATCACCTGAGACAAGGAAGTCAAGGCTGCAGTGAGCCACAGTCATGGCACTGCATTCCTGCCTGGACAACAGAGCAAGACTTTGTCTCAAGGAAAAAAAAATGAAGAAAGCCTACACAACTTATGTGACATTATTAAGTAAAGAAATACTCACATTATGGGTATTCCAGAAGGAGAAGATAAGGGAAAAGGTTTAGAAAGCATATTTAATAAAATAATAGCTGAAAACTCAAGTCTTTGGAAAGAGATGGACATCCAAGAAGATCAAATAACCCTAAATGGATTCAACCCAAACAGGTCCTCTCTAAGGCACATTATACTCAAATTGTCAAAAGTCAAAAACAAAGAAAGACTTCTAAAAGCAGCAAGAGAAAAGCATTAAGTCATATATAAAGGAATCTCTATTAGACTAACAGTGGATTTCTCAGCAGAAACCTTACAGGTCATGAGAGAATGGGATGATATATTTAAAGTACGGAAAGAAGGCCAGGCATGGTTGCTCACACCTGTAAGCACAGTATTTTAGGAGGCCAAGGCAGGCAGATTGCTTCAGCCCATGAGTTCAAGAGCAGTCCGGGCAACATAGCAAGACTCCATCTCTACAAAAATAGAAAAATTAGCCAGGCATGGTGGTATATGCCTGTAGTCCCAGCTACTCAGGAGGCTGAGGTGGAAGGATCACCTGAGCCTGAGGGGGCTGAGGCTGCAGTGAGCTGTGATCACACCACTGCACTCCAGCCTGGGTGACAGAGTGAGACCCTGTTCAAAAAAAAAAAATAGTACTGAAGAAAAAAAAAAAAAAAAAACTACCAAGCCAGAATATTATACCCAGCAAAGCTATCCTTCAAAAATGAAGGAAAAATAAAATCTTTCACACACAAGCAAAAACTAATAGGCCTTACAAGAAATACTCAAAGGAGTTTTACACCTGGAAGTGAAAAGACAACAGGCATCATCATGAAAGCATGTAAAACTATAAAACCCATTGTTAAGAGCTGATGCACAAAGGAGAAAGAGAAAATCATCAAACCTTATCAAACAAACTATGCAAAACGACTCAAACACAAAAATAATGAGAGGAAGTAAGGAACAAACAATAGATAAAACAACAAGGAAACAATCAATAAAATGACAGGAATAAGTCCTCACCTATCAATGATAACTTTGAATGTAAATAAACTAAATTCCCCCCATTTAAAGATATAGACTGAATGGATTTAAAAAAAAAAAAAGACCAACTACACATTACCTATAAGAATCTCGCCTTACCTGTAAAGACACACATAGGCTGAAACTGAAGAGACGAAAAAAGATATTCCAAGCAAACCAAAACCAAAAGCAAGCAGGAGTAGCTATGCTTACGATATGGTTTGGCTGTGTCCCCACCCAAATCTCATCTTGAATTGTAACTCCCACAATTCTCACATGTTGTGGGAGGAACCTGGTGGGAGGTAATTGAATCATGGGGGCAGGTCTTTCCCGTGCTGTTTTTGTGATAGTGAATAAGTGTCATGAGGTCTGATGGTTTTAAAAACGGGAGTTTCCATGCACAAGCTCTCTCTTTGCCTGCTGCCATCCATGTAAGACATGAATTGCTCCTCCTTGCCTTCCGCCATGATTGTCAGGCTTCCCTAGCCACGTGGAACTATAAGTCCATTAAACCTCTTTCTTTTGTAAATTTCCCAGTCTTGGGTATGTCTTTATCAGCAGCGTGAAAACGGACTAATGCAACTATGTCAAACAAAACAGACTTCAAGTAAAAAGCTGTAAAAGGAGACAAGGAAATTATATAATAATAAAGGGATTAATTCAGCCAGAGAATATAACAATTGTAAATATATATGCACCCAACACCAGAGCACCCAGATATATAAGGCAAATATTAGATCCAAAGGGAGAAATGGACCCCGATACAGTAATACCTGGGAACTTCAATGTCCCACTGTCAGCATTGGCCAGATCATGTGGACAGAAAATCAACAAAGAAACATCTAATTTAAACTGTAACACAGGCCAGGCATGGTGGCTCATGCCTGTAATCCCAGCACTTTGGGAGGCTGAGGCAGGCGGATCACTTGAGGTCAGGAGTTTGAGACCAGCCGGGCCAACATGGTAAAACCCTATCTCTACTAAAAATACAAAAATCAGCCAGGTGTGGTGGCATACACCTGTAGTCCCTGCTACTTGGGAGGCTGAGGTGGGAGAATCGCTTGAAACTGGGAGGCGGAGGTTGCAGTGAACTGAGGTTGTGCCACTGCACTCCAGCCTAGGTGACAGAGCGAGACTCTGCCTCAAAAATAAAAATAAACAAAAAATAAATAAACTGCATCATAGACCAAATGGACTTAACAGACATTTTACCCAACATATGCAGAATACACATTCTGTTTATCAGCACATGAAACATTCTCCATGACTGACCATACATTAGGACATAAAACAAGTCTCAAAAAAAACTTTTTAGCTGAAATTCTACTAAGCATTTTATCTGACCACAATGAAATAAAACTGGATATCAATAACGAGAGGAACATTTAAAACCATACAAATGAATGGAAGTCAAACAACATGCTCCCGAATGACCAATGGGTGATGACAGAAATTAATAATGAAATTTAATAGGTCAGGCATGATGGCTTACACCTGTAATCCCAGTCCTTTGGGAGGCCAAGGCAGGAGGACTGCTTGAGCTCAGGAGTATAAGACCAGCCTGGGCAACATGATGAAATCCTGTCTCTACTAAAAATACAAAAAGTAGCCACTTGGGCCCAGGAAGCAGAGGTTGCAGTATGTTGAGATGGCGCCACTGCACTCCAGCCTGGGTGACAGAACGTGACCCTGTCTGCCCCCCACTCCTCCAAAAAAAGGATGAAATCCTGTCATTCGCAGCAACATGGATGGAACTGGAGAATATTATGTTAAATGAAATAAGCCAGGGGAACAGAAGGTTAAACACTGCATGTTCTCACTCATATGTGGAAGCTTTAAAAAAAAAAAAAAGTTTATCTCATAGAAGTAAAAAGTAGAACAGAGAATACTCGAGATTGGGAAGGATGGGGGAAGGTGGGGTTAGGGAGATATTTGTTAAAGGATACAAAATTACAGCTAGATAGGAGGAGTAAGTTCTAATGCTCTACAGCACTGTAGGATGACTGTAATTAGCAATAATACTGTATATAGTTTCACACAGCTAGAAGGAGGATAGTGAATGTTCCAACACAAAGAAATGACAAACGTTTGAGATGATGGATGTGCTAATTACCCTGATCTGATCACTATATATTATATGTATCACAACACCGCTATGTACTCATATATATGCACAATTATTATGTGTCACTTTAAAAAATGTTTTTAACTGTTTTCCTCTATGGGCTGCTTAGCTCTACAGATATACACCAGGAGTCTTCAATCTAAGCTAACTGGGAAGGGGAACAGGGAACAGGAAACAGGGAGAAGAAACGGTCTGATGAAACTCACCTTCCCATCATTTGGCAGCCAGAAGAAGAGGAGCAGGTGGAGACTGTAATGGGGACTGCTAGTATTGCCTTTTCTGTCTTTTTGTTATTGATCCTATTGGCCAAATTAGGTACACACAGGTATCAGCATTGCTGCTTTTCTTCTGATCCTTGCAGGAAAGTCAGATGTCCGTCTCAAACTGAGCATCATCCTAAACTGCGTGTTCCCTGTCATGATTGTTCAAGTTGTTTACTTCTACTTAGGAGTCTTCTATTGAAGTGCCAGGGCTAGTGACTCCTGGGATATCGGGCAGATGGCAGGGCTGTGTGTGAGCCATGGGAGAACTGCAATGATCCAACAGAAACTTTTGATCATAAATGATTCAAGATCCCTGGGGTGTGGTGAAGAGCATCCTCCGGGCATGGTGCAATAGCCATGAGGTAGCTGCACATGTCGCTGATGGGCACAGTGTGGGTGGGGATGGCACAGCACTGGCTGGGCTGGTGACTGCTGCCAGCAGACAAGGACTTGGCTCTGGGTGCAGGCACTCCGCTTCATCCTGAGGACAGGCTGTGGCGGCTGCAGAGCTGGGCTGCTCCACCTCCTCAGGCAGGAGGAAGGCTAAAAATGTTTTGTGTTTTTTGTGGTTTTATTGTTGTGGTTGTTGTTGTTGTTGTTTTTGATACAGAGTCTTACTCTGTTGCCCACGCTGGAGTGCAGTAGCATGATCTGGGCTCACTACAGTCTTGACTTCCCGGGCTCAAGCAATCCTCACACCTCAGCCTCCCAGGTAGTCGGGACTACAAGCGTGCACCATCACACCTCGCTAATTTTTCTATTTTTTGTAGAGACAGGGTTTCACCATGTTGCCCAGGCTGGTCTTGAACTCCTGGGCTCAAGCAATCCTCTCACCTCAGTCTTTCAAAGTGCTGGGATTATAGGTGTGAGCCACCATGCCCAGCCTGGTCTTTTTTAATTTAATTTTGCTTTATTAAGGTTTTTTTTAGGCTAGGCACAGTGGCTCACACCTGTAATCCCAACATTTTGGGAGACTGAGGCGGGCAGATCACCTGAGGTCAGGAGTTTGAGACCAGCCTGGCCAACATGGTGAAATCATATCTCTACTAAAAACATGAAAATTAGCTGGGCGTGGTGGTGGGCGCCTGTAATCCCAGCCACTCAGGAGGCTGAGACAGCAGAATCTTTTGTGTCCAGGAGGTGGACATTGCAGTGAGCCAAGACTGTGCTACTGCACTCCAGCCTGGGCGACAGAGCAAGACCCCATCTCAAAAAAGATCAGCCCATTAAAAATGAGTAAAAGACCTTAACGAACACTTTACACAAGAAAATGCGGAAATGGCCCTTATGCACATGAAAAAAGCTTCATCCTTCATTAGTCACCAGGGAAAAACAAATTAAAATCACATTGGGATACCTCTACATATTTACCAAATGGCTACATTTAAAAACTAACAACATCAATTATTGTTAAGAATGTAGTGTAACTAGAACTCACACATTGTTGAGGGGAGTGTAAAATGGTACAATCACTTTAGGAAAAAAATCTGACGGTGTCATAAAACTAAACATACACCTGGCCTGTGACCTGCAATTCTACTCCTAGATATTTACTCAAGAGAAAGGAAAACATGCCCACAAAAAGGCTAGCATGCAAGTGTTCATAGCAGCTTTATTCGTAATAATCAAAAGCCAAAAACAGATCAGAAGAATGGATAAACACACTGTGGTGTATTCATAAAATAGAATATGGTTGAGCACTAAAAAGCCACAAACAACAATATGAATAAACCTCAAAAACATTACACGTAGTCAAAGAGCCTTACTAAAAAGCATATATGGCCGGGCGCAGTGGCTCATGCCTGTAATCCCAGCACTTTGGGAGGCCAAGGTGGGCAGATCACCTGAGATCAGGAGTTTGAGACCAGCCTGGCCAACATGGCAAAACCCCGTCTCTACTAAAAATACAAAAATTAGCCAGGCGTGGTGGCAGGCACCTGTAATCCCAGCTACTCAGGAGGCTGAGGCAGGGAGAATCGCTTGAACCCGGGAGGCGGAGGTTGCAGTGAGCCAAGATCGCGCCATTGCACTCCAGCCTTGGCGACAGAGCAAGACTCTGTCTCAAAAAAAAAAAAAAAAAAAAAAAAAAAAAAAAAAAAGCATATACACTATACGATTTCATTTACATGAAATTCCAGAACAGCAAAATTAATATATCATGAAAAAATCAGAACAGTGGTTGCTTTGGGGAGTGGGGTAGGGATCGATTGAGGAGAGGCTTGAGAGAACTTTCTGGAGTTGATGTTACTGTCCTATAACTTAACTGGGATTTGGGACTCGTAAGTGTTTGCCTTTGTCCGAGCTTGTTGAAAGGTACACTTAAGATTTGTGCAATTCACTTTATATAAATTATATCTGAAAAATACCTGTAAACAAATGTTGAGCTGAAGTTATGCAGGTCAAGGTGTTTAGAGGTAGAATATGCTGATGTCTACAACTTACACTGAAATGTGCCAAAAAATAAGATGGATTGATAAGTGAAAAGATGAATGGCTAGATAAATGGATAGATGATTAAGCAAAGACAGCAAGGTGATAAGTATATCAGTGTTAAAATGTGCGATTCTTTCAACTTATCCATATATTTGAAAGTTTCTATAATAAAACTGTAGGGGAAAATATATATATACTCTTCAACCCAGAAATTTTACTCCTGGGAATTTATCCCATAGAAATAAAAGTATTTGTCTATAATAACACGTGTGAGAACATTTATTGCAATGCTGTTCCTAGTGACCAAGAACTGGAACCAAAGTGCATATCCATGAAATGGGGGTGGATATGAGTACTCACCTGAGTAGAGCGTGGCACGTCCACACCATGGGCTAGAACGTGGCCGCTAAAAGGAGTAAGTCAGAGCCTCTCCAGAGAGTTTAAAGGGATTTCACTGAGGAACGGTTGAGGGAGAAAAGCAAGAGTGAATAATATAATCCTATTTTTGTAAAACAATCACACACACCACACATACACTCTCTCTCTCTTGTTCTCTCTCTCTGGATAGAATTATATATATTTAAAAAAATGGAAGAACACAGATTGCTAACACAGCTTATGGGTAAAGGCAAAAAATAAAGGGTTGAGTGTTGTTATGGGGGTAAGGGGGAATATCCATGATTTAAAAAACAGCACGTATATCATCTCCTTTAAGTTAAATTTTCTGGCCAGACACACTCAGGAGTTCAAGACGAGCCTGGACAACATAGCGAGACCCTAGTCTCAACAACAACAAAAAATTAGTTTGGTGTCGTGGTGCATGCCTCTAGTCCTAGCTACTTGGAAAGCTGAGATGGGAGGATGGCTTGAGCCCAGGAATTTGAGGCTTCAGTGAGCTGTGATTGCACCACTGCACTCCAGCCTGGGCAACAGAGCAAGACCCTGTCTCTTTAAAAGATAAATAAATAAAATTAAAATAAGTTAAATTTTCTGTAGTATGCAGCGTGTGGTGCTTAAAGAGATGCACATGAAGGCTGGGCACCAAAATGTTAATAATGGTCATCTCATGGTGGTAGGATTCCAGGTAATTATTTCCTTGTCTTTGTAGGAAGGAAGGGAGAAAGGGAGGGAGGGAGAGAGGGAGGAAGAAAACAAGTCTACAGGTCTCATATCCTTACCTCCTATTATCTCTTCAACCCACCCCAACTCCTACTGGGTTTTTTTGTTTTTTGTTTTGAGACAGGATCTCACTCTGTTGTCCATACTGGAGTGCAGTGGTGCCATCACAAGTCACCGCATCCTCCATCTCCCAGACTCAAGCCATCCTCCCACCTCAGCCTCCCAAGTAGCTGGGACCACAGGCATGTGACACTGCGCCTCAATATTTTTTTTATTTTTTGTAGAGACGAGGTCTCAATATGTTGCCCAGGCTGGTCTAGAACTCCTGGCCTCAACTCCCAATTCCTACTTTTGCCAGACCCTAATCTTATCTGACCTCTCACCAGCATTTCGCATTGTTGGCAGATGTCTCCTTGAAATACTCCCTTCAATCAACTTCCATGGCACCCTGCTCCCAAATCCTGCCTCTGCGATCATCACTTCTCAGTCCTCTTTCCATCCCTCCCATCATCTTCCTCTGGATTTTGTCCTCAAACCTGTCCTTTTCTCAGTTTAATTACCATCTAGATGCTAATGTCTCCCAAGCTGCTGTCTTGAACTCCAACCAAACATCTCTAATTGGATGTCCCACAGGTCATCAGACCCAGCATGGCCAAAACTAATCTCATCATCTTTCCCCCAAAAGCTACTGCTTCTTCTCCTGCAGTCCAATCTCAGAGAATGTCAGCATCGCCACCCACCACTTGCTAAAGCCATAATCTTGGATATCATTACTCTCTCCTACTCCCACATCCAGTCGCTCACCAGGTGCTGTCAGTTCTGTCTCCCAAGTCTCTATCCATCCATCCTCTTGTCTGCATCTCCCCTACCCCTGCTTTGATTTGGGCACCATTACATCTCTTGTAAATGACTGAAGCAGCCTGTTCATTCATCTTTCTGTCCACTGCCCCCATTTATCTCCCATAGATGCCAGAGAGATTTTTCTAAACCACAGATCTGACCTCATCACTTCCCTGTTTAAACCTCTTTGAGGATTTCCCATTGCTCTTAAGATCAAGGTCAAACTCTTAGAAAGAGAAAGAAAGAAAGAAAGAAAGAGAGAGAGAGAGAAAGAAGGAAGGAAGGAAGGAAGGAAGGAAGGAAGGAAGGAAGGAAGGAAGGAAGGAAGGAAGGAAAGAAAAAAAAAAAGAAAGAAAGAGGCCGGGCGCGGTGGCTCACGCCTGTAATCCCAGCACTTTGGGAGGCCGAGGAGGGCAGATCACGAGGTCAGGAGATCCAGACCATCCTGGCTAACACGGTGAAACCCCGTCTCTACTAAAAATACAAAAAATTAGCTGGGCATCATGGTGGGTGCCTGTAGTCCCAGCTACTCGGGAGGCTGAGGCAGGAGAATGGCGTGAACCCGGGAGGCGGAGCTTGCAGTGAGCGGAGATCGCGCCGCTGCACTCCAGCCTGGGCGACAGAGCACGAGTCCGTCTCAAAAAAAGAAAAAAAAGAAAGAAAAGAAAAGAAATTGGCCGGGCTTGGTGGCTCACGCCTGTAATCCCAAAACTTTGGGAGGCCGAGGTGGGCAGATCACCTGAGGTCAGGAATTTGAGACCAGCCTGACCAACATGGAGAAACCCCGTCTCTACTAAAAATATAAAAAATTAGCCGGGCGTGGTGGCGGGTGTCTGTAATCCCAGCTACTCAGGAGGCTGAGGCAGGAGAATCTCCTGAACCCGGGAAGCTGAGGTTGCA
This sequence comes from Homo sapiens, assembly GCF_000001405.40. Taxonomy (NCBI): domain Eukaryota; kingdom Metazoa; phylum Chordata; class Mammalia; order Primates; family Hominidae; genus Homo; species Homo sapiens. The sequence continues at coordinate 43,428,384 of NC_000020.11, forward strand.
GTGAGCCGAGACTGCATCACTGCATTCCAGCTGGGAGACAGAAAGACTCCATCTCAAAAAAAAAACAAAACAAATATATATATAACTTTTTTTTTGACAGGGACTCCCTCTGTCGCACAGACTGGAGTGCAGTGGTGCTATCACAGCTCACCGCAGCCTCCATCTCCCGGCCTCAAATGATCCTCCTGCCTCAGCCTCCTGAGTAGCTGGAACCACAGGCACAGGCCACCCCACCCAGCTAATTTTCTGTTTTGTTTTTAGTAGAGATGAGGTTTCACTACGTTGCCCAGGCTGGTCTCAAACTCCTGGCCTAAAGCAATCCTCCCATCTCAGCCTACCAAGGTGCTAGGATGATAGACATGACCCACTGCACCAGGCCAAGATCAAACCCTTAAACATGACACATTGGTTTAAAGATATGCTCAGCCTCCCCCAGCACATGCCATCTCCAGCCCCTGGCCTCTCTCTTTACCACAAATCTAAGAAGCAAGAACACTGCTGTGGGCCCTCTTCAAGGGCTAGGGGCGCTGGAACATTTGGCAGAGGTGAGGATGCCTTTTCCTTTTTGGAAAACTACTTTCCAGGTGGCTGAAGAAGTGAGAGGGCTGAGGTTGCTTCCCCTAGGGCGACAGCCTTCCATCTCCCACTCATCCCTCTGACTCTATTATTCTCAAGAGGTTGGGGCAATGAGCTGGGTGGAGATGACTGACCACAGAGAAGAAAAGCCCAGAGCGGGGATAAAGCCCACTTTTCTTTTGCTTTAGGGAGAAGGTTCTGCACTGATCCACATTCGCAGTGCCCTCCCTTTTTTTTAATTTTTTTTTTTTGGAGACGGAGTTTCGCTCTCGTTGCTGGAGTGCAACGGTGCGATCTTAGCTCACCACAACCTCCGCCTCCCTGTGATTCTCCTGCTCAGCCTCCCGAGTAGCTGGGATTACAGGCATGTACCACCACGCCCAGCTAATTTTGTATTTTTAGTAGAGATGGGGTTTCTCCATGTTAGTCAGAACGGTCTGGAACTCCCAACCTCAGGTGATCCACCTGCCTCGGCCTCCCAAAGTGCTGGGATTATAGGCATGAGCCACCGTGCCCAGCCACCCTTCTTTTTTTGTTTTTTTTTTAGAGACAGTCTTGCTATGTCACCCAGGTTGGAGTACAATGGCTCCATCATAGCTCATTGCAGCCTCTAACTCTTGCACTTAAGCGATCCTCCCCTATCAGCCTCCTGAGTAGCTGGGACTAGAGGTGCATGCCACTGCACCCAGCTCTCCATTCTAATTATTAATACCTTGATATAGAGCTCAGGACCAAGGCGGGAGGGCTCCTCTGCTACTGACTGTCCTCCATACATACACAGCATAGCACTGGGCACAATAACTCTTTATTTTAATCTTTATCAGTGGAGTCTACAGTACACTGTTCCCCTCGGCTTCAAGCTCCCAAGCCAGAAGGTGAGTCTTACTAAAGAAAAAATTACTCACGACACTTGTTAAAGACAATAAGGCAAACTTTTTTGAAGAGGAGACATGACTGTAAGTATAGGGACCACTGGAATGGGGTCCTGCAGCGAGGGAGAGAGACTGGACTCAACTCTGACTGCAACCAGTTCAAGTAGAGATTTATCGCCAAGGAGCAGGGAGAGGAGCTCAACAGAATTTTTGCTGAAGGCAGGCCAGGGTGATAAGATACTGAAGGTGGGGAGTTTTTGCTAAACTGACTTAGCAGGATTCTTGCTCACATTGGATTCTATGAGGATAGAGAGAAGCTCAAGCTCAGGGCTAGATGAGCAGAGGGCTCAGAGGAGCCCAGTGATAGTTTTGGTCTAAGAAGAGAGTCTTTGTCAGCCTCAATAGGCAGAACTTAACTAAGTAGGGAGAAAGGAGAATGTGAGGCTGCAGGCTGGTCAGAGGGCACCCTCTGGTCAGGGTGCCCCATTAAAGTAGCCAAACACTGGCTTTGGGGTCCACCTATGGGTTTTAAGTCCTAGGCCTGAAGTAAGAGGCAGGACTTGACTCTGGAGGCAGGGCTCGGACACCAGGCAGAATTGAGCACTAGCTAAAACAGGGATGGGGTGGAAGCAGCTTTCCTTAAGACACACCCACCAGGGTGCCATGTTTACCGTTGCCATGGCAACACCTGAAAGTTACCACCCTTTGCCATGGCAATGACCCAGCGAGCCAAAAGTTACTACCCCTTCCCTAGAAATTTCTGTATAAACCGCCCATTCACCTACATGTGATTAAAAATAGCTATAAATATAACTGCAAAACTGCCCTGAGCTGCTACTCTTTGCATATACGGTAGCCCTGCTGTGCAGGAGCAGTCACGGAGCTGTAATCAGCCCTGCACATTACTCACTCTGTAACCTTAGGCCTCAGTCTCCCCATGGGTGAAGACAAGGAGACAGAGGGGGCTAGAGTTCCTGTGTGTACTCAGGGTTCTAGGCGCTGGTGCCCGCTTTCCAGAAGGTCCCAGCTGGAATGTTTCCTAAAAAACAAGAGCCAAATGTCTCTTGCTTCACTTCGGCAACTTTCACATTTACATATAAATTGATACCTAATGGTTCTGCCCTCCTTTATCTTAGCCCCAGGTTCTAATGAGCTGGAAAAATGGTCCTGTGCCTGGGAATAACAGAGCTTCCAGGCTAAGGGTGGGAGAGAATAAGTTTCTTCGCTTGCTGTGCCATGGGGAAGGCAGAGAGGGCAGGGGTGAAGGGAATACCATGTCCCTTCTCCACTGGGACCTATGCCACAGTGTCCTAAAGTAGGGGAAAAAAGCGTTTTGTAACAGTATGAAACATGGTGGAAAATCAAGCCTGAAAGTATGTGAAATCCACTACACATTTTGTGAAAAGTGACTCATAATTCTATTTGTTCTTTCCGGTGTACACATTACAGATATTTCATCCAGACAGAAACTGGAAATAAAGATAAGCCAGGAGCGCCATCTGGGACGTGATCTGTCACTAAGGCTAAGGCTTAACCGCTCAAATCCAGAGATCTCTGCAGATACCGGGGATGGGGAGAAAAGTGATAAAGTCCCTCCCCCAAAACACGCACAAACACACACACAAACACACACACACATAAACACACACACAAACACACACACACACACACAAACACACACTCTACTGGTGCCAGGTCCCTCTTAAAGCGCTTTAAATACATCCGCTTATTTAATTCCAACAACCTGTGAAGTTAAGAGTCCCATTTTAGAGACTGAGGAAACTAAGACTTGCTCACCTAAGTGACTGGCAGACTTGGGCTTCAAACCCAGGCCTGTCTGATCCTAAAAGCCCAGGTTAATTTACACAATACCACTACAGCACTAGAGCTTGTCTTTCTTTTCTTCTTTCTTTCTCTTTCTTTATTTCTCTTTCTCCCTTCCTTCCTTTTTTTTTGTAGAGACAGGGTTTCACTATGTTGCCTAGGGTGGTCTTCTTAAACTCCTGAACTCAAGTGATCCTCCCACCTCAGCCTCCCTAAGTTCTGATTGTACAGACATGAGCCACTGTGCAAGGCCTAAAGCAGAAGTTCTTAACTGAGGTCCATGGACAGAATTCAGGGAGTCCGTGGATGAAAAACGAAACTATATCTTTATTTTTTCCTATTTCTAACTCAAATTTAACATTTCCTTCAAATCTGAAAGGGGGCAACAAACCAATATCATTAACTTTGCCTCCAGTGGAAATCACTGATTTTCATATCATATTACAGTTGTTGATATCTCAAAATATCATTTATGGTCATCAATATTTCAAAATATCAGTAGTTAACTGACTCACCACAAGATCTTGTCATTTAGTGCATTAATAAAGAAACACTATGGTAGCCAGGTAGCTCCCAGAAAATAAAGCCCTGCTATGTAGCATTTGCCAATTCCCATGGTGTAAATACTCCTACAATTGCCCATTTCAAGGATGGCTATGTTTAACAACTGGTTTGCAAATTTCCTGAAAATTTAGCAATCAATGTTTGGAAGCACAGACAAGACAGCTTCAGCACACCATGGGCACTAGAGTGAATTTTTCTGGATCTGCCAGAATTCCCTGCAAGTCCTGCAGCCTTCAATGTAATGACATTGGTAATAATGGTAATAGATTTTAAATATTGATTAAATCCTTCTTCTGTTCAAAGCATAATAATAAGCACTTAACATGACCTATCTCATTTAAACTACCAATAATCCAATAAGGCAGGTATTATTGGAGTGGTTTAAAATGGGGGAAAGAGGAAAGGAAAAGTTGTGGTTTTGCCCCCTGGCGATGTCTGGCAATGTCTGGAGACATTCTTGATTGTCCTAACTGGGTTTGCTACTGGCATCTAGTGGGTAGATGCTGCCAAACATCCTTCAATGTACAGGACACACACACTACCTGAGAAAGAATTATCCAGCCCAAAATGTCAGTAGAACTGGGGTTGAGAAATTCTTTATTACTGTTATTCCCTTTTTAAAAATTGGAAAATTGCCACCCATTGAGATTAAGTTGTCCAAGTTCACACAGTTTTCATAGAGTCAGTTATGAGTGAAGACTAGTTCTTACTCCCTGACTCTCCCTTACCAGATGTAGGAAGAGTTGCTTATTACAAAGGAAGCAGGCTGGGCACAGTGGTTCACGCCTGTAATCCCAGCACTCTGGGAAGCTGAGGCGGGCAGATCACTTAGGTCAGGAGTTCAAGACCAGCCTGGCCAACGTGGCAAAACTTCATCTCCACTAAAAATACAAAAATTAGCCAAATATGGTGGCATGAGCCTGTAATCCCAGCTACTTGGGAGGCTGAGGCAGGAGAATCACTTGAACCTGAAAGGCAGAGGTTGCAGTGAGCCAAGATCATGCCATTGCACTCCAGCCTGGGCAACAGAGCGAGACTCTGTCTCAAAAAAAAAAAAAAGAAGAAGAAGAAGAAAGAAAGACAGGAAGGAGGGAAGGAAGGAAGGAAGGAGGGAAGGAAGGAAGGAAGGAGAAAAGAGAGAAAAACAAAAAGAAAGAAAGAAAAAAGAAAGGAAGGAAGGAAAGAAAGAAAGAGAGAAAGAAAAAAGGAAAGGAAAAAAGGAGGGGAAGGGAATAAGGAGGAAGGAAGGAACGAACGAAGGAAGGAAGGATAGAGAGAGAAGAAGGAAAAAGAAAGAAAGAAGGAAGGAAGGGAGGAAAGAAAGGAGGGGAAGGGAAGAAGGAAGGAAGGAGAAAGAAAAAGAAAGAAAGAGCGAGAAAGAAAGAAGGGAGGGAGGAAGGAAGGAAGGAAGGTAGGTGCCTGCTGGGCTGGCCATGGCAATGTGAGTCCAGGATTGGTCTCAAGGAGGCTCAGGCATCACATGTTGAAAGATCCAACCCCAGCTGCTTCTAAAGAGTGAGAAGGGGATGACAGTGACACTCTGTCTCTAAATAAATAAATAAATAAATAAGTGAGGGGATTTGGCCCCAGAAATTATTCTCAAAGTGAGTCAATCTGATGGCCCATTGGGCTGTCTGCAAAATTCATTTAGGACAATAAAATGAAAAGGAACATGGAGATCACTCATTGCATAAATACTTATTAAGAACATACTCTGTGCCTGCACTCTTCTAGGTGGTGGTGGAGTAGTGAACAGAAGCAAAATAGCTCTTGCCCTCATGGAGTGTACAAGCTGGTGGGGGAGTAGAAAAGCAAATGAAGAAGTGGGTTAGAAAAAGTACAGTTGTGATAGATGCTGTGAAGGAAGGAAGTGCGTGAAGTGCTATAGTAAATAATCTCCGTAGGGTCCTCTTTAGAGAGGATAGTCAGGAAGACTTCCCTGAAGAAGGGATATGTGAGCTAAGATCTGAAGGATGCAAAGCCAGCCATGGGAAGAGAAGAGAACAGGCATCGACACAGTGGGACCAGCAGGGCAGGTGATGAGGCTCTGAGCAGAATAAGTTTGCTGTTTTCTAGTCACCAAAAGGAGGTTATTGTGGCCTGGTTCACTGGCTCATGCGTGTAATCTCAGCACTCTGGGAGCCCAGTGTGGGAGGATTGCTTGAGGCCAGGGGTTTGAGACCAGCCTGGGCAACAGAGTGAGACCTCCCACCTCTACAAAAAAGGTAAAAATTAGCCGTGCATGGTGGTATGTGCCTGTAGTCCCAGCTACTCAGGAGGCTGAGGAGAGAGGATTGCTTGAGCTTGAGTTCAAGGCTGCAGTGAGCTAGGATCGAGCCACTGCTCTCCAGCCTGGGCAACAGAGTAAGACCCCATCTCAAAAAAAATAAAATAAAAAGAGAGAGAGAGAGAGATTATTGTGACTGGAGCACAAGGACAGAGGGAAGGGGCAATTCAGGACCAAGGTAAAGAGGTCAGCAGAGACCATGCCACACTGAGCTTTATAGCACTATGTTCCACTCATCTGCCTGCGCTCAGGACTCAAAATAGGTGTGACAAAAAGGAAGCCCCAGGCTATAAGGGCTGGGCAGGTGAGTGTCTAAGGAGGGTGTATTAGTCTGTTCTCACGCTGCTAATAAAGACATACCTGGCCAGGAGCGGTGGCTCACGCCTGTCATCCCAGCACTTTGGGAGGCCGAGGTGGGCAGATCACTTGAGGTCAGGAGTTCGAGACCAGCCTGGCCAATATGGTGAAACCCCGTTTCTGCTAAAAATAAAAAAAAAATGAAGACATATCTGAGACTGGGTAACTTATAAATGAAAGAAGTTTAATTGACTCACAGTTCCACATGGCTGGGGAGGCCTCACAATCATGGCAGAAGGCCAATGAAGAATAAAGTCAGGTCTCACATGGTGGCAGGCAATAGAGCTTGCGCAGGGGAACTCCCATTTATAAAACTATCAGATCTCATGAGACTTATTCACTATCAAGAGAACAGTATGGGGGAAACCACCCCCATGATTCAATCATCTCCACCTGGCCCTGCCCTTGACATGTGGGGATTATTACAATTCAAGGTGAGATTTGGGTAGGGACACAGCCAAACCATATCAGTGGGTGGTGGGGAGGGGTACTTGTAGGTACCTAGAGGGACTTCTAGTCTCTCCCGTGCTCCCACACTCACCTCCCTTAACCCGTCACCTCTACTGACCCAAGATTCCCAAATGCCAGGATCCAAGATGTGAGTGTGTGTATGTATGTGTACAACAATGATGAAGATCAGATGGCATTGGAGAAATCCTCAGCACATGGGACTGGAGGACCAACATGCCTGGCTCTGTGCTGAGAATGTCACACTAATAATTAGTCATTTGATTAGCAGCTGCCCACTTAACCACTGCACTGTTCAACAACAGTCCAATGGACTGGTGCCCTAGAGCTGGATTAACTTTGCAGAGTGGGTGAACAAACTAAGCTCTGCTCAGGGAAGCCCAGAATTCCAGAACAGTGAGACTCATCTCAGAAAGCAGAGAATGGCAGAAGGTGGAGAAAGAGGGGAGGAAACAGACCCTGAGTAAATTCACTGTGCCAGCTGCTACGTGAAGCTTCACTATACATGCATTATCTCATTTCATCCTTCCAACAATACACTTCGGGGGTACCCTTTTCCCTATTCTCCACTCGGAAACTGTATTAGATCCAGTCAAGTCCAGGATTGGAATCCAGGTCTCCCTTTTCCTTGGTGAAGTGCCCACCCAATGTCTGGATTTCACCGTCAGTGATTCAAGGAACTTCTTTATCTATTCAGAATTAAAGAAGTGAGCCGAGGAGCCACTGGTGTGCCCAAGACAAAGATGGCCTCTGAAAGGAGAGAAAATATAGCCCCGATGAGGGGAGGAAATGCTAAACAGAATTTGCCAGAACTCTCCAGAAATAATGAATGCCCAGGAGAAGAGCAAAGGTATTGAGAACTTGGGGAACCATTTGACTGTGTAAAGGGGGTAATATTTTTGAAACTATCAAATAGATCCATCTACTTTTCATCCCTGTGAGTCATGATGCTCTGAATCTCTTCTTTCCACCACCCCCAGCCCCATTAAATCAAGAGGAATGCCGACCCCACCTGAAATAAAGAGGCCATCCTTTAGCTTTGAGTCTGTACAGAGGCCATAGTCTTAAAACCTAGCCTGGTGGGGAATACGGAGAGGTTCTTAATTTCAAAAACTTCCCTTTCCATGCAAAGGCAAATCTGGGAGGTCTGAGCTCTGGTATATATTATAAGCAGTCATTAGATGGCATTCAGTAAAAGAGCTCAGAAGAAGGTGATCTCTTCCAAGCCCAGAAGTGGAACCAAGAAGGCAGGGAGATTCAGAGAAAATGCAACCAAGAGAAAGACGTTGCCTGGAACGCTCAGGGATTCAGTGCCCCGACCTCCCTCAGCCCTTGCCCCAGTATGGGATGGAAAGAAAATAGGAATCCAGGGCTGGGCTCAGTGGCTCACACCTGTAATCCCAGCACTTTGAGAGGCCGAGGCGGGAGGATCACTTGAGGTTGGGAGTTCAAGACCAGCCTGCCCAACATGTGAAACCCCATCTCTACAAAAAATATAAAAATTAGCCAGGCATGGCGGTGCACACCTTTAGTCCCAGCTACTCAGGAGGCTGAGGCAGGAGGGTCGCTTTAACCAGGGAGGTGGAGACTGCAGTGAGCCGAGATCATGCCACTGCACTCCAGCCTAAGCAACAGAGCAAGATTCAGTCTCGAAAAAACGAAAATAGAAATCCCAGAAGGTGAGAGGAAAAGGAGAAATCAGAAAGGGTTTTTCTTCATTGAAGCTCTGAGACTGTGCCTCTGGGTGACCAAGGAGCAGCCAAGATAGCAGAGAGATGGTCGTAGCCTTGGAGGATCCATCAGGGGCAGTCACAAAAACAGAGCCTCTACAAGCACTGTGGGAATCAGATTTCATATTGGAACAAGAACTCACGCAGATGTGGGATAACTTAGAGGTGGAAATCAGAGGGCCAGACAAAGAGCCACTATCATGTCTGCTGGAGCCACTGATGTGAGTGGACACACCACAGCTTGCAGGGAGAATCCAAGAAGCTCTTCCTGTCTGCCCAAAGGAGGCCATGAATGAGGTCCTTACAGAGGGGTTGTAGCAATGGAGAATAAAAAAAAAAAAAAAAAAAAAGACAAATTTGAGAGATGCTTAGAGGTGGAACTGAAAGTCCAGAAATGGTATAGCAGGGAGAGGGGAGGGAAAGGGTGGGGGGCAAGGGAACCCTAGATTTTTGACTTGAGCAGCTAAGTGGACTGAGCACTGTGCAGTAAGATGGGAAAGATGGGGGAGGGAGCAGGGTCAGGACTAGAGTGAGCAAGTGAGGTACTCACTTCAGACACCAAATATAAGGCTGCGCCTCCAAAAAAAATCATTAAAAAATATAAATAATGTTTTAATGTGGTAATTTTTTTAAAAAAAATCAAAATGAATGCAAAAAAAAATCCATGAAGAACAAGATCAGGGTTACTGATTTTTCCTTTTGCCTCAGGCTTCAATATGGCTCAGCACAGCACTATTTCTGATCCTGTCTTGATTAAAATGTTTAATCTTTTGCTCACCATGGGTTTTTTTTGCATTCATTTATTCCTTTTTAATACTGCATCAAAATATTATTTGATGGCTGTGTTTTCTGGTGCCACCCACATTTTGCACCTAGGATGAGAGCTTCACTCACCTCCCCATTTCCAGCCCAGAGGAAGAAGCCTGGGGAAAGGAGGTTAACTAAGGTTCAGTCTTGGATATACATGGGGATTAAAATAGATCTCAGGGCTGAGCATGGTGGTTCATGCCTGTAATCCCAGCACTTTGGGAGGCCGAGGCGGGCAGATTACCTGAGGGTAGGAGTTCGAGACCAGCCTGGCCAACTTGGCAAAACCCCGTCACTACCAAAAATACAAAAATTAGCTGGGCATGGTAGCAGGTGCCTGTAATCCCAGCTACTTGGGAGGCTGAAGCAGGAGAATTGCTTGAACCTGGGAGACGGAGGTTGCAGTGAGCCGAGATTGCGTCACTGCACTCCAGCCTGCCCCTGGGCAACAGAGCAAGACTCAGTTCTCAAAATAAATAAATAAATAAATAACCTCAGGTGTGAAGTGCCTGGACCAGAGAGGACCTTTAACCTGTATTGTAGTGGATTCTGTGGGTACCTGGCTTGTTCCCTAGGTCTAACCATTTCAGGGCACAACAGCTGCCATCACCTGCATTTCCTGCCTCAGGACTCTCTTGGCCACCAAATGAGAGATACTGGAAGTGCTGGGTAATTAACAGCCCCCCCATCCCCATCCCCCCACACACACACCCCCACACCCCCACCCAGCAGCCTTCTGAGGCAGGAGAATGGGGTCTGGAGGCAGGGAACCTAAGGCCCTTTCAGGCTGACTCCCTAGAACTAAATTGAAAGAAAAACCATAACTTTCCATACCTAAGTAAAAAAAGGACCAGAGTCTACACCCTTTGCAAACACCCACCTTTTCTGCGGGGCAGATGGGAAATGAAAGTACCAAGACGTTTGCATAGGAGTGTAACTTTGTGATTTCACTTCAGCCTCTGATTATGGGCCACCACTTCATTTACATGAGGTGAACACCAAGTGGCCAATGGGAAACCTCTAGCGGATATTTGGACCAGAGAAGATTCTGTATCCAGGGCCTGCTCCCACACTGTAGAGTGTACTTTCATTTTAAATTTCTGCTTTTGTTGCTTCATTCTTTCCTTGCTTTGTGCATTTTGTCCAATTCTTTGTTCAAGACGCCAAGAACCTGAACACCCTCCACGAGTAACACTTCAACTACTGATCCACAGGAGTTGGTGTATAAATACCCCAGCTCCCTCGCCCCTCAGATGGGACCATTTTGAGATATATATGTTGCACCATTTCCCAGAGTCCAGGTGAGATGAAGCTCCAGTTGTCCAAAGTGTAACTGATTGGATAATATACCCATATGCTCTGTCCCTTCCCCATCTCAATTCTCTCCCCTGTTAATGGCGTTTCCCAGGGTGACTTCCCAAAACCACTGCATGCACTTGAATCCTTGTCTCAGGGCCTGCTTTTAGGACAACTGAACCAAGAGACCTATGCGTCCTTCCTTTTTCCCCCTCTTCTCTGTGGAAACATAGAATGTTCTGCACACACTTGGAAGTCTGAGCATACCCTCTAAGGAGAGACCCCTGACTCCCAGCATTCCCCTGGGACGGAGGTCTGTAGGGTGGTAATTGCCAGCCAGCGCTAGGAGGACTGGATCTGAAATGGGCTTGGCTGTGTTTCTGTAATCTCTGCACCTTGAGTGGAAAAATAATTGGTAGACACCTTTCTTGGCCATTAATTCTTTACAGCCAACACTGAGCCCTTGAGGCAAAAACTGATTGTCTGCAGTTACTGCCTGCCTGGTCCTGAATTCAGAACAGGAAGCCTGACTCTCCCCCACCCTTTATTACAGACAACCACTCCTCCCTCTTGCAGAGATGAGATGCCCTCCCTCACTTCCTCCCAGAGTCCAAGAGGGGCCAGAGAAGGCTGGTTGTACAGATTGGAGGAGACATAAATGCCCCTCAAGCCAGAGGAACTAAGGGTTGAGAGCCATGAGTTAAAAATCATGGAAGGCATAGCCTTTATTCATGCTTTCTTTTTTAAAAATATTTTTCATCATGCACACTTTTTGCCCATTAATACCCACACAACAACTTATGCAGTAGATGTTACTCTTAACACCCATTTTATAGATGAAGAGGCTCAGAGAAAAAGAGGGGCTTAGCCCAGGCCACATAGAGAATAAACTGATTTGGACACAGGTCTGTCTGACTCCAAACACCATTCTCTTCTTCATGCTATAGGTTGTTTTTCTCCCTTCAGTAAACGTTTCTTGAGCACCTACATGTCCCACGCCCCATGCTGGCCTGAAGGAGGACACAAAGATAGGTAAGAACCATTTGTTCCCTTCAGGAGGAAGAGATAAAATCTCCCCAGTTCTTCCCATTTCTGCCCATTCCCTATACAGAGGGTCAGCATTTGCTTGTTGTTTTTTGTTTTTTGTTTTAGACAGTCTCGATCTGTTGCTCAGGCTGCAGTGGCATGATCTTGGCTCACTGCAACCTCCCCCTCCCAGTTCAAGTGATTCTCCTGCCTCAGCCTCCTGGGTAGCTGGGACTACAGATGCCTGCCACCACGCCTGGCTAATTTTTGTATTTTTAGTAGAGACGGAGTTTCACCATTTTGGCCAGGCTAGTCTCGAACTCCTGACCTCATGTGATCTGCCCCCCTCAGCCTCCCAAAGTGCTGGGGTCACAGGCGTGAGCCACCACGCCCACTCAGCATCTATTTTTATAAGATGTATATATTGCCTATAGCAGCTTTAATGCTACAAATTTGAGTAGGTGTAGCAGAGACCATGTGGCCCACAAAGCTGAAATATTGGCTGCCTGGCCCTTTACAGGAAAAGTTTGCCAACTCCTGGTCCACACCGTGCCAGGCACTGACGATGCACCACCACACTTACTTCTCAACTCGACTCTGGAAGGTGTCCTACTACGATGTCCATGCTACAGATGAGAAATGAGGCTCAGAGGCAGGAGATGGCTTGTCCCATTGCTGGAAAGGTACAAAGTTGGATAATTCCAAAGCCCACCACGGCTCCAAGCCACATAAAAAATGTTGATGGCCAATGTTTTGAAACATTAGCATTCACTCTTGAAAGAGCTCACAACCGGCCAGCGCAGTAGCTCACGCCTGTAATCCCAGCACCTTGGGAGGCCAAGGTGGGCAGATCATGATTTTAGGAGATCAAGACCATCCTGGCTAATACGGTGAAATCCCATCTGTACTAAAAATACAAAAAATTAGCCGGGTTTGGTGGGCAAGCGCCTGTAGTTCCAGCTACTTGGGAGGCTGAGGCAGGAGAATCGCTTGAACCCGGGAGGCAGAGGTTGCAGTGAGCCAAGATGACACCACTGCACTCCAGCCTGGGTGAGAAAGCGAGAGTCTGTCTCAAAAAAAAAAAAAAAAGAAAGAAAGAGCTCACAACCTCCATTAGCAGTGGGCCACTGGACTATCCCCATAGTCCCCACTCCGCAAACACCTACATCTGCCATGTTGTCTTAGAGAGACCTGAACCTGGTCAGGTCCCCAGTCCTGCACGGGTGCCCTTCTCCTACAGGCACCAGAAGACCTTTCACTGTGGTGAACAGGCATTCATGAGTTCATCCAAAATCTGAGGCTGGTGTCATGATCTTCTGTTACTCAGTCTTTGTGGGAGGGCAGGTTCACATCTGAAGGAGGAGCTGAAAGTTGGCTGGAGTGCACCACATGGCAAAAGTGGCCCGTTTATGAGAAGCTCCTTAAACTTGGTCTTTTTCTCTACTCCTGTGAGACAGGTAAGATGCTTAAATCTACACTTTTTTTTTTTTTTTTAAGAGACAGGTTCTTGCTCTCTTGCCCAGGCCGGAGTGCAATACCACGATCCTAGCTCACTGCAGGCTTGAACTCCTGGGATCAAGCGATACTCCCACATAGCTGGGACTACAGGTGCCCGCCACCATGCCCAGCTATTTTTTTTTTGTTTGTTCGTTTGTTTGTTTTTGGTAGAGATGAGGTTGTGCTGTATAGCGCAAGCTGGTCTCAAACTCCTGGGCTCAAGCAATTCTCCCGCCTTGGCCTCCCAAAGTGCTGGGATTAGCAGCCCTGAGCCACCACGCCCAACTATATTACCTAGTTCTTTTTTTTTTTTTTTTTTTTTTTTTGAGATGGAGTCTCACTCTGTCTCCCAGGCTGGAGTGCAGTGGTGCAATCTCGGCTCACTGCAAACGCCACCTCCCAGGTTCAAGCGATTCTCCTACTTCAGCCTCCCAAGTAGCTAGAATTACAGGCATGTGCCACCACACCCAGCTAATTTTTGTATTTTTAGTAGAGATGGGGTTTCGCTATGTTGGTCAGGCTGGTCTCAAACTCCTGACCTCAGGTGATCCGCCCACCTTGGCCTCCCAAAGTGCTGGGATTACAGCCATGAGCCACTGCTCCTGACTACATTAACTAGTTCTTATCAGGAGCTGACTGCCTTTAGCATACACAATTTGCACTGTTGTCCTCCCAGCACTCACCTTCACAAGCCAAAGGCTTGCTCGCAACTCCTACCTCCCAGCCCTGGGGCTTCTTAATTTCTGGCTGTGGAAGAAGATTCAGCCAATCAAGCAAGCAGGAAATGCCAGAGTGAACACTCCTGGAAGCAAGCTTCAACCAAGGGCAGCTGGGCAGTTAACGTATGAACACCCAGCTTTCTCCCTGCTTGGCTGGGAGGCCATCCTCTCCCCTCTGTCCGAGGTGTGTTCTGCCCCGTCTCCCAGAGTTCACAGAGGCATGAAGCTCCAGTTGCTCTGGGCTGTCCTCATCCCACAAACACATTGGCTGACTTCCTCCCATTCCCTGTCTCACATCTTCTCCTACTGGTGCTTGCTGGGATCACCTCCCAAATCAACTACTTGTAAAATAATACTGAGAATCTTGTCTCAGAGGCTGCTTCTGGAAAAATTCAGAGACAAGCACCAAGAGTTCTTCATGCCCTCTCACCTGATCCTGACACTGCCCCGGGAGCCAGCTTCATCCCCATTTTTCTGAGGTGTCGGCTGAGGGGCTCACAGAGGTAAAGCAAGCAGAACCCCAGCCTGCTAGGCATTAGCAAGGGCCAGAGGGCTCAAGAAAAGGTCCTGCATCAGGCATGGTGGCTCACGTATATAATCCCAGCACTTTGGGAGGCCAAGGCAGGCGGATTACTTGAGTCCAGGAGTTCGAGAGCAGCCTGGGCAACATGGCAAAACCCTGTCTCTACAAAAAAAATCAGCCAGGCACGGTGGCTCATGCCTGTAATCCCAGCACCTTGGGAGGCCGAGGTGGGTGGATCATGAGGTCAGGAGATCGAGACCATCCTGGCTAACACGGTGAAACCCCGTCTCTACTAAAAATACAAAAAGTTAGCCAGGCATGGTGGCGGGCACCTGTAGTCCCAGCTACTTGGGAGGCTGAGGCAGGAGAATGGCATGAACCCGGGAGGCGAGCTTGTAGTGAGCCGAGATCGTGCCACTGCACTCTAGCCTGGGCAACAGAGCCAGACTCCATCTCAAAAAAAAAAAAAAAAATCAAAAACTTAGCCAGATGTCGTGGCTCATGCCTATGGTCCCAGCTACTCGGGAGGCTGAGGTGGGAGGATCGCTTGAGCCCAGGAGATGGAGGCTGTAGTGAGCCATGATCATGCCACTTAACTCCAGCCTGGGCGACAGAGCAAAACCCCATCTCAAATAACTAAATAAAATAAAAAGAAAGCGTCCTGGTCTTCATCACAGAGTGAAACTGTCCCAAACCGAGGCTACACTCCAACCTTCCAGCTCTTTCTGCTCCAGGTCCAGCTCCCACCTCCCATGTAGCCATCCTCTATCCAAGAAGATGGCTGTAATGGGACCAGAATCAGCCTGTCATAAAAGATGGAGAACTAAGAGCTCTCCATAAAAATGATCTCCATGGCAAAATTAGGAGGGAAAAACAGCATGGATGAAAGTTGCATTTATTAAATAATAATCGCGAACGCTCACTTCATGCCTACTGTATGCTAGCTGCTGTTCCAAGTGTTTTACAATGAAATAAATTTTTAAAATTTTTGCACAACTCTTTGAGATAGGCACTATTGCTTTCTTCATTTTACAGTCAAGGAACTGAGGCACGAGAAAGTTATGAAGTTTGTCCAGGGTCATAAAGCTAGCAGATGAGGGAACTAGACTCAGGCAGTATAACTCCAGCTACAGTCATTACAATGAGCCACACAACGCAGTGGGTCAAGGAGGAGCCACTCACACAAAGATCGTCCCATAAGATTATAACCGTATTTTCAACATACTTTTCTATGTTTAGATGAGGTTGGAGGCAGGACTGGACTCGAGGTGGAGCTTGCACACCAGACCAGATTGAAGACTAGCTGAAACAGGAAAGAGGTAAAAGGATGCTCTGTAAGACACACCCACCAGTGCCCTGTCAGTTTACTGTTGCCATGGCAACACCCGGACGTTCTCACCCCTTCCCATGGCAATGACCCGTCTACGCAGAAGTTACTGCTATTTTTCTAGAAATTTCTTCATAATCCACCCCTTAATTTGCATGTAATTAAAAGTGGATCTTGACCGGCTGCAGTGGCTCATGCCTGTAATCCCAGCACTTCGAAAGGCTGAGGCAGGAGGATCACCTGAGATCAGGAGTTTGAGACCAGTCTGGCCAATATGGTGAAACCCCGTCTCTACTAAAAATACAAAAATCAGCCGGGTATGGTAGCAGGCGCCTGTAATCCCAGCTACTACAGAAGCTGAGGTGGGAGAATCGCTTGAACCCTGGAGGCAGAAGTTGCAACGAGTCGAGATCGCGCCAATGCACTCCAGCCTGGGTGACACAGCAAGACTCGATCTCAAAAAAAAAAAAAAAAAGTGAATATCAATATGAGTGCAGAACTGCCCCTGGCCCTGAGCTGCTATTCTGTCACACTGCCTGTGGCAGTACCTCTGTGGCTGACGTACGCTGCTTCAATAAAAGTTGCTAACATCACCGGCTCACCCTTGAATTCTTTCCTGGACAAAGACAAGAACTCTCCCAAGCTAAGCCCCAATTCTGGGGCTTGCCAGTCTGGCGTCATCCATACACAGACACTTCCCACTGTGTTACCATCGTCTATGTTATGGGGTCAGTTGCATGCTGCAGTTTGTAGCCTAGGGGTGGCAGGCTGCACCAGCCCTAGTGTGTGGGAGGCTATCCCATCTAGGGATGTATAGTGGACTCTATGATGTTCACACAGGGTTGAAATCACCTAATACAACTTTTCTCAGAACATATCCCCGTCTTTAAGGGACACACGGCTGTACTCCCAACCCTCTTCCCCATAGGGTGCCTGTGGCACAAAGTGGGTTCTCTCAATGATCCGTTGAGAGACACTGTGGCACTGCGGGAGACAGCGTCCCCTACAGGCCTGGAGGTCCCAGTTTTCGGTTTTGTTCAGATGTGAAGGAAGTTCTGGCATCTGCCTAGGGTGGGGTGAATTTTTTAGGTGGGGGGTGGGGAATGGAGTCTCCCTCTGTTGCCCAGGCTGGAGTGCCGTGGTGTGATCTTGGCTCACTGCAGCCTCCACCTCCCGGGTTCAAGCGATTCTCCTGCCTCAGCCTCTGGAGTAGTTGGAATTACAGGCACGCACCACCATGCCCTTTTGTATTCTTAGCAGAGACGGGGTTTTACCATGTTTAGCCAGGCTGGTCTCAAACTCCTGACCCTCAAGTGATCCGCCCACCTCAGCCTCCCAAAGTGCTGGGATTACAGGCATGAGCCACTGCACCGGGCCTTAGGGTGGGATGAAAGAGGCTTAACCAAGGCTCTCTGAGGACAAAAACATGGGATGACCTTCTTAGCTTTTTTTTTTTTTTTTTTTGAGAGGGAGTTTTGCTCTTGTCACCCAGGCTGGAATGCAGTGGCACGATCGTGGCTGGCTGCAACCTCTACCTCCCGGGTTCAAGCGATTCTCGTGCCTCAGTCTCCCGAGTAGCTGGGACTACAGGTGCCTGCCACCATGCCTGGCTAATTTTTGTATTTTTTAGTAGAGACGGGGTTTCACTGTGTTGGCCAAGCTGGTCTCAAACTCCTGACCTCAGGTGATGCACCCACCTCGGCTTCCCAAAGTGCTGGAATTACAGGCGTGAGCCACTGCGCCTGGCCAGCTTTGTTTTTTATCATCTTTATTGATACATAATTTACATATGGTAAAGTGCACCTATTTTAAGTAGACAGTTCAATGAGTTTTGACAAATATATACGTTTGTGTAGACATCGCAATAATCATGATCTGGAACATTTCCCTCACTCCTTCCTGCCTCTCGACAGTCAATTCCCTCCTCCAGTCGCCAGCTGGGGCAGCCACTTATCTGCTTGCTGTCCCTTCAGTTCCACCTTTCCTAGTGTGGTCCCCTGAGCATCTGCCTCTCGGCTCTGCAGGAGGATTTTAACACGCAGGGCCCCAGGCCCTGCATGCACCCAGGGAGCCTGATGCTGATGATGGGACCCACATATCCGTGTTTCAGTGGTGCTCGCCAATGCCTGAGACCACTGCCTTGGGACTGCGATTTTTGGATGGCCCACCTGGGCCTGTCTCATCTGGTTATGTCCCCTGAGATGAGCACTGTGCCCGGGCTAGTTGGGGTGCCTGAAAACAACTCATTTCCCCTCACTCTCCAAGGAGGTACATTCTGTACCTCTGCCATGTGGCAGACCCGCTCAGCTTTTCCTGCCTGTGACATTAGAGGGCCACCATGTGAGGCAGCTTTTGCTACCAGAATAAGGGCTGCAGTGAAAAGCACATGCACCCCCGAGGCAATCAGGAACATGCTTCCATTATATCTGTCCAGATGACAGCATGTGGAACTAATGATGAGTAAAAGGTCTGCAAGCCACAGCCTGGCCAGGCCGGAAACCTGCATGCACCAGCTTCAGGAAAGATCTGAGAGGGGACCTCAGTGCTGCTTCCTGCAGGATTCTGACAGGCTTGAAGACAATGCTGCTAACTGAAGTATGCTGTGGGCTGTAACTGTCTCTGATCTTCCCCATGGCCTCATGCTCTTCACCTGACATGTGGCCAACTAGGATTTTCCTCATCAACTTTTTTTTTTTTTTTTGAGACAGAGTTTCACTCTTGTGCCCAGGCTGGAGTACAATGGTGCAGTCTCAGCTCCCTGCTACCTCTATCTCTTGGGTTCAAGCCATTCTCCTGCCTCAGCCTCCTAAGGAGCTGGGATTACAGGTGCCTGCCACCATGCCTGGCTAATTTTTGTATTTTTAGTAGAGACGGGGTTTCACCAAGTTGGCCAGGCTGGTCTCGAACTCCTTACCTCAGGTGATCCGCCCACCTCAGCCTCCCAAAAGTGCTGGGAATACAGGTGTGAGCCACCACACCTGGCATTCTCATCAGCATTTCTATTTCACCACTGCCCCGGAAACCCGGGCAATGATCCTGAGTCTACCCACCAGTACCTACTGGATTTCCATTCTGCTGACTGGCCTGCTTCCACATTTGCCACAATGGACAATTTCAAAAGCTTCTTTTTTTTTTTTTTTTTTTAAGAGATGGGGTCTTGTCTAGGTACAATGGCTCACACCTGTAATCCCAGCACTTTTGGAGGCCAAGGTGGGCACATCACTTGAGGTCAGGAGTTCAAGACCAGCCTGGCCAACATGGTGAAATCCCTGTCTCTACTAAAAATACAAAAATTAGTTGGGCATGATGGCGCATACCTGTAGTCCCAGCTACTCAGGAGGCTGAGGCAGGAGAATCACTTGAACCCAGGAGACGGAGGTTGCAGTGAGCCGAGATCCAACCGCTGCACTCCAGCCTGGGCGACAGAGTGAGACTCTGTCTCAAAAAAACAAAAAACAAAAAGAGATGGGGTCTTGCTATGTTGTCCAGTTTGGATTCAAACTCCTAGACTCAAGTAAGCCTCCTGCTCCAGCCTCCCAAGCAGCTGGGACTATGGGCACTCATCACCCTTCCCAGCTTTTTCCAGGAGCTTCTTGATTCCAATCTGGCTCCAAGCAGCAGGAGAAGTAGGACTGAGTGAGGAATTGGGCTCCAGCCACCACCAAAGGCCGCAGCTCTTACCTGGCGTAGAGAACAACAAACTGTGGCACCAACAGTCATATCCAGACAAGTCCAGGAAGGCCAAGGTCAGCTCTGAGGGCCACACATGAAACTGAGCACGTCAGCAGTGAGCAGCCAGAAGGATGAACAGACTTGAAACCAGATCACAGGAGGGATATCTGGGGATGTGTTAGTCCATTCTCACACTGCTATAAAGATAATACTGAGACTGAGTAATTCATAAAGAAAAGAGTTTTAATTGACTCGTGGTTCTGCATGGCAGGGGAGGCCTCAGGAAACTTACAATCATGGCAGAAGGTGAAGGGGAAGCAGGCACGTCTTACCTGGCAGCAGGAGAGAGAGAGAAGAGAGAGAGAGGGGAGAAAGCAGGGAGAGGGAGAGGGAGAGGGAGAGACAGGGAGGGAGAGAGAGGGAGAGAGGAAGGAAGGGAGAGAGGGAGAGAGAGGAAGGGAGAGGGAGAGAGGGAGGGAGGGAGAGAGGGAGGGAGGGAGGGAGAGAGGGAGGGAGGGAGAGAGGGAGGGAGGGAGGGAGAGAGGGAGGGAGGGAGAGAGGGAGGGAGGGAGAGAGAGATCGAGAGAGAGAGATAGATAGAGATAGAGAGAGATAGAGAGAGAGAGAGAGCACAAAAGAGAAACTGCCACTTATAAACCATTAGATCTCATGAGAACTCCCTCACTATCACGAGAACAGCATGGGGGAAACCACCCCCGTGACCCAATTGTCTCCCACCAGGTGCCTCCCTCCACGGGGGGATTACAATTTGAGATGAGATTTGGGTGGAGACACAGAGCCTAACCATATCAGGGAGACTATGGGCATTTAGCCAGAAGAGAGGACATGAATAGAGCATCTGAGTGCTGACCCCAACATCTGAAAGACCCATTTGTGGGAAACAGATGTATTTGCACAGCCTCGGGCACAGCCAGGACCAGTGGGTAGACAATTCAAGGAAGGCAATTGTTTATATAAAGAATTAATAACACACAGTGAAAGATGTCCAACAATGGACTTGGACCCCCAGTTAAACAGTGAACTCTCCAACAGGGGTGTAGCCAAGTGAGGGCCAGAAAACTTCTAGGTGAATAAGAGGCTTGACAATTAGAAGACTTGGATTCGGGGACCTTCAAGAACCTTCTATCAATAGCTGTGAGCTTCTTTCAGGCAGGAATGAGCCGCTGTTAATTTTTCTGCCACCGTAATCACACTGATAGCCACCAGGTGGCAACAAAGCCACACCTTCAGCACCATGGATCATGTCCTAGCCAACAGAAAACCCATTGGAAAACAAGCCCCCTGCCCCCTCAACCAAACCATAAACAACTAATTGATTCAGATTAATTAACATTTCTGGACAAAGACTGTAAATCAAGTTCTCAACCGAGCGTGGTGTAATCCCAGCACTTCGGGAGGCCGAGGTGGGCAAATCACAAGGTCAGAAGTTTGAGACCAGCCTGGCCAACATGGTAAAACCCCAACTCTACTAAAAATACAAAAATTAGCCAGGAGTGATGGCACACGCCTGTAATCCTAGCTACTCAGGAGGCTGAGACAGGAGAATTGCTTGAACCCAGGAGGCAGAGGTTGCAGTGAGACAGGAGCATCACTTGAACCCAGGAAGTGGAGGTTGCAGTGAAACAGGAGAATTGCTTGAACCCAGGAGGTGGAGGTTGCAGTGAGCTGAGATCGTGTCACTGCACTCCAGCCTGGTGGCACAGCGAGACTCCATCTCAGAAAAAACAAATAAATAAAGTTATCAGTAGAGCTTTAGTTACCAGCATGACCCAGAGGGCTCTAGGTGAAGTGTGTAATTGTAATTTTCTTTAGAGATTTATCATCTTTTTTGTTTTAATTTTCCGGTGAAGTACAACATGCATACAGTAGCATGCACAAATCATCAGCACACAGCTCAGCGCCTCTTCATAAACAGAGCACCCCCGTACCCAGCTCAAGAAACAAAATGTGATCAGAATTCCAGCAGCCCCTCATACCCCTTCCTAGCCCTCCCCTCCCTAGGTTACGGTGACAGCCACTACCAGCTTTCAGCTTTAATGGACACCACCATGCAGCTTTCCAAAGTGATTGTGCCAATTTACACTGCCAACAACAATCTGAGAGTTCCAGTGGCTCCAGAGCCACACTGGAATTTTCTGTTTGGATAAGTCTTGGCGGAGGAAATGTGGGATCTGGTGAGGACATCCTTGCTCCCCTCTGAAGGTGGTGTGTCTGGGCAGCACTAACCAGAAGGTGGAAGATTCCATCCCACCAGCACATCCTGGTGAACCCATCAGCACACTAATATCTGCTGAATGGAGAGTCTCGCTTCACGTGCTCTGCACAATGTCCCAGAGTGGCGCTGCTCTCAATTAGCACTTACTATGTGTGCTGCAGTTTTGTTTTTGTTTTGTTTTGTTTTTAGAGATAGGGTCTCACTCTGTCACCCAGGCTGGAGTGCATTAGCTCACTGCAGCCTTGAAACCCTGGTTTCAAGCACCTTTCTGCCTCAGCCTCCCAGGTAGCTGGGACTACAGGTATGTGCTATTGTGTCTAGCTGTATGTGGACTTTTCTTTTTTCTTTTTTTTTCTTTTTTCTTTTTTTTTTTTTGAGATGAAGTCTTGCTCACTCTATCGCCCAGGTTGGAGTGCAGTGCTGTGATCTTGGCTCATTGCACTGCAACCCGTGCCTCCCCAGTTCAAGTGATTCTCTTCCCTCAGCCTCCTGAGTAGCTGGGATTGCAGGCATGCACCACTACACCCAGCTAATTTTTGTATTTTTACTAGAGACGGGGGTTTCACCATGTTGGCCAGGCTGGTCTCGAACTCCTGACCTCAGGTGATCCGCCCGCCTCAGCCTCGCAAAGAGCTGGAATTACAGGCTTGAGCCACTGTGCCCGGCCCATTTTTGGACTTTTCTAAGGACTGGACATGAAGGTGTAAAAAGACAGACAGC
Organism: Homo sapiens; assembly: GCF_000001405.40. Lineage (NCBI taxonomy): Eukaryota > Metazoa > Chordata > Mammalia > Primates > Hominidae > Homo > Homo sapiens. Next base: position 43,450,885 of record NC_000020.11, read on the forward strand.
ATCCCTGCTCCACTGACACTGACATTCTCGTTGGGGATGGGAGAGGCAGAAATACATATCTCGGGTGATGAAAATTTCTACGAAAAAAAGTGGAACAGGGGAAGAAGAGACACAGAGTGCAGGGGAAAAACTCTATTTTTAAATAGGTGGTTGAGGAGGCGCTTCTGATAACAGTCTGTTTCCTGCTGATATACCACAAACTGGGTAATTTATAATGAAATTAGAATACCACAAACTGGGTAATTTATAATGAAAAATTTATTTCTCTCCCTCTTTAAGGCTAGTCAAGTGACGCAGTGGAAGTGGAGAAGGAACAAAGAAATCTGTAACTGATTGTGATCAATTAGTTGCAAACATCATTGCACTTGGACCAGCCAGAAAAGAAATTTATTTCTTACACAAGACAGAGAGGCACCGGGGCCAGACTCGCTTTATAACAATCCACCCTCTCAATAACCAACCCACTCCTTCCGTAATAACGACATTAATTCATGAAGGCTCCACCCCCATTCATGATTCAATCGCCTCTTATTAGGCCCCACCTCCCAATATCATGCACTGGGGATAAAGTCTCCAACACAGAAATTGTTGAGGGACATGTTCAAGCCACAGCAATAACGTTGAGCAGAAACCAAAAGAAAATGAGGGGAGCAAATCACAGAAAAATAGTTCCAGATGCAGGGAGCTGTCCCGTGACAAGGCCCTGAGGTCAGTGTATGTTTGGCACATTCAAGAGCTGGTGGGAGAAGGAAGGGTAAGAAATGCAGGGAGAGTTGGAGGGATGTGACTGTATAGGACCTACCCCCATTGATGTTCAAAAGCAACCGCAAACCCATCCAATACACACATGTGTAGTCGTATCAAGAGCTGGGGGTTTTAGGCCAGGCAAGGTGGCTCATGCCTGTAATCCCAGCACTTTGAAAGGCCGAGGTGGGCAGATCAGTTGAGTCTAGGAGTTCGAGACTAGCCTGGGCAACATGGCAAAACCCCATCTCTAAAAAAAATTAGCTGGACGTGGTGGCGCATGCCAGTAGTCCCAGCTACTCAGGAGGCTGAGGTGGGAAAATTTCCTGAGCCCGGGAGGTGGAGATTGCAGTAAGCCAAGATGGCACCACTGCACTGCAGCCTGGATGACCAAGTGAGACTCTGACTCAAAAAAAAAAAAAAAGCGGGGTGGGGCGGGGCTTGAGGTGGTGTTATTTACAAAAACAATGGGATCATGCATATATTAAAACTTGCCTTCTTAACAACACTCAGAAGCATCATTAGTGGTCAGTCACACAGATTGAGGTAAGCAAACCTCTTCTGTGAAGAGCCAGCGAGGAAATAGTTCAGGCTTTGCAGGCTGGATAGTCTCTGTTGCAACCACTCAATATAATAACAAATCAAGACTGCTGTTGTAGCTTGAGAGGAGCCATAGACAATGTGTAAATGAATGGGTGATACTGTGTTCCCACAGAACCTTATTTACAAAACAAGTGGCAGGCCAAGATTTGACTGGGGCCCTAGTTTGCAAAGCTGACACATGACGTTACTATGGTTTTCCCAATGCTGAGAACAGTAGGCATTCGATAAATATTTATTTGAAATGAGAATAATCTTACTTATTTTCATTGTGGAAGAGTATTCCATGGCTTGAATAAGCATCCCTGGACCTATGATTTTACAAACTGGCCCCTTGTCAAATAGATTTCTAGGATTAAGGTTACTGGGTCAAAGGTTTATGAACTTGCTGTTTGTCAATTAACCACTACCTCCCTGAAACCCTTTCCACTCCTAGCTTCTGTGACACCACACTCTTTTCGGGTTTTTTCCTTACCTTTTTAGACACTTCCCAGTTGCCATTCCTAAATTTTTGGAAGGGAGGGGGACAGGTCTTCACTCTGTGGCCCAGGCTGGAGAGAAGTCACACAATCACGACTCACTGCAGCCTGAAACACCTGGGCTCAAGTGATCCTCCTGCCTTTGCCTCCCAAGTAGCTAGGACTACAGGTGCGTGCCGCCATGCCTACTAACATTTTTCTTTCTTTTTTTGACACGTAGTCTCGTTCTGTCGCCCAGGCTGGAGTGCAGTAGTGCAATCTCTGCTCACTGCGACCTCCACCTCCCGGGTTTAAGCGATTCTCAGTCTCCCGAGCAGCTGGGATTACAGGCCTGCACCACCACACACGGCTAATTTTTGTGTTTTTAGTGGAGACAGGGTTTCACCATTTTGGCCAGGCTGGTCTCGAACTCCTGACCTCAAGTGATCTGCCCACCTCGTCCTCCCAAAGTGTTGGGATTACAGGCGTTAGCCACTGTGCCTGGCCTTTTTTCATTTTTTGTAGACTTGCTATATTGCCCAGGCTGGTCTTGAACTCCTGGCCTCCAGAGATCCTCCCACCTCATCCTCCCAAAGCGCTAGGATTACAAGCACAAGTCCCTGCACCCAGCTTCCATTCCTAAATTTAACAAAATTTCAGAGTCCCTGTGGTAGTGTGTGTGGAATTGGTTCCTTCCGGTGGGTTCTTGGTCTTGCTGACTTCAAGAATGAAGCCGCGGACCCTCGCAGTGAGTGTTACAGTTCTTAAAGATGGTGTGTCCGGAGTTTCTCCTTCAGATGTTCAGATGTGTCCCGAGTTCCTTCCTTCCAGTGGGTTCGTGGTCTTAAGCTGCAGACCTTCTGCAGTGAGTGTTACAGCTCTTAAAGGTAGTGCGGACCCAAAGAGTGGGCAGCAGCAAGATTTATATGTGCATGTATACATAAATATGTATAGAGAGAGGCTTAAGTCCATGGAATGTAGTTAGGGAAAGGAGAATTTGACAATGATAACATTTGTTACTCATCAAACTCTCATTTTTAAAAAATTTATTAAAATTATTTGCAAGAGTTGAAGCAGGAAATGACACTCTTACGGTATTGGTGGGACTGGACATTGCTTTGGGGAGTTAGTGGGATAGTATTTATTGAAGGATAGGGAATTCGTTTGTCAAAGAGAAAGATGCAGCTGATATCATCCACTCTTCCTCTCACTTCTCTTTCCCAAAGCCCAGTGGCTACCCCTAACAAAAAACCCAAGAGCACTGCTGCGGAAGAGAAAACAGTTTCAAATATCATAATTGAGAGAGGTGCTGGATTGTCACCATTCTGTGGAGTCTTCCTGAGGACCCAACTCTGCTGATGTGTTGGGAGAACAACTCAAAGGAGAAATGGTAGATGTGCAGCATGGGAGCTCATATCTTTTCTTATTTCTTTCTTTCCTTTCTCTCCTTTCTTTTTTAGACAAGAGTCTTGCTCTGTCACCCAGGCTGGAGTGAAGTGGAGCCATCATACCTCACTGCAGCCTTGACCTCCAGGGCTCAAGTGATCCTCCCACCTCAGTCCCTGGAGTAGCTGGGACTACAAGTATACGCCGCCAGTACTGGCCTTTTTTTTTTTTAAGAGATGGAGTCTTGCTATGTTGTTCAGGCTGGTCTTGTGCTCCTGGGATCAAGTGATCCCATCTCTGCCTCTCAAGGTGATGGGATTACAGGTGTGAGCCACGGTGCCCGGCAAATCCCCTCTCGTAGCAACTCAGGTGTATTTGTATGGAGTGGAGTGAATATAGCAGTAGTTGCTCCAGGAACAGAATCCAGAATTGGAAACTGTCAGTGACAGAGTTAGAAAGAATCATGAATCAGATGACTGAAAGATCCTCTGAGGCTCTTCCAACTGGGAGATTGGATTGCATGTTGCCAAGCTAGTCCAAACTTCGTTTTAAAAACTTCCATAGGCTGGGCATGGTGGCTCATGCCTGTAATCCCAGCACTTTGGGAGGATGAGGCTTGAACTCCTTGAGCCCAGGAGATCAAGATCAGCCTGGGTAACATAGGGAGACCCTGCCTCTATTTAAAAAAGAAAAGAAAAAAACTTCTGTACAGGATTCATTTGGAATAGCACTTCTCAACCTCAGCTATTGACATTGGGGACCAGATAATCCTTCGTGGTGGGGCTGTCCTGTGCCTTGCAGGATGTTTCGTGGCATCCCTGGCCTCTACCCATGAGATACGAGCAGCTCCTTCCCTCCTCCAGCTGTGACAACCAGAAAGTCTTCAGATATTGACAGATGTCCGCAGGGGGGACAGAACTACCCCCTGTTGAGAACCACTGCCCCCTGTTGAGAGCCTTCCCAATAGCTGTGACTATAGGCATGTGCCACCATGCCCAGCTAATTTTTTAAAAAAAAAGTTTTTTGTAGAGATGGGATCTTGCCATGTTGCCCAGGTTGATATCGAACTCCTGGGCTCAAGCAATCCTCTCACCTGGGCCTCCCAAAGTGCTGGGATTACAGGCGTGAGCTACTACGCCTTGCTCCTTGCTTTTCTTTATTTCATTGAGTCAGTGTCTTGCTTTGTCATCCAGGCTGCAGTGCAGTGGCATGATCATAGCTTACTGCAGCCTCGAACTCCTGGGCTCAAGAGATCTTCCTGCCTCAGCTTCCCAAGGTGCAGGGATTACAGAATCATATTTTTTATCTGACTTTAAGCACGGTCTCTATCTCCCCCAGTCGTGACAAACAACGTTTCCCTCCAGACTGCCAAATAGCTCCAGGAGGGCAAACCCCGCCCCCCCTTTTCAACCCGAAGCGGAAGGATATTGAGGTTGCACCACTCAAAACAGAGCAGGAATACAAAAATATCCAAAGAGCTGGTGTTGGGCTTGGCACAATGGCTCACGCCTATAATCCCAGCACTTTGGGAGGCAGAGACGGGTGGATCACCTCAGGTTGGGAGTTCGAAACGAGACCAGCCTAACATGGTGAAACCCCGTCTCTACTAAAAATACAAAATTAGCTGGGCGTGGTGGTGCATGCCTGTAATCCCAGCTACTCGGGAGGCTGAGGCAGGAGAATCACTTGAACCCAGGAGGCGGAGGTTGCAGTGAGCCGAGATGGCACAGGTGTGAGCCACAGAGCCTGGCCTGGGCTGCGTTCTTTCAGGAGGCTCTGGGGCGAATCTGTTCCCTCGTGTCTTCCAGCTTCCAGAGGCTACTGGCACCCTTTGGCTTATGGTTCCTTCCTCCATCTTCAAAGCCATTAACTTCGGTTGTGACTTTCTTACAGCCAATCACTCTGACCCCAATCCCAGCCTCCTTTGTCACATCTGCTTCTCTGACTGTGGCTCTCCTGTCCCCCTCTTGTAATCACCCTTATGATCACATGGGGCCCACCTGGACAATCCCGGGGCATCTCTGCATCTCAAGATGCTCAACTTAATCAGATCTGCAAAGTCCCTTTTGACATACAAGGTAACATCTTCACAGGTTTCAGGGATTAGGATTAGGATTAGGACATAGACATCTTTAGGGGGAACCCTTATTCTGCCTACCGAGGTGAAGAGGTGAAGCCGGCTGGGCTTCTGGGTTGGGTGGGGACTTGGAGAACTTTCCCGTCTAGCTAAAGGATTGAAAACACACCAATCAGTGCTCTCTGTCTAGCTAAAGGTTTGTAAACACACCAATCAGCACTCTGTAAAAACGGACCAATCAACATTCTGTAAAATGGACCAATCAGCAGGATGTAGGCAGGGCCAAATAAGGGACTAAAAACTGGCGGTCCAGCCAGCAGTGGCAACCCGCTCGGGTCCCCTTCCACGCTGCGGAAGCTTTGTTCTTTCCTTCAGGCAGGTTGGAGTCTTGCTTTGTCACCCAGGCTGGAGTGCAGTGGCATGATCATAGCTCACTGCAGCCTCGAACACCTGGGCTCAAGAGATCCTCTTGCCTCAGCTTCCCAAGGTGTGGGGATTACAGACTCGTATTTTTTATTTATCTAACTTTAAGCACGGCCTCTACCTCCCCCAGTCGTGACAAACAACGTTTCCCTCTAGACTTCCAAATAGCTCCAGGAGGACAAAACCCCCCTTTTTCAACCCGAAGCTTAAGGATATTGAGGTTGCACCACTCAAAACAGAGCAGGAATACATAAATATCTAAAGAGCTGGTGTTATCTCAGTGATATCCCTTTTTTTTTTTTTTTTTTTTTTTAGCTTCGGCGGTGACACCTACTCTCCTGGTCTTCTCCCTACCTCGCTAGTCACTCCTCCCAGTCTCCTTTCCTGCGCTTAAATTTCAGAGTACCCCAGGCGTTGGCCTGGGTCTTCCGCTCTCCACTTAAACTTACTCCTTTGAGGTTTTCAATCTGGTTCTACAGCTTTAAATAGCATCTCCATTGATAAACTCACAAAATAAGGCACTTTCAAGTCAGTGGAGGAAATGATAGTATTGGGACAAAGGACTTTCCATACACGGGAGAAAAAAAATCGTTCGTCGCTGTGGGAGGGCTGCCGGGTCTCGTCCACGCTCCCTTTTGAGCACCTACAGTGAGCGTAGGATTGCCACGGATAGCCCAATCCACAAGTGAGTCAAGCTGCCAGGGCTCCAAGAAAGACCCATGGAGGGAGAGGGGAACGTCCGGGGAGGCGAAGGCTGCGAGTGAGACCCGGAGAGGCTGATGTCGGCGGGTCTGCGCGCTCGCAACGCGACCTCCGCCCGGTCAGCAAGACCTCGGCGCGCGATCCTCAGATTCTGCGAAACAAGACAAGCGACTGGGTCCGAGACCGCGGTCCCCATCAAAACGAGCATCAACCAATCGCTGGGAGAAATCCGCAGCCTCGTTTTAAGCCACCAAGCAGAGACCGCGGCGACCTATTATGATAACCTCGAGAACCAATGAAAAACGGGGATTCGCTCAGCCCGCCTCCCGAGCTTCAACCCCGAAGAGATCGCGCACAGTTTTATAAAAGGTACAAATTAGAAAGCAGTTCTGCGGCTGGATTAGAGACATTGTGTTTTCAAAGACGGTGGGGAGGGCTAGAGAAAAATCCTAGAAGCTAGCAAGACCGCACTACACCGAAACGTCGCGGGCAACGGACTCGCCAGTCACCATCTAGCCCAGGGACGACGCGGGACGGACGTGCCGCTGCGCGCTGACATCACGCTCCAGGCCCCGCCCCACCGGCCGCCCATATAGCGAAAGCCTGGCGCGCGCGCGCGCCATTGTGTGGCTGGACTCGGCCGCCCCTGTGGTGTGAGGCGCGTGTTCGGGCTCTTGCCGTCCCCGCACCCGCACCGCGGTTACTGGCTTGCGGTCCGCCGTTCGACAACCAGCCCTTGGGTCCCCGCCCGCCACGGACATGCCGCGCGTCTACATAGGACGCCTGAGCTACAACGTCCGGGAGAAGGACATCCAGCGCTTTTTCAGTGGCTATGGCCGCCTCCTCGAAGTAGACCTCAAAAATGGGTGAGTCGGGCCTGGGCGCCCGCGCCCAGCGTCCCAGGCCTGGTGGCGGCGGGAACTCTCCAAGGAAAGAAGCGGCCAAGGCCGCGGCGCCGCGTGGCAGGGCCTCAAAGATGGCGACGGCGCGGCGTCGCGGGGGCGCGCGGTGGGGTACGGGCGCGCGCACGTGCGCGTCCTGGCTAACGACTCCCCCGCGGTTGTCCGGCCCTCGCACCGCCCCTAGGTACGGCTTCGTGGAGTTCGAGGACTCCCGCGACGCCGACGACGCCGTTTACGAGCTGAACGGCAAGGAGCTCTGCGGCGAGCGCGTGATCGTAGAGCACGCCCGGGGCCCGCGTCGCGATCGCGACGGCTACAGCTACGGAAGCCGCAGTGAGTCCCACCCCCGCGCGCTCCGCGCCCTTGGGGACCCTGGGGGCGGGGGTGGGTGGGGTGGGGCCTCCCAGCCCGGGCAGGCGCGAGGGCCGGGGGTCGTTTGACTTGGGTGTCCCCGAGCCCCGCTGCCTTCACGTCTGCCCGGGGCAGCCATGGGACGCCGGAGCGCGGGGATTGGGTTTGGGTGTTTGGTTTTGTTTATTTGCCAAGTTGGGAGGTGGGTGGCTTCTTCTGGCCCCTTGTCAGCACTGTCACGGGTTCTTCCCACAGAGGAAGTAAGGGGTGGCTGTATTTGTTGTATTCTCCTTACTTACCTATCAGTGCATTAGTTAGAGGTTCGGGGGCAGGCTCGGGTGGAGGTGGGGTAGGGGGCGCGGGGGACGGGGAAGGGGAGGAGCATAAAGTATAGGTCTTAAAGCTATGGAACTTGATGGGGGCCAAAGAATGTACTATTTTTAAGTAATGTGGTATTGTACCACAAAGTAGATCTAAATAAGCTTTATGCTGTATTTGAACTAATTGGGGCATGTTATTGGGAGGAGGTTGGGGGGATTTTTGGTTATGTTAAATGTTTGATGTTTAAATTGTTGCATGTTGAATTCAAACTTTTTAACAAGTCCTTGATGTTTCAATTTGAAAGTGACCAATGGGGCTGAGGCTGTGTCCACTGAGGCTAAGATGACTGCCTTTCCTGATTGGCCTTGGCTTTTCCATACATTGTGTGACCCTTGCCCTATGACCCTTTGGCTGACCTTACCGGAAGCCATGACGACAGCAGCCTTTTGCCATTAGACGCAGGGTGATGGTGAGGATTCCAAGGGTTAGACAAAACTGGTTAATCTGAACTAGGTGACTGTTACCTTGCGTGTTTTGTGGCCAAACCACCACCAAAAACCTCACACTGTGATGTAAGTACTTAGTGTAAAACTAGTAAACATTTTTGTAAAATGTAGAAATGCATGTAATCAGTTAAGTTTTATATTTTACAATGTTCTGTAAAATAAAACTTAGCGAGGTAAATCGAATAAAGGAGCAGTCACTCTCTAACAGATTGTAGGAGAGGTTTAGTTGGATTTAGTCTATTTGACTTGCCCTTAATTTAATTTTATGGCAAATCACAAATGTGTCGAAGGTTTAGCAATATAATAGCAAAGTCCTACTCCAGTAAATAAAAGTTGATATGTTTGTACTAACTTTCAAAGACATTATGCGTTTTTATCATTACAAGGCATCTAATTGTTCCCTTCATGTGATAAAGGTGGTGGAGGTGGATACAGCAGTCGGAGAACATCTGGCAGAGACAAATACGGACCACCTGTTCGTACAGAATACAGGCTTATTGTAGAAAATCTTTCTAGTCGGTGCAGTTGGCAAGATTTAAAGGTATGTTTTGTAATTCAAGATAGAAATGATATGACTAATGCTTTAAAGTAAACTCCTTTTATATTCTTATTTCTGGGAATTTATTATGGTATATAGATGTTTTAAGATTTCCGAGTCTGACCAATCTTGTCTTTCAGGATTTTATGCGACAAGCAGGTGAAGTAACCTATGCGGATGCCCACAAGGAACGAACAAATGAGGGTGTAATTGAGTTTCGCTCCTACTCTGACATGAAGCGTGCTTTGGACAAACTGGATGGCACAGAAATAAATGGCAGAAATATTAGGCTTATTGAAGATAAGCCACGCACAAGCCATAGGCGATCTTACTCTGGAAGCAGATCCAGGTAACTTGTTGAAGGACACTGTGGGAAGGAAACAATATTTGCCAATAAAAAGGGAGTAATTGAGTGATGTCAATTGTTGCCTACTTGAATTAAAGCCAGCTTTTAGTTTGTTTTGGCTGTGCATCATTGCGTTCTTTTCTGGATGTTTTGAACAGTGTATTTAATTTCGTAGTAAAGAAAAACATTATTCTTTGGCTTATCTATTTTTGCCAGATGGCACGGATGTATTTAAGTTGGATTGGGATTAAGACTTCATTGTTTTTCTCCTAATAGGTCTCGATCTAGAAGACGGTCACGAAGTAGGAGTCGCAGGAGCAGCCGCAGTAGATCTCGAAGTATCTCAAAAAGTCGCTCCCGGTAAATAACGTTGTGTTGAGTCACTGTGAATATTACCGTACTTGTTTATGGAGTATGTGTACATTCTCACTAAGTATTGAGAAAATCGGTCTTTCCTTGTCCAGTTCCAGGTCGCGGAGCAAAGGTCGATCACGTTCTCGATCAAAAGGCAGGAAATCTAGATCAAAGAGCAAATCTAAGCCCAAGTCTGATCGGGGCTCCCATTCACATTCTCGAAGCAGATCTAAGGATGAGTATGAGAAATCTCGAAGCAGGTCTCGGTCCCGATCCCCTAAAGAAAATGGAAAGGGTGATATAAAGTCAAAATCCAGATCAAGGAGCCAGTCCCGTTCCAATTCGCCGCTACCTGTTCCACCCTCAAAGGCCCGTTCTGTGTCCCCTCCACCAAAAAGAGCTACTTCAAGATCCCGTTCTAGATCTCGCTCAAAGTCAAGATCAAGGTCCAGGTCGAGTTCCAGAGATTAACTCAGAACTCCTTGTTTGCACATTATTATGGAACACTTTCCTACTTAGGCAGTTACTCTTCCATGTTTATACTTGGCCTCTTCTGCAAGAGGAATCTCTTGAAAACAGGGGCACACAGAAATTTGATTTGTGGCCAAATTGGATGAAAAAGATGAGGCTCTAAGGAAATGGTGGCATGAAGACCCTCTCCCTTCTTTGTAGAATTAAGATAACTTTGATTTTATAGCTTTTGAGCTAACGTAACTTTTGTAAAGATTAAGCTCATTTAGTGTTGTTTTTTTTTTTTTTTTTTTTTTTTTTTTTTTTTTTTTAGTATTTCAGCAGGATCTGCTGGCAGGGTTTTTTTGTTTTATTTGTTTGCTTATTTTTAAATTAACTGTTTTGAGCTTTGAATACTTAAGGCTTTAGAGGGAGAACCCAATTTTCAATTATGTTGGCTTTTTATAAAGCTTGAGTTATGTAAGATTTAAATAAAAGTTTGCTACCAAGATGATTGCCTTATTGAATAGGTCACTATTAAATTCCTTTAAATGTTGATATCTGCCATTTGTGGAAACAACGTAAATTCTACTTAAGTGTAAACAAGGCAAGCCTCAGACCAGCAATAAATTACTCAGTTTGGATAACATTATTTTGTGCAGTTAATCAAATTTGCCAAAGTCTTTATCTGCCCCTTTAACAAGTTGAGTAAAAATAAAAGGTATTTTTTAGTCAATGTGTTCCATGATTTTGCTTAAATTAATACTTTTAAGTAATGGAACTTTTTTCAAAGGCAAATTTAAACTATTTAAGAAATAGCTCCTAATACTTGGGATCTTGTTTAGAGAATCCACTTTCTGGAAGTTCTCAGCATAATTAGTGTTGAGAGTGGTTCAGTTGTCTTTAATGTTTGTCATGTGGAAATGGAAGTAGCCTCTTTTTGTTCTGAAATTGAGTTTATTCAAAGTGTAAAAGCACATACTGCATTTTCTGCTGAAAGATCATTATGTTTAACAGGCACTTAATCTCAGTAAAGTCAGTTGCCAGTTAAGTTCCACCCAGTAGTCAGTCCCCTTTGTAGTTAGTGGGATTATTTGATAATTGGTTAGATCATACTTGTAAATTTTAATGCTTTGTGTAATTGGTTTGAAAAACAGTGAAATGGGTAAACGCAAAACTTTTGTACTTTATTACGAGTAAAGTGTAATGAGTACTGTGGAAACCAAATTTGAATACTGCAAATTTGTAGGAGTTACTAGGTTAGCAATTAGTCCATACATCCATAAGCCTGATGAGTTGAAATTGCAGTTTGAGAAGTGAATTAACCTTACATCCCTTTGTTCAGATACCTTAAAAGTTACTTTATTTAAAAGCATTTATTAATCTTAGTCTGAAATCAAAATATAGATTAATTGGCTCAGCTTTAATACCTTTCTAGGAGGTGTCACAATGTAGGGTACCAAGGGTTGGATTGTGATGGGGCATGGTCGTACACTGCTCATTGTGCCACAGGTGTGACTGGAAAGCATGATATTCTAGGGTTGGTTTGTAGATTCAAATAATCCAGAAATATACCTAATAAGATTGAGTGAAAAATTTGAGTCAAATATCTAGGGCATTCACAGAGTAGCTGTGAGTTCTTGGTAATGTGAAAAAGGCCTTGTTTTTCAGAAATTCCTGGGTTTCCTGTTAAAAAATCTTAAAGCCCAACCTTAGGAATATAGTGCCCCAAAAGGCGGATGCTTCTTCCATTATCTTATTTTCTTTGATACTTTATTTAATTAGATGTTTATAAAGAAATGGGTTTATTTTTCCAGCATAAACCTCAGAATTTAAGGAAAGAAAATGATGTCTGTTGTTATAGTTCATTGTTTTGCCTACTCAGCAGAAGTGATGACTCTTAAAAATTGGCTTTGACCAAAGTTCTCTTGTTTTCAGGGAAAGAACATAAAAGCTTTTTGAACTACAGCCTTTTTAAAAGAGGGATGGGAGGATATTACAGTAAGAAATTAGGCTTTCTAAAAGTATGAAACATCCTTCAACTGGGCTCTCTTGTTAATAGGACATCATATGGTAATAGACTGGTTTGACTATATTGTTAGCTGCCACAGTAAGCAGGTCATTGTATAGGTAAATGCCTGCACCCATAATTTTCTAGTAATAGCCACGACCAATTTATTAACAGTCAGGGCCTATCCTTGCCTGTAGTTCTCAGTCACTGGATGCACAAAATCACTGTGTAACATTGGCTCACTTGGTGAGCATAGGGTTGACTGATAAAATGTTTAATTCCCTTGCTAGCTTGTGAGAAGAATGAGTTGATGACATGCTCCATACCAGTGGCTAGATGGAGTATTAAGGTGGAGCAGAAAAGAAGTGAGAACATCTTGATTCCCCTTTCTTTTACTTGATGGTGTTTATGAACATGCCGTAGTGCCTTTATGGCCAGTTTGAGTCCTGCCTACTTTGACTTTTACGTTCCCATTCCTGTGTTACCACCTTCCTCCCGATTTGTTCACCTATTTTGTGCTTTAAATCTCAATAAAATACTTACTGAGGGAAAGGCTTGTTTTGAGTTTATTGCATATGCCCACTTAGGACCAGATTCTTAACAAATGTTTTTTTGAATTGGAGTTTGCATTGGCAAGCCATTCCTGTCTTGAGTATGAGAACAGGATCTTGTGTTCACTTACCCAGAAACGTGAGTTTGGGATTTAGTATATGGTTTATGTTGGGCAACTCATTAATCACTGTGCTTCAGTGTCATCCATGAAACTAGGGATAAAACATGCATGGGATGTGAAGATTAAAAGTCAAGAATATGAACAGTACAAGAGAGTACCATAACAAATACAATTTTATTTACAAATATACATGGTTGGACCATACCTTGGAATCTACTTGCTAATGCAGCTGCTGTTAACAGTTCTTGTATCTGCTCAAGAGATTTCTATGATCATATAAAAATGCCTTTTTAGGTTTTCAGTGTTCATGCCCTGAGTAGTAGTCTGCAGTTTGCTTTAATACATGGTAATACAGAGATCGGCTTTAAATGGCTGGCTGGTTACTGTTGAATGAATGTATGATAAATTTTTTTTCAGAACCAACAGTGTGAATAATCCTTTCAGTTGTCTATCAGCATGAATTTAAAAATTACTTTCAAGATTCAACATTACACAATAAAACTTAGAGTTCTTGCAATAGAGCACCTAGTGTAGTAATTACCGATTTATATGCTAATCTTTGAGTTTCCTCAGTGACCATATTTTGAATAACAGATTAGTATCCCGAACATGTATGCATCCATTTACTGAAACGACAAGTCAGTACAATTGTGCAGTTGGTCTTCGTACATCCTATATAGCTTGTTTACATATGCCTGTTTATCTTTGAGCAATCCTGCAGATGGCCCCCAGTATAGCACTTAACACAGTCGTTAACTTTTTATTCCTTTTGAATAGAAAGGAATCATGGTTCAAAAATTAGAAGAGTGGGTGCGGTGGCTCATGCCTGTAATCCCGGCACTTTGGGAGGCCAAGACAGGAGGATCACCTGAGCTCAGGAATTCAAGACCAGCCTGGCCAACATGGTGAAACCCTGTCTCCACCAAAAATATAAAAATTAGCCAGGCATGGTGTTGCGTGCTTGTAGTCCTACTACTTGGGAGACTGAGACAGACAGAAGAATTGCTTGAACCCAGGAGGCGGAGGTTGCAGTTAGCCAAGATAACACCATGGCACTCCAGCCTGGGCGACAGAGTGAAACCCTGTCTCAAAAAAAATTTTTTTTCAATGTGTTTTCTGGGAACAGGGCCATTATCTTCTGTAACTACAGAATTATCAAAATCAGGAAATTAACTGATAAAATACTGTTGTCTGATACACAGTTCATACCGAAGTTTCATCAGTTGTCCCTTAATGTCCCTTACATTTTTTCTCTTGGTCCAAGATTCATTGGTTGCATTTTGTTGTCATGGTTCTTGAGTCTCTAAATCTCTAATGCATCCTCAGGCTTTTTCTTCATGTTACTTTTTGAAGAGGAGTTAATATACCTAGCCTCCAGTTAGCCTCCTCTCCCTCAAAATTATTTTAAAAAATGACTTAATAGTGATCCAGGTTATTAACATGGGTCACTGGACATAATACATCGAGGACAGAGTCTCATTCTTGTGATATTCCTGCCCAAAATGCTGTCATGTAGAAACGAGACAAATCCAAGATGAGGGCAAAACCTACAAAATAAACTTTTCTTCCCCCCACGAGACAGAGTTTAACTATTGTTACCCAGGCTGGAGTGCGATGGTGCAATCTCAGCTCACCACAACCTCCACCTCCTGGGCTGAAGCTATTCACCTCCCTCAACCTCCCGAGTAGCTGGGATTACAGGCATGTGCCACCACGCCCAGCTAAGATTGTATTTTTTTAATAGAGGCAGGGTTTCTCCATGTTGGTCAGGCTGATCTCGAACTCCTGACCTCAGGTGATCCCCCGCCTCGGCCTCCCAAAGTGCTGGGACTACAGGTGTGAGCTACCTTGCCTGGCCTTCTACCATAAAGGAATTGCTTTGGAGGGGTGGCGGGGAGGAGGGGGCAGGTACACTATATGGGTTTTCTTTAGGTTTTCTGTTTTTTAAGAGATGGAGTCTCACTCTGTTACCCAGGCTGGAGTGCAGTGGTGCAATCATGGGCCCAAGCGATGCTCCCACCTCAGTCTCCCAAATTGCCGAGACAAGTGTGCACCACCACACCCAGCTAAGGGAGTAGACTTTTAAAGGTAAGGTTTAAAGAAGGTGGTTTTTTATTTTTGTCTTTAGGAGGGAACCAATTTGGAGATTAAGAGCTGCTGAAGGCAAAGCTTTGATGGCATCAGATAGAACCCCCATTACTGCTGAAAGCAGAGCAAGTCCCCTAGCCCAAGGCCAAAAGGATTGGGAGGCAAATAAGTTGCACCCTCATCTATAAAACAAGACCTGCTAATATTGTGAAAAGTAAATACTATTATCAAAGCATTTGGCATAGTCACTCATTAAATAGTAACTGCATTTAGGAAAACATTCTGAAATAGAAGAGCTAAACTCTCCGGGTGTGATGGCTCATTCCTGTAAAGGAGGCCAAGGCAGGCAGATCACTTGAGATCAGCAGTTGGAGACCAGCCTGGCTAACATGGTGAAACCCCATCTCTACTAATAATACAAAAAGCTGGGCGTGGTGGCGCAGGCCTGTAATCCCCGCTACCCTGGAGACCAAGGCAAAAGAAACGCCTGAACCTAGGAGGGGGGTTTACAGTGAGCAGAGACTGCACCACTGTACTCCAGCCTGAGCAACAGAGCAAGACTCTGTCTCAAAAAAAGAAAAAAAAATAGCTAAACTCTAATAATACTGTTCTAACCAACTTGAGAAAAAGGCAAAACAAAGATGCCAAACGTGGAATGTGGTGCCCAAGTATTAAAGTATCTACTATCCCTACTTTTTCGTCCTTCATGAGCAGCCCGAGTGTACTAAACACATTACTGTTACTTTTGTCATACAAAGTTTCAAACACCAGTGAGAATAGTGGAATGAACCACCCTTGTGCTCCTCTAGCTTTAACAATGTATACCTGTCTACTTCCTCTCCCAAATAATTTTGAAGGAAATCCTAGACATTTTATCTGTAGATGCACTATATAGCTCTTTAAAGACATCTAAACTCTCTTTAAATCTAGAGTCTCTTTGTCCCCTTGCAGTGTGTTTATTGGAGAAGCTAAGTCATTGTCCTGGAGAGTTTCCCAGTCTTGATTTTGCTGATTGCAATCTCATGGCGTCATTAAGTGTATTCTCCTGTATGCTGCATTTCCTGTAAATTAATAGACCTAGAGAAAGCGGGTGTGTGTGTGTGTGTGTGTGTGTGTGTGTGTGTGTGTGAAGGGTCTCACTGTATCACCCAGGTTAGAGTTGCAGTGTTACAATCAGCTCACGCAACTTCTGCCTCCTGGGCTCCAGCGATCGTCCCACCTCAGCCTCCTGAGTAGCTGCCACCATGCCCAGCTAATTTTTTCTCTTTTTGGTAGAGACGGGGTTTCACCATGTTGCCCAGGCTTGTCTCAAACTCCTGACCTCAAGCGATCCTCCCACCTTGGCCTCCCAAAGTGCTGGGATTACAGGCATGAGCCACTGCACCCAGCAAGAAGTGTGGTTCTGCCAAGGCACAGTGGCTCACGCCTGTAATTCCAACACTCTGGGAGGATCCTTTGAGCCCAGGAGTTTGAGACCAGCCTGGGCAACATAGTGAGACCCCATCTCTACAAAAAAATTAAAAATCAGACTGATGCTGCCCACCTGTCCCATCTGCTCAGGAGGCTGAGGTGGGAGGATCACTTGAGCCCAGGAGGTTAAGGCTGCATTGAGCCAATCATGCCTCTGCACTCTAACCTGGGTGACAGAGCAAGACCCTGTCTTAAAAAAAAAAAAAAAAAAAAAAACATGGTTCCCAACCAGCAGCATCAAAATCATCTCCGATGTTAGATGTTACAAATACAGTCTTCACCCCAGACTCTGAATCAAAAACTGTGGATAGAGTCAGGCACAGAAAGACAAACTTCACATGTTCTCACATATTTGTGGGAGCTAAAAATCAAAACAGTTGAATTCCTGGAAATAGTAAAAGGATGGTTATGAGAGGCTGGGAAGGGGTAGTAAGGGGGTGAGGGGTAGGTAGGGATGGTTAATGGGTCCAAAAAAGAATAAAATATAGTATGTGATAGCACACAGGGTGACTATAGTCTGTAATTTAATTGTACATTTTAAAATAAAGACTATATAACTGGATTGTTTGTAACATTAAGGATAAATGCTTGAGGGTATGTCTGTGTAGTGTGGGTAATTAAAAAGAAAAAATAAAAATACAAAAAAATGCTTGAGAGGATGAATACCCCATTTTCCATGTTGCGATTGTTACACATTGCATGTCTGTATCAAAGTATCTCATTTACTTTATGAATATATACACCTACTATGTACCCACAACAATTTTTTTTTTTTTTTTGAGATAGAGTATCGCTCTGTTGGCCCAGCCAACTTTTTTTTTAAACAAATAAATTAAAACTCTGGGCCGGGCACAGTGGCTCACTCCTATAATCCCAGCACTTTGGTAGGCCGAGGCAGGTGGATCACCTGAGGTCAGGAGTTCGAGACCAGCCTGAGCAAGGTCGTGAAACCCCACCTCTACTAAAAATACAAAAATTAGCCGGGCATGGTGTCGCATGCCTGCAATCCCAACTACTTGGGAGGCTGAGGCAGGAGAATTCCTTGAACCCAGGAGGTAGAGGTTGCAGTGAGCCAAGATCGTGCTCCAGTATGGGGACCGAGTGATACTCTGTCTCAAATAAATATTTAAAAAATAAAACTGGGTAGAGCGCAGCCATAGGTGTTTTTTAAAGCCCCTTAGGTGGTTCTGGCACATACTAAAACTTAAGACCCACTATTCTAGTGGTTTTGTCAAATTCCAATTTTAAAAAAAAATTTGAATAGGATGTGCAAGTGCAGGTTTGTTACATGCATATATTCTGTCGGTGAGTCTGGGCTTTCAGTGTGCCCATCACCACCTTTATTTTTGTTTCAAAACTTCTTGGGGGCTGGGCATCGTGGCTCATGCCTGTAATCCCAGCACTTTTGGGAGGCTGAGGTAGGCAGATGACTTGAGCCCAGGAATTCAAGACCAGCCTGGGCAACATAGGGAGACCCTGCTTCTACAAAAAAATAGAAAAATTGGCCAGGCATGGTGGCAGGTGCCTGTAGTCCCAGCTACTTGGGAGGCTGAAGTGGAGGATCACCTGGGCCCTGGAGGTGGAGGCTGCAGTGAGCCGAGATCACGCCTCTGCACTCCAGCCTGGGTGACAGAGCAAGACTGTCTCAAAAAAAAGAAAAAACAGAAAACTACGTGGGGGCGAGTGCGGTGTCCCACACCTATAGGAAGCCAAGGTGGGAGGAGTTCAAGGAGTTGAAGGCCAGGAGTTCAAGACCAGCCTGGGTAACTTAGCAAGACCCCATTTGAACGTCTTTTTTGTCATAATGGCAACCATTGATTATTTTTGCCTAGATACATTAAACCATGGACTTGTGGCTTTAAACATTTATTTCAATCCATTGCAGCTCGTCTTATCAATGCTACCTTTTTATTTTTTTCTTTTTTGAGTTAGGGTCTCACTCTGTTACTTAGGCTGGAATACAGTGGCATGATCACGGCTCACTGCAGCCTTAACCTCCTGGGGTCAAGCCATCCTCCCACCTCAGCCTCCCAAGTAGCTGGGACTACAGGCACATGCCACCACGCCTGGCTAATTTTTGTATTTTTTGTAGGGACGGAGTTTCGCCATGTTAGCCAGGCTGCTTTTGAACTCCTGAGCTCAAGCAATCTGCCTGCCTCTGCCTCCCAAAGTGTTGGGATTACAGAGGTGGGCCACTGTGCCTGGCCTTCTAATCAATGATACCTAATTCTGTCTTCGGTCAGTGGAACTCAACTCAATTTGTCTCCTGAGTCCTTTTGAAACTATTCTAATCTTGTCAGTTTCCTCGCTTTCTGGTATGGTAAGATTTCCAGCATCATGTTGTACATTTTCAGTCCAGATCTGAAATCAGTCATTTCTCCAAGGAGCCCTGGTTTTGTTGGAAATGGTATTTAGCAACCAGTCTGGGCAATAAGCAAATTCATTGCCACTTGTTTGGTCATAGGCCTTTTCGGTGGACAGAGCTAGGAAAATATTACCTGATTCTCCCTCTAGCCACACAAATCATGTTACCTTCTGGTCATCTGAAGGTCCTCTCTTCTCCAAGCGGAAACCCTCTCAACCCTGCCTCAGTCAGTGCCACAGTTTTGAATCTCCTAACTATATGTTGTCTTTCTGCACTCTTAATTTGTGAGTGCCACTCTTTTTTTTTTTTTTTTTTTCTGAGGCGGAGTCTTGCTCTGTTGCCCAGGCTGGAGTGCAATGGCGCGATCTCAGCTCACTGCAAGCTCCGCCTCGCGGGTTCACGCCATTCTCCTGCCTCAGCCTCCCAAGTAGCTGGGACTACAGGCACCCGCCACCACGCCTGGCTAATTTTTTTTGTATTTTTGGTAGAGACGGGGTTTCACCATGTTAGCCAGGATGGTCTCGATCTCCTGACTTCATGATCCGCCCGCCTCGGCCTCCCAAAGTGCTGGGATTACAGGCATGAGCCACCGTACCCGGCGTTGTGTGTGCCACTCTTACAGAGTGGTGTCCACTGGTAGACAAAGCACTCCAGGTTTGCTCTAACCTGCTCAAAGCAGAGCAGTACATGGCTTCCCTGCCTGGATATATGGTTCCTCAGCTGACTTCTGGGCCGTTTCTGGCAAAGGGATAAGAGGATTAAAAGGAAACTGTTTCTCTAAGATCCTGCAGCCTCTTTTCCGCGCCGTCAGAGGGTTTAAAGCAGATAATGTGTCATCTTGCTCTGAATAATGAGTAGAGGAAGAAGGAAAATTCAGAGCCTAACTTTCAATGTGATTCTAGAGTACACAACAGCACTATAAATGGAATGAGTAAATAAATACCTCAAATTATAGTTTTCATCCACCTTGACCATTGCCTGCAGACCTAGCAGTAACTCAAGTCCAGACAACAGTGTGGCTGTGATCATAATAAGATGATCAGTGCTCACTAGTGTTTTCAGGAAGTTTTTCAGGAAGCCCTCGAAAAGTATAGCACCATGAGTCATCATAGTCCAACTCATATTCAGTAAGCGTTTATTAAAAACTTTGGCCGGGCGCAGTGGCTCACACCTGTAATCCCTGCACTTTGGGAGGCCGAGGCGGGTAGATCGCTTGAGGTCAGGAGGTCAAGACCGGCCTGGCCAACAGGGCGAAACCCCATCACTACTAAAAATACAAAAATTAGCTGGGCATGGTGGTGGGCGCCTGTAATCCCAGCTAGTCCAGAGGCTGAAGCAGGAGGATCACTTGAACCCAGGAGGCAGAGGTTGCAGTAAGCCAAGATCACCCCACTGCACTCCATCCTGGGCGACAGAGCAAGACTCTGTCTCCAAAAAAAAAAAAAAAAATGCCTTACCAGATGTGTGGTAGATTACATTACTATAAGAAATATTTATTGTCTCCCTTTTCTGCATTTATGAGTACTTCCCTCACTTGATGTTGGCCAATGGAATTTAGCAGGCATGATCTATTTGGTAGGCTGAATGATGCCCTCCCCCACCCCCCAAAAGGTCCACGAGCTAATCTCCAGAACCTGTGAATATGTAACTTAACATTGTAAAAGACACTTTGCAGATGTAATTAAATAACGTTCTGGAGATGTAATTATCTGGCTAGGCCCAGTGTAATCACAAAGGGAGGCTTTTTTTTTGACTCTCCAGCCTCCCTTATAATCTAGAGAGGCTGGAGAGTCAAAAATCAGAAAAAGTTGGTGTAAAAATGGAAGCAACAGTAGATTGGAGATGCTCTACTGTCAGCTCTGAAGATGGACGGAGCCACGGAACAAGGAAACGGATTCTCCCTAAGGGAGCACAGCCCTGCCGACTCCCTGACTGGGCCCATGCCTCCCTCCCTCCCTTGATTGGCCCAGTGAAACCCATTTCTGACTTTTGACCTCCAGAACCATAAGACAATAAATTTGTGTTATTAGGTTGGTGTAAATGTAATTGCAGTTTTTGCCATTACTTTGAAAATATTTTAGGCCGGGCGCTGTGGCTCACGCCTGTAATCCCAGCACTTTGGGAGGCCGAGGAGGGCGGATCACGAGGTCAGGAGATCGAGACCATCCTCACTAACATGGTGAAACCCCGTCTCTACTAAAAATACAAAAAATTAGCCAGGAGTGGTGGCGGGCACCTGTAGCTCCAGCTACTCGGGAGGATGAGGCAGGAGAATGGCGTGAACCTGGGACTCGGAGGTTGCAGTGAGCCGACATGTGCCACTGCACTCCAGCCTGGGTGACAGAGCAAGACTCCATCTCAAAAAAAAAAAAAAAAAAAATTTTAGACCACCAAGTTTGTGGTAATTTGTTACCAAAGCTCCAGAAAAATTATTACAACACAGCTAAAGCCTTAAGACACACTTGCACACCTGGGCTTGCTCTCCTGCATCCCAGCTGTCTCCATGAGAATAATACACCTCAGCCAGCCTGCTGGTCCAAGAGGACAAGAGACAGGCTGGCCAGAGCTGCCTGTGAGCCTTGGCCACCAGCTCGAAGCAGAACCCAGCCAGATCAGCCAACCTGCAGAAATGTGAAAAGTAAAAATGTAGTGGTGTGTGCTACTCAGTTTTGGGGGTTAGGGACAATGATAGCTAACTGATACGGGGTGCTAGGCAACTCCACATATGTCCCTGCAATAACTATACGTGGTAGAAACTGTTACCCAGCATTTTACAGATGATGAAACAGGTCAGGTAAACCCACATGCCCAAAGTCACACACAAGGCAGCATTCTGAAGTTCAGTCGTTTCATTTTGCCTAAATGAATATGAGAGATATCTTCCATTTTTCCATCCCAATTCCCTATCCGCCTGTCTGAGCCTCAGGAAACTAGCCTCATGACTTCCTCCACACACTTCCCTGCCCTCTGGTTTCTGAGTGGGACGTGGAGAGAGGGAGGAGATGGAAGTTGGGGTCTTTATTCCCACAGCACCCCACCCCTACCCCCGCAGACTTAACTAAGGCTGGCAGTGGCCTTCAACCAAAGGCCATAGTGTCTGGTGTACACAGCCCTCTTGTTCCAAGTCCCGGTAACCACTGCCTCCCCTTGTCCTAGCCCCTCCGTCTTACGCTAACCATTGTAATTTTTCTACATCCTGCCCACACCATTATAAATAAGTTAATGATTTATTGTGTCGTCTTCAAATTACTGAAGTGGGGAGTGTGCCTTCTGTTTCCTGTTGTGACGCTGCAGATAATAGCAAGTAAGTTAAACAGTAAGTAAATATTTCCTATTTCAGAGGAATATAAAACATCACACTTAGTGCTTGCTTCAGCAGCATATATACTAAAATTGGAACGATACAGAGAAGATTAGCATGACCCCTGCGCAAGGATGGCACGCAAATTTGTGAAGCATTCCATATTTTAATTAAAAATTATTTAAAAAATAAAGAATAAATATCGGGGGTAGATATGCAGGCAGGACGGGGCAAAGCTCTGAGGGGTAGGGTATGCAGGTCAGCATTATCTAGTTGCAATGGTTATGTTGGGTAATGGGCCACCTGGTGGTCTAGCTGGAGGCAACAAGGCTGTAAATCAATTGTTCATTCTTTCCTGAGATGGGACACTCTCAACCTTGGTTTGATATTCTGGATCTCCTAAGGCCAGTTCCTGGAATTATTTAAATAAAAGGCATGGTTAAACATTAAGAGAGCACAGAAGAACAATATAGAATGGCTGGACTAGGTGTGGTGGCTCACACCTGTAATCACTTTGGGAGGCTAAGGCAAGAGGATCACTTGAGCCTAGGAGTTCGAGACCAGCCGGGGCAACGTAGTGAGACCCTGTCTCTACAAAAGAATTAAAAATTAGGCAGGTGTGGTGGCGTGCACCTGTAGTCCTGTAGGTCTAAAACTGGCCTGTTTGGAGATTTGGTTATTATTTCACTCTCTCCTGATTTCCTTGAAGGTTTGATAACAATCCTGGTTTCAGGCTGGGTGCAGTGGCTCACACCTGTAAATCCCAGCACTTTGGGAGGCCAAGGCAGGTGTGTCACCTGAGGTCGGGAGTTCGAGACCAGCCTGGCCAACATGGTGAAACCCTGTCTCTACTAAAAATAACAAAAATTAGCTGGGCGTGGTGGTGGGCGCCTATAATCCCCAGCTACTCAGGAGGTTGAGGCAGGAGAATTGCTTGAACCTGGGAGATAGAGGTTGAAGTGAGCCGAGATCATGCCATTGCACTCCAGCCTGGGTGACGAGAGCAAAATTCCATCTCAAAAAAAAAAAAAAAAAAAAAAAATATTGGTTTTGGCTTGGTGGTGTAGAACTTCAGCATTTGTACTCCATTTTGGTTTGGTCCATTGGGTCTAATGCCAGAGCCCAGTCCAAATAATGAACTCCTAAAAATTGTATTTAACATAAGGAAGGGAAGGAAGGAGATAGAGGGAAAGGGGGCATGAGAAAGAAGGGAATGAGGCCAGGTGTGTGGCTCACACCTGTAATCCCAGCACTTTAGGGGGCAGAGGCAGGAGGATTGCTTGAACTCGAGTTCGAGACCAGCCTGGGCAACATAGTGAGACCTCGTCTCTTTAAAAAAAAAAAAAAAGAGACTGAAGAAGAAAGGAAGTAGAGAGAAAGGAAGGAAAGAACTCACTCTTCATTTGTATTTCCTGGCTCTAGGTTTGCTAAATATATGTGTATATTCTGACACTTTTTAAAACAGTAAAGAGGATTTTATTCAGGACTATTGGAAGAGGGGAGAGAGGTCTGCCTCAACCAAACAGCAAGGGCAAGAAGTGGGGATTTATAGCCAACAAGAAGAGTGAGGGGTCATGGCTGAAAAAATAATTAGAGCAGACATCATGGGTAGGGGGATTCTAGCTAAACTGAACTCACAGGATTCTTGCTAGAGGCAGACCAAGGACTTACATATCAGAGGTGAAGGATCAGAAACTTGATCAGATATGAAGGATGGGGGATAACTTAACAGGATTCTTATTAAAACTGGGCCAGGCAGGCCAAGGACAGGAGGGAGTGGAGGCCAAGTTTGGACAAGGAGAGAGCCTTTTGTCAGTTTTTTAAATCACTCTTTGAGTATGAGCCTGGGGAACTGGAGAATTCATTTTTTTCTTTTTAAAATGTAGATATGAGGTTTTGCGACATTACCCAGGCTGGTCTTGAGCTTCTAAGCTCAAGCAATTCGCCCACCTCAGCCTCCCAAAGTGCTGGGATTGTAGGCATGAGCTGCTGCACCTGGCTGAGAATTCAAAAACAGTAAAAATTAGTAAGATTAGAGTACTTTAATGTGGTGCTTCACAGTATACAACGTTCTTAAAATCAGGGCCGGGCACGGTAGCTCATGTCTGTAATCCCAGCACTTTGGGAGGCCAAGGCTGGTGGAAGTCAGGAGTTCAAGACCAGCCTGGCCAACATGGCGAAACCCCGTCTCTACTAAAAATACAAAAATTACCCGGGCGTGGTGGCGCATGTCTGTAATCCCAGGTACTCGGGAGGCTGAGGCACGAGAATCACTTGATCCTGGGAAGTGGAAGCTGCAATGAGCCGAGATCACACAACTCCACTCCAGCCTGGGAGACAGACTGAGACTCTGTCTCAAAAAATAATATTAAAAAAAATAAAATCAGTAACCTGAGGATACTGGATATCAACTCCTGTGTCCAATTTATTTCATTAACCACTTTAGTAAATATTAGAACACTACACAGAGCTGTATCATCAAGTTGAACCACACTCCAATTTTCAGGGCAACTGCTGTGAAGTCAATAGTAGCAGCATCCCCACAAGCAGTCTGCACCATTTTCTTGGGCCTTGTTTGAAGCCACATTGCATACATCCCACAAGTCTCTACTAAAAATACAAAACTTAGGCGTGGTGGCACAAGCCTGTGATTCCAGCTACTCAGGAGGCTGAGCTGGGAGGATGGCTTGAACCCAGAAGGCGGAGGCTGCAGTGAGCTGAGATCGGGCCACTGGACTCCAGCCTGGGCAACAGAGTGAGACGCTATCTCAAAAAAAGAAAAAAGAAATGCCGTTTAGCTCTTCCCTGTTTTTGCACATACCAGCAGTAGAACGAAAGTCTCACATAGTTAGCTTAAAAATTAATAATAATAAAATCAGTGGGCACTGTAGCATGCACTTGTAGTCCCAGCTACTCAGCAGACTGAGGTGGGAAAATTGCTTGAACCCAGAAGTTTGAGGCTGCAGTGAGCTGTGATTGCACCACTGGGGACGCCAGCCTGGGTAACAGAGTAAGACTTTGTTTCTTTACAAAAAAAAAAAAAAAAAAAAAAAGTCTGCAGCTCCATAGTCTAATTGATAGAAACAAGAATTAAGTTCCTACGGCATATTTGGCATATTCCTGGTAACAAAAACATCACCAAACTTCTAAACAAGATCAAAACACTTCTAATATTAAACACTGAAATAAATGTGAGCTACACTTACCTTTTACAAAGATTAATAGAAACGAGAATAATTGACCCAATTTTTGGTTAATCAGTGAGTGAGGGCGGTCGTCGTGGTGATGGGTTAAATCACGGAATAAATGTTCGTAAAGCAAAAATTTTCAGGAGCACGTCCTCCTGCTCTACAGTTCAAAAATAAGAACCAATCTGGCAGGCTCGCTGAGCGTTTTTGGATCACGTCATTTATTGTCCTGCATTTGTATGATTATCATATACTGTATGGATTTTTTATTTTACAGTAATTTGTATTCACTAATTTTCATTCATTCCGTTTCCAAGCTGCTTATTCCAATTCAGGGTCTCAGGTGGCAGCCTGTCCTAGCAACTCAGGACGCCAGGTGGGCGTCCCCCCAGACAGTATGCTGTCCCATCACAGAGCGCGCGTGCACACACACACACATACACACACACTCAGGAACCATTTAGACACGCCAGTCCACCTAAAGTGCACATCCATGGGATGTGGGAGGAAACCAGGATACCTGGAGAAAACCCACGCAGGCATGAGGAGAACATGCAAACTCCACACAGACAGTGGCCCTGGCTGGGAATCGATTTGTTTTCTCAACAACGTTATAACAAAAGGATGTTGAGTGTAATGATGTTATTTGAGGACTTGCTGTAATTAACCAACTGGCCAGTCGACTGCATCTTTATAGTTACTATTATTCCATGTGCAAACAGGAGATCCAAAGAAGGAGAGAAGGGTTAGAAATCCATTTTTTTCTTATCAAAATATATTATTTTATCCATTTCATTACAGTCTTTTATCCATTTCATTACAGTCTTTCCTGAGCAAAGTGGAAGTTCAAGTCAAAAGTCAGATGAAAGTCGCTTTAAAGTTCAAAGAGGAGAAGAAATGAACTTTTCTTTTGAGAGCCTCTTTTGTGCCAGGTGCTTGCCCCTTGCTATGAGAAATGTCAAGATCTTTGCATCTATTGAAGTACAGAGTAAAAATTTTTTTAAAAACGCAAAGATGAATACGATGAGAGTTTGTGACCTCATGCCACATACCAAATCAGGACAAGGCTATCAGTAATAGCACCTGAGATTCTCCGGGCTAGAATAAACCTCCATCATCATCTTGTTCTATCCCTTATCTGATACTCGAGTCAGCTCTTGCTTCTTCATACCCAGTCTGCCTAGCTTTTTTTTTTTTTTTTTTGACAGGTTCTCACTCTGCTGCCCAAGCTGGAGTTCAGCTGTGCAATCTTGGCTCACTGCAACCTCAGCCTCCTGGGCTTAAGCAATCCTCAGGCACACAGCACTACGCCCAGCTAATTATCTTCTGTATTTTTTTGTAGAGACAGGGTTTTGTCTTGTTGCCCAGGATGGTCTCAAACTCCTAGGCTCAAATGATCTACTCACCTTGGCTTCCTAAAGTGCTGGGATTACAGGCATGAGCCACCACACCCAGCCTGCTTAGCTGTTTTAAAATAAAAACTTTAGACAAATTAAATGTAACAGAGTTTAATTGAGCAAAGAACGATCGGTCAATCAGCCCCCTAAACCAGAATAGGTTCAGAAAAACTCCAGGGTTGCTGCATGGTCAGAGAAGACCTATGGACAGAAATAGGAAAGTGACATACAAAAAACAGAAATGAGATACAGAAACAGCTGGATGTGTTACAACTTGGCATTTGCCTTATTTGAACACAGTTTGAACAGTTGGCCGTCTTTGATTGACCAAAACTCAGTGATTGGTATGAGAGTGGGTTACAGTCTGTTTACACATTCAGCTAGAATATACTTCACTATGTACAGAGAAATCCTTAGGCTGAATATAAGGAGGCAGATTTAGGCTAAACTTAATTTAACAGTTCCCCGCTTTTGGTCAACCTCTCAAAACTTTAGGCATTGATATCATTCTGTCATCATTGTAAATGTACTTATTTGGTCTCAAATCCCACTTGGAAACAGCAGAACAGTGAGTTTTGTGAGGGCTTTAGATTACCTTTTGGTAAGGGTTAGAGTAGAGGGGATCTCCTTGTGCTAAAATCTCCTATTTTCTATTCTACAATCTCTTGGTCTGTTTTAGGATCTATCTGCTTCTTTAAAGTTTTAGTTTGATTATTTTGCATTTAGCATGAATGACTCCATTTTGGTGTAATCTGTTCTGGTCTGTTGGGGTCTAGTACATGAGCTCACTCCAAACTTATGACTTGCTGCCATCATTTTGTTTAAAAACCCTCCCCTTTTAGTTAAGCTCTCACTTAGGAATGTGACCAAAACTCAGGGCTTTAGCAGCAATCTCAGTTACCATCATCTGGGTTTCTAGTTTCAACACAAAACTTACAGGTTACAGTGTCCTCATGGTTATGTTGTTTAAAATTTTGTTGTTCCAGTTGAAGAGAGACCATATGACATTCTATGATGGCTGTGTGCAAACACTTAAAATTTTTGAGAGAATACAGTGTACCAGGGAGAATACTATTATTAAAATGACTATCAGGAAGATAATATCAAGAGTTTGGAGTATGTGCCATAGAGTCCCCATGAACCAAACCAACAAAAATCAAATAGATCAAAGAATGAACTAGATAGAGTCGATTCCTTTCAACCAAGCGTGAAATTAATTATAGGGGATTTGTTAATTTTCTATAACTGAACCTCTGTAATACCCAATGTATTCTTCTATGTACAAGAAGTGTCAGCATTGTGCACATGTACCCTAAAACTTAAAGTATAATAATAATAAAATAAAATAAGAAAATTATTAAATGCTTAACAAGTAATAAAAGAATTTAAAAATGAAAAAAAAAGAAGTGTCAGCAACTGCACAGATATTTCTCTATTCAGCCATTAAGTAATCTAAAGCAATTCTATTATCTAGCACAACCTTATTTATTCAATTTTTTTGAAACAGGATCTCATTCTGTCACTCAAGCTGGAGATCATAACTCACTGCAGCCTCAATCTCCCAGGCTCAAGTGATTCTCCTGCCTCAGCCTCTCAAGTAGCTGGGACTACAGGCACGTGACACCATATTTGGCTAATTTTTGTGTTTATTTTTTGTAGAGATGGTATCTTGCTATGTTGCCCAGGCTAGTCACAAACTCCTGTGCTCAAGCAATCCGCTGGCCTCTGCCTCACAAAGTGCTGGGATTACAGACATGAGCCCAGCCTACTACAACTTAGCAAAATAAATTAAAGTCTGTTGTCTAACGAAAACCTTTGTAGTAGAATCTGTTATAGAGACTATTATAAGGGATACATTTCTAATTATTGCCTCATTTACTCCAAACCATAGAAAAAGAGATCTAACAAGTGATGCCCATCTAGAAGACTGAAGCCCCCCTGGCGATGTTTTCTTTTTCTTTTTTCTTTTTTTTTTAAGAAGCAGTGAAAGTTTTTCAAAAAGTTTTAGAGCAGGAACGAAAGGAAGTAAAATACACTTGGAACAGGGCCAAGCAGGCAACTTGAGCAATCCAAGTGCCCTGTTTGACCTTAGACTTGGGGTTTTATACACTAGCATGCTTCTGGAGTTTTGCATCTCTCCTCCCTTGATTTTTCCTTGGGGCAGGCTGTCCGCATGTGCAGTAGCCTGCCAACACTTGGGAGGGGGTGCATGCATGGTGTGTTTACTGAAGCAGTGTGCATGCTCACTTGAGACATTTTCCCCTTACCAGCCGAGTGTTCCTAGCGAAAGGTCGTGTACCAGTTAAACTCCACCATTTTGCCTCTTAATGCACATGCTTAGACCCACTCGCCCAAATTCTGAGATCTTAGTGGGAAGCTGCGGATCACCAGCTTCAGGTGTTTTCTATCTATTGGGAGATTGATTTTTCCTTGATGCCAGATGTGACCAATTATTATTTTAGAGAGACAGCTTAACAACTGCCTGACCATTACCTGATGGTTGCCTTGAGATGGTACTTGTTCCCTTGACCTTGAACCCCTTGTGGGCAGGAACTGGAGTGGCTCATTTCACTCAGCTTGCAGTCTGTGGACAGCTAAGTGTTAACAGCTCAGCGAAGGGTCAGGCTGATTGCCTCCTGTACCTGCCGCAATGTATTCTTTAATCTATGATGTAGGTTAAGAGTGGACCAGTGTTCTGTTTCTGACTGATTATGATGCAACAAATGTACCATTAAAATTTCTCACCGACATTGGCCCTGTATCTTCCATCTATCAAGGCATGGGATTGTCCATGTATAAGATAGGCTGCAAAATCCTCCACAAATAAAAGTATACCCCACGGGTGCACACAAGACCTTTTTTCCAGTTCTATTGTTCATAGAGGCATAAGTAAGGGAAAAATTAGGAGAAGTAAGAATCTCATGATGACAGAGGAATGTTGATCCCTGATTTTGGGAAAGCTGTCCACATCTAGGATGTCGTCTGCTTCTGGAGAGAACCTTCTCTGGTTAGCTTTACCTTATGTTCTCCGATAGGTATACAGTTCTGGAGGGGCTCTTCTGAGTTGCAAGATCACAAACCCAAAGCTCAAAGTCACAAAGTTTTGCTGCAGTGTGGGTGGCAAGTGCAATTTTTCTCTGATGTTGTTTCCAAAAGTCTCAATCTCTGAGTTCTAGATAGTGAAGTCTTCAACTGTCCTTAGTCAGTGGATCATGAAAAGTTTCCTTTACCTGGTGAAAATATACTTTGGCAGAATGCATTTAAAGCATTGAAAGGCTGGGTGCAGTGGCTCACACCTGTAGTCCCAGCACTTTGGGAGGCTGAGGCAGGAGGATTGCTTGAGCTCAGGAGTTGGAGACCAGCCTGGGCAACATGGTGCAACTGAGTCTCTACCAAAAATACAAAAATTAGCCGGGCATGGTAGTGTACGCTCGTGGTCCCAGCTACTGTACTTGGGAGGCTAAGGTGGAAGGATGACTTGAGCCCGGGAGGTGGAAGTTGCAGTAAGCCACGATGGTGCCACTGCACTCCAGTGTAGGCAACAAAGCCAGACCATGTCTCAAAAAAAAAAAAAAAAAAGAAAAGAAAAGAAAAGAAAAGAAAGAAAGAAAAAGAAAAAGGAAGAAAGAAAGCCTTGTAGCATTTAGTCACATCAGAGATTAGGAGTGGAAGATACATGCGATTCTATTATTTGGAGCATAGACCTTTTAGTGACTATTTCATATGGGGTCAACTCATGTTTTCCACTGAAAGTGGATCTGATTGTTATCAATTCCTAATGCCTTTGACCAAGGCAATACAGTTGATTTAGTTAGCGTTTCCAGATATTATTGTATCTGTAATACCTTATTTAACCATTTTACAACTTGTCTGGTGAAACAAGTACCTCCATCACTGGAGATTTCTCCAGTAATGTCCATGAGAGAAACACATTTCCTAATAACCTTTTAGCTACTGTTAGAGCATCAGCCCGCTTACACGGGAAAGTTTCTGTAAAGCCAGAAAACATACATTGAAAATGACAATTGAATGAAGTCCATCTATAAATGTTTAAATAGCCCATCAGGTAGCAGAAATATACCTGAAATTTTGATTGTCTTCCCAGGATTATAGGTTTAACAAACCAAACACTGGTCATAAATTTATTTTAGCAATTTAGAACAGTCATCAAATTTTATATATATATATGATTCCTGTTTGGATAATTTTATCTCTTCCATGAGGAGTCATGGAGCACAGAGCTTTTAATAACGGAAGCTTTAAGGACTCAGGAAGGACTAGACAACCATCCGGGCTCTCTATGAATCCATGCTTAACATTAGGTTTATATCCTCTTAAATACTGATTTTGTTTCCCCAAGTCAGATGTATAGCACTATTTGTTAGATGGGTTATCATAGGTAATTTGTCTTGGACCATGGGTTCATTCAAATTGCATATCTAAACAATTTCCGGACTGTCTGATTTAGCATGAAAATCTGGGAAACTATTGTCTTGGTATTCAATTAATTCCTCTCTTGCTTGGGTGAGCAGTTTTATCAGTCAGTCTCTTTATTACAGTTCTGGGAATTCTTACCCAGTCCAAATGATATGATTGAAAACTTACCAGAAACCTGTAGTTAAGAGTGCCTGTCAGGAAAAAAAAGTGCTTGTCAGGGTCTTTTTTACTTTTTCCATGAATCTCCTTGAAGACATGATACTCTAGGATTTTACTTCTTGAGAAGAGTTTTCACTTTATTTTTAATTTTTTATTTTTTTGAGACAGGGTATCACCCTGTCGCCCAGGCTAGAATGCAGTGGTGTGATCACGGCTCACTGCATCCTTGACCTCCCAGGTTTAAGCCTCCCTGGTAGCTGGGACCCACAGGCATGCACCACCACACCCGGCTAATTTACTTTTATTTTTTGTAGAGACAGGATTTCCCTATGTTACCCAGGCTAGTCTGGAACTCTCAGGCTGAAGCGATTTTCTGACCTTGGCCTCCCAAAGTGCTGGGATTATAGGTGTGAGCCACCATGCCAGACAAGAACTTTCAGAAACTGCATCAGAATTAAGCAATTAACTATAGAACCAACTTAATTGTCATTGTTAAAGACACAATTGACAAATTTGTTCATTTCTGTGATCTGCAGTAATTTAACATAACTATAATTATATATATAAAAAACCATATATATATATATATATAAAACCCTATATACACACACACACACACACACACACATCCAGACATATCAGAATTTGGGGAATCTTATACAATTTTGGAACATATGTTAATAACATTCATAAAAACAAAACTCAAAGTTAAACATCATTACTTTTTCCTTTTTATTTGTTTATTTAAAATAGAGACAGGATTTCCCCATGTTGCTCAGGCTGATCTCATACTCCTGGGCTCAAGCGATCCACACTTGCAAAGTTCTGGGATTGCAGGTGTAAGCCACCACGCGTGGCCTAAACATTATTTCTTATTTGACAATGCTTCCCATGTAATTTAACATATCAGATAAGCCCTTTTATTATCTTTCTTCTGAATGCCGCAAGGACCCTATGATACATCCCAAAGTTAATGGTAAAATAAAAGAGACAATTTTTAATTTGCAATTTGGTTTGGAGAAGCCTGTCAAATATGTTAAAGGATTAAAAGACCTTATCAAAATAGGATCACTGGTCACTGTGATAATTCAGATTTTAAAAAGCAAAAACCTTTACTCTTTGACAGAGAGAAGACTCCATTTTCCAAACAATCAAAAGACCTAAAGGAGAATAGCATGAGACAGAATCTGTCTCTCCTGCCCTTTCTTTTTTAAAAAAATTTTTGCAGTTTACTCAAAAGGTGAGCAAAAATATTTTATTGTATTTTATTAATACTGCATGCAATTTTTGTTTAAAAGAGAAAACCAGGCTGGGCATGGTGGCTCACACTTGTAATCCCAGCACTTTAGGAGCCCGAGGCAGGAGAATCACTTGAGCCTAGGAGTTGGAGACCAGCCTGGGAAACATAGTGATATCCTGTTTCTATAAAGAATAAAAAAATTGGCTAATATGGTGTTGTGTACCTGTAGTTCTAGTTACTCAGGAGGCTGAGGCAGGAGTATCACTTGGGCCTGGGAGTTCAAAGCTGCAGTGAGGTGTGATCGCACCACTGCATTCCAGCCTGAGTGACAGAGTGAGACTCTGTCTCCGAGAGAGAAAAATCAGATTTTATTACTATTATTTTAACATACAAATATAAAATGTGGCCTGTAGTCCAAGCTAATTTTTTTTATTTTTGTAGTGATAGGATCTCACTATGTTGCCCAGGCCGGTCTCAAATTCGTGAGCTGAAGCAGTCCTCCTGCCTCAGCTTCCCAAAGTGCTGGGATTACAGGCATGAGCCACTGCACCCAGCCTCACATTTTTCTTTATTAGCAAATCTAAATATATTTAGCTTGTCTATACCATATAAAAAATAAGATGCCAAAGCATATCAACTTAAACTTATGTTTAATAATTAATGTTTGGTATTTTAATTTATTTATAAATGACTCAGACATTTTATGATTATTAATTTAACATAACATGACTTTAAGATTTTAGATTACTAAAAATAATTTTGAAACTCTAACACAGGTACCCTCCCTAATGTCTTCCCCAGTCATCTTGGGTCTCAAGTAGCCATGTGGCACCCAGGATGGCTAAAGAGGGCAGGGTTCCTCTGGGTCCAGAATTTATATGCCAAGTTTGGAGCTCGGGACAGAAGGCAGGTCTGTGAAAATGATGCCTAGAGGATCAAACCCCTCCCAGAATAGCCAAGAGGCAAAGATGGACCAGGGAGGAAGGGGCCTATATTGGGCTTGATTCTGCCTTGTAGCTAGCTGGTGGTCTAGGTGCTGAAAACGTGTCCCTAGGTCTTAATATGGCCACCTGTCCGGATTCCAGAATCCAAAAGCTCAAAACCAAAAACAAGCTCACAGACAAATCAAGCAAGTATCAAAAATATTATAGAAGCAGCAGTTTTATGGCCCTTAAAACATGTATTGGAGACAGCATAAACCTGTTTAACCAGTAGACCCAGGCAACAATTTCTGAATTATATTTAACTGATAATTTTGAAGTCATTGCTATTATATCAATAATTTAAAAACCAGCTTAATTTACCAAATATTATCACGTACACACAACCCATATAGACATATAGATATACATACAGAAAGCGATCTTAAGCTTTCATAAAGAATTTGTATTTTCTGGCTTTTAAATAATTTTTTCAGCCAAGCATGGTGCCTCATGCCTGTAATCTCAGCACTTTGGGAGGCCAGGGTGGATGGATTGCTTGAGCCCAGGAGTTTGAGACCAGCCTGAGCAACATGGTGAAACCCTATCTCTACTGAAACTACAAAAATTAGCTGGGTATGGTGGCACATGCCTGTAGTCCCAACTACTTGGCAGGGGTTGAGGCAGAGGATCACCTGAGCCTTCAGAGGCCAAGGCTGCAGTGAGCTGTGATTGTACCACTGCACTCCAGCCTGGGCAACAGAGCGTGATCCTGCCTCAATATAAATAAATAAATAAATAAATAAATAATTTTTCCCCACTCAGACAATCGATCTTCCAATTACCTGTTTCATTGCTCAAAGCAATTGTTCACTAGGCAATAATTTGCCTTCTGAAAAGATGACTCAGCCAGGCATGGTGGCTCATGCCTGTAAGCCCAGCTCTTCGGGAAGCTGAGGCAGGTGGATCACATGAGGTCAGGAGTTCAAGATCAGCCTGACCAACATGGTGAAATCCTGCCTCTACTAAAATACAAAATTAGCCGGGCATGGTGGTGCACACCTGTAATCCCAGCTACTTGGGAGGCTGAGGCAGGAGAATCACTTGAACTCGGGAGGCAGAGGTTGCAGTGAACCAAGATTGTGCCATTGCACTCCAGCCTGGGCAACAAGAGCGAGACTTCATCTCAAACAATAAAATAAATAAATAAATAAATAATTATTCAGTGAAGACACAAAGTTTATATCTCAAAAGCACAGAGCTGAGACTTGAGGTCTAAACATTGTACCATCATTTGTCAAAACCAAGGAAAAAGGGTGTGAAGGCCCAATTTAAAAAAATTGGGAAGGAAAAGCACCTTAAACAAAGCAAAGACTTGTTATGTAAATTTAAAACAATGGTAAGAGTTTTTAGTGACTCAGTCATCCCTCTCAGAACTCTTACAAATGAAAATTTTCATTATAGATGTAAATTTATTTTACAAAAATGTTTTAAGATGGCCAGCTAAATGTCAGAAAGGTGTATTTTGGAGAGGGATTTAGTTCAATAGGTGGTCTTTTTAATGTAGCTACTGTTTCTTAGCTAAATTTACTGAGTTATTTCTCCTTCTCTTTGCACATTATAAAAAAATGAAATAAAATAAAATAAAACTACTGAGTTCTGGGTGAAGCCCATTCAGGAATTGGGCAAAGAAAGGATTTGCTATGCATGAGCCCAGCATGGATATCTCTGAAAAGGCAGCAAACCTACTTTACCTGAGGGCATAACTTTTTAATTTTTTTTTTAAGAGAAGAGGTCTCACTATGTTGCCCAGGCTGGTCTCCAACTCCTGGGCTCAAGTGATTCCTCCCACCTTGGCCTCTCAAAGAGCTGGGATTACAGGAGTGAGCTACCATGCCTAGTCAGAGGGCATACCTTTTATAAACACTTTATCCAGGATGGTTTCTTTTAGCCTTTAGGGTGGAATAGTGTATTAGTCCATTTTCATGCTGCTGATAAAGACATACCTGAGACAGGGCAATTTACAAAAGAAAGAGGCTTAATGGACTTACAGTTCCACGTGGTTGGGGAGGCTTCACAATCATGGTGGAAAGTGAAAGGCATGTCTCACATGGCAGTAAACAAGAGAAGAGGGCTTGTGCAGGTAAACTCCCCTTTATAAAACCATCAGATCTTGTGAGACTCACTATCATGAGAACAGAACAGGAAAGACCTGCCCTCATGATTCAATTACCTCCCACCAGGTCCCTCCCACAACACCTGGGAATTCAAGATGAGATTTGGGTAGGGACACAGCCAAACCATATCATTCTGCCCTGGCCCCTCCCAAATCTCATGTCTTCACATTTCAAAACCAATCATGCCTTCCTAGCAGTCCCCCAAAGTCTTAACTCATTTCAGCATTAACTCAAAAGTCTACAGTCCAAAGTTTCATCCGAGACAAGACAAGTTCCTTCCACATATGAGCCTGTAAAATCAAAAGCAAGTTAGTTACTTCCTAGATACAATGGGGGTACAGGCATTTGGTAAATACAGCCATTCCAAATGGGAGAAATTGGTGAAAACAAAGGGGCTACAGGCTCCATGAGAGTCTGAAATCCAGCAGGGCAGCCAAATCTTAAAGCTCCAAAATGATTTCCTTTGACTCCATGTCTCACATCCAGGTCACACTGATGGTGGGTTCCCATGGTCTTGGATAGCTCCACCCCTGTGGCTTTGCAGCTTTTGCACCCCTCCTGCTGCTCTCACTGGCTGGCATTAAGTGTCTGCAGCTTTTCCAGGTGCACGGTGCAAGCTGTCAGTGGATCTACCATTCTGGGGTCTGGAGGATGATGGCCCTCTTCTCACAACTCCACTAGGCAGTGCTCCAATAGGGACTCTGTGTGGCAGCTCCAACCCCACATTTCCCTTCCGCACTGCCCTAGTGGAGAGTCTCAATGAGGGCCCCACCCCTGCAGCAAACTTCTGCCTGGGCATCTTGGCATTTCCATACATGCTCTGAAATCTAGGTGGAGGATCCCAAACCTCAATTTTTTATTTCCGTGCACCCACAGGCTCAACACCATGTGGAAGCTGCCAAGGCTTGGGGCTTGCACCCTCTGAGGCAACAGCCTGAGCTGTACCTTGGCCCCTTTTATCCATAGCTGGAGAGACTGGAACACAGGGTACCAAGTCCCTAGGCTACACAGAGCAGGCGGACCCTGGGCCCAGCCCACAAAACCATCTTTTCCTCCTAGGCCTCCAGACGTATGATGGGAGGGGCTGCCATGAAGACCTCTGACATGCCCTGGAGACATTTTTCCCATTGTCTTGGGGATTAACATTCGGCTCCTCATTACTTATGCAAATTTCTGCAGCTGATTTGAATTTCTCCTCAGAAAATGGGATTTTCTTTTCTATCATATTGTCAGGCTGCAAATTTTCCAAGGTTTTATGGTCTGTTTCCCTTTTAAACTTGAATGCCTTTAACAGCACCCAAGTCACCTCTTGAATGTGTTGCTGCTTAGAAATTTCTTCCAAAAGATACCCTAAATCATCTCTCTCAAGTTCAAAGTTCCACAGATCTCTAGGGCAGAAGCAAAGTGCCACCAGTCTCTTTGCTAAAACATAACAAGAGTCATCTTTGCTCTAGTTCCCAACAAGTTCCTTATCTCCATCTGAGA
The DNA here is from genome assembly GCF_000001405.40 of Homo sapiens. Taxonomy (NCBI): domain Eukaryota; kingdom Metazoa; phylum Chordata; class Mammalia; order Primates; family Hominidae; genus Homo; species Homo sapiens. The sequence goes on from NC_000020.11 coordinate 43,487,954, forward strand.
CTACCTCAGCCTGGATTTCATTGTCCATATCATTATCAACATTTTGGTCAAAGCCATTCAACAAGTCTCTAAGAAGTTCCAAACTTTCCCACATTTTCCTGTCTTCTGAGCCCTCCAAACTGTTCCAACCTCTGCTTGTTACCCAGTTCCAAAGTTGCTTCCACATTTTTGGGTATCTTTTCAGCAGTGCCGCACTCTACTGGTTCCAATTTACTGTATTAGTCCGTTTTCACACTGCTGATAAAAACATACCTGAGACTGGGTAACTTACAAAAGAAAGAGGTTTAATGGACTTACAGTTCCACGTGGCTGGGGAGGCCTCACAACCATGGCAGAAGGTGAAAGGCACATCTCACATGGCAGCAGACAAGAGAAGAGAGCTTGTACAGGAAAACTCCCCTTAATAAAACTATCAGATCTCATGAGACTTACTCACTATCAAGAGAACAGCACGGAAAACACCCCCCTCCATGATTCAATTACCTCCCATCAGGTCCCTCCCACAACCCGTGGGAATTCAAGATGAGATTTGAGTGAGGACACAGCCAAACCATATCAGATAGTAACAAAGTGAAAATTAGCAAATTTAATTTTTTTTTTATTTTAACAAAAAAAAGAAGAAGAAGAAGAAAAGAGTCTCACTCTGTCACCCAGGCTGGAGTGCAGTGGCACAATCTTGGCTTGCTGCAACCTCCGTCCTTCGGTTCAAATGATTTTTGTGCCTCAACCTCCTTAGTAGCTGGGATTACAGGTGCCTACCACCATGCCTGGCTAATTTTTGTATTTTTAGAAAAGACAGGGTTTCACTATGTTAGCCAGGCTGGTCTCAAAGTCCTGGCCTCACGTGGTCTTCCTGCCTTGGCCTCCCAAAGTGCTGGGATTACAGGTGATTACAGGTGGATTTTATTTTTTAATTAATTAATTAGTCTCTTAAGGTTTTTTTATTTGCCTTTCATAAATTCTTTTAAAAGAGCCAATAACAATACTGAATCTTTTTAAAGACTTTTGCACATCAATAGACATCCCTGGAGCCTTCTTTTTTTTTTTTTTTTTTTTTTTGAGAGGGGTCTTGCTCAGTCGTCCAGGCTGGAGTGCAGTGGCGCAATCTCAGCTCACTGCAAGCTCTGCCTCCCGAGTTCACGCCATTCTCCTGCCTCAGCCTCCAGAGTAGCTGGGACTACAGGCGCCCGCTGCCACGCCTGGCTAATTTTTTGTATTTTTAGTAGAGACAGGGTTTCACCATGTTAGCCAGGATGGTCTCGATCTCCTAACCTCGTGATCTGCCCGCCTTGGCCTCCCAAAGTGCTGGAATTACAGGCATGAGCCACCGCGCCGGGCTGGAGCCTTTATTTTTAAATGCACTTCTTAAAGTGCAGTGTTGAAATGGGAGCGTCCCCTGGTCCCCCTCCCAGGACATGCGACAGGGGTGTGGCTCTCTGTTCAGCCACAGCAAGCTCAAACCCCTCATGGGAGCGGGAGCACACAGATGGGCAGGTGCAGGAACCGGAGTGGACACTTTTGGGCTTCAGCCCCACGGCAGTGTCTAGGGGTAACTCTGTGTCAAAAAATTCCTGTAAATCTCTGAAAGCTGAACTTCTTACTCTCTGAAGTATTGCCATTTACTGCCAGTTTTCTATCATGACTTCTGAAGACAGCTTGGATCAAAAATTTGCTCAAAGAAACTTAGATAGCTAGAAACCCAAATTCATGGGGCTTTGGAATCTGAGAGCTTACCCACAATCCCCAGTTGCTGTGAGAGAGGAATGGACAAAACAAGTCCAGCACGTCACTCATTTCGTCACTCGACGCTCCTGGGAGACCCTAGGAGCTCCACTTTGGTTCCTACTTCTGACACCAAATTGTTCTTTGCTTAATTAATGTTTAATTGGTCTAAAGTTAAATGAAAAACTGTAGACAAATTAAACAGATTAATTAAGCAAAGAACAATTTCTGAATCATTCAGTCCCCCAAACCAGAAAAGGTTCTGTGGCTGGGCGCAGTGGCTCACACGTTTGGGAGGCTGAGATGGGAGGATCACTCGAGCCCAGGAGTTCAAGACCAGCCTGGGCAACATAGCAACATCCCATCTCTTAAAAAAAAAAAAAAAAAAAAAAAAAAAGAAAGAAAGAAAAACAGGATAGGTTCTGAGAGTTTCCAGTGCTGCCGCATGGTCAGAGAGAATTTATGGACAGAAAAAGCAAAGTGAGGTAAAGTAACAGCTGGATTGCGTACAGCTTTGCATTTGCCTTATTTGAACACAGTTTGAACAGTTGGCCATATTTGATTGGCCAAAACTCAGTCATTTGGTATGAGGGTAGGATGTAGTCTGTTTACATACCCAGTTAGGTTATAGTTCACTATGTACAGAGAAACATTTAGGCTGAACTTAAAATATGTAAGGAAGCAGATTTAGGCTAAACTTAATTTTAACAGCTTGCTTATCTATTTCAGTATCTAGAATTCCACAATGCCTTTTTTTTTTTTTTTTTTTTTTTTTTTTTTTTTTTTTTTTTTTTGAGAGTCTCTCGCCCTGTTGCCCAGGCAGGAGTGCAGTGGTGAGATCTCAGCTCACCACAACCTCTGCCTCCTGGGCTCAAGCAATTCTCCTGCTTCAGCTTCCCACGTAGCTGGGATTACAGGTGTGCACCACCACACCTGGCTAATTTTTTTATGTTTAGTAGAGACAGGGTTTCATCATGTTGGCCAGACTGGTCTCAAACTCCTGACCTCAAGTGATCCACCTGCCTCGGCCTCCCAGAGTGCTGGGGTAACAGGCATGAGCCACTGCGCCTGGACCCACAGTGCATTTTTAACGGACCTGAGTTATTATAAAGGGCTTTGCTGTACTGAGCCGTGGCTGTCACACCATCATCTGTTTCTTTGATTCCTCTGTTCCTCATTCATGCATCCTGTACTACACTAGGCAAGACAGATAAAGAGCACAGATCCCCAGGCTTCAGCAGCCTGTGCTTTCAAACAAGGCAATACAGCATCTTCAGTATGAGTGCAGGTTCTGGAGCCAAAGTCTGGTTTTACTACCCACATTTAATCTCACTATTAAATGAAATTTATGGGAAGCCATTATTTTGGACTGAGCTTCTGCAATGGGCCCCAACAGAAAAGATCAAACCAAAATGAAGTTATTGATGCTAAAGTTATTTGTCACCAAACCAAACAACTAAACTGGTTTTCTGATCTTCGGAGAAGTCAGGAGAGAAAGATGACAGCCAAATCCCTAAACTGGCCAGTTTTGGTCTACATAATAAGGAAATTCCCTATGCTTTAGTCTTTATAAGAAAAGTAACCTGAAGGTAACTGATCTGCTTTTTGTATTATGCTATTTCCTTGTTTTTGCTCAAACTATCTTATAAAAACTGATCTGTCATGCCCAATGGAACATGAAATCTTTAGAGGAGACACTGCCCAATTTATGGTTCACTAATAAAAGCCAATTAGATCTTTTTTTTTTTTTTTTTTTTTGAGATGGAGTCTGGCTCTGTCACCCAGGCTGGAATGCAGTGGCGCAATCTCGGCTTGCTGCAAGCTCTGCCTCCGGGGTTCGCGCCATTCTCCTGCCTCAGCCTCCCAAGTAGCTGGGACTACAGGCGCCCGCCACTACGCCCAGCTAATTTTTTATATTTTTAGTAGAGACGGGGTTTCACCGTGTTAGCCAGGATGGTCTCGATCTCCTGACCTCGTGATCCACCCGCCTCGGCCTCCCAAAGTGCTGGGATTACAGGCGTGAGCCACCGTGCCTGGCCTCTTTTTTTTTTTTTTAAGACAGTCTTGCTGTGTCACCCAGGCTGAAGTGCAGTGGCACAATCTTGGCTCACTGCAAGCTTCACCTCCCAGGCTTAAGTGATTCTCCTGACTCGGCCTCCCGAGTAGCTGGGACTACAGGCATATACCACCACCCCTGGCTAATTTTTGTATTTTTAGTAGAGACAGGGTTTCACTATGTTGGCCAGGCTGGTCTCAAACTCCTGTTCTCAAGTGATCTGCCTGCCGTGACCTCCCAAGTGCTAGGATTACAGGCATGAACCACTGCGCCTGGCCACATCTTTAAACTAAATTTGTTGAAATTTTGTTTTTTAATGTCACTAAACTGTAAGAAAGAGAAAACCAGGAGCTGGCCTGTCAGTCACTGCCAGGCCTTGGTGTTCTGTGGAACATACATGTTTTCACAGAATAACAACATTGGACAAGACTGCTGTAAGACCACAATGGAACAAGACAAAAGCAAGTCTATTCCCCAATCATGTCTGAGCACAAACAAAACCAAGAACATGTCTAAACCTCAAAAGGACCAAACATACCCTTAGGCTGGCTGATATGAGTCACAAGCTGTCTTTACCAATTATAGGTATATCTCTACTCTAGATTTCCTGCCTTCTAGCAAAAACATTATTAAGATTCCACGTCATAGTACTCGTACCTTTGCTTCCTGACGACACTCAATCCAGAGCAAAGCTCTGCTTCCCTGAACCCTCTCCAAAATGATCTTACAGAAGCCATATTTGCCATTTTTAATTAATTAATTTATTTATTTATTTATTATTTATGAGACAGAGTTTCACTCTGTGGCGCAGGCTGGAGTACAGTGGCACGATCTCGGCTCACTGCATCCTCTGCCTCCAGGTTCAAGTGATTCGTCTGCCTCAGCCTCCTGAGTAGCTGGGATTACAGGCACCTGCCACCACATCCGGCTAATTTTTGTACTTTTAGTAGAGACAGGGATTCACCATGTTGGCCAGGTTGGTCTCGAACTCCCGACCTCAGGTGATGCCCCCACCTCAGCCTCCCAAAGTTCTGGGATTACAGGTGTGAGCCACCATGCCTGGTCAGTATTTGCCATTTTTAATACCTGTATTTTGCTGGGATATGCCTCACACCAGCTAACCCAGGATGTGCATGTTTCTGGAAGTCCTTGAGAAGAACCTTCGATGTGCTATAATCCTAAGGGTAACTTGCCTGCATTGCTCCCTAGTGGTCTGAGGTTTCAGCTGAGATAGTGAGGGTGGAGAGGGGCGGGTGTGATAGTGATGGAAACACACCCCATGTAGATCAGAGGCAGCAGAAGAGGGCAGGGAGAAAGTTGAGACCTGGCTTTGCTGTATACTACTTTGTAAGGCCCTGACCAAGGCTGGTGATCTCTCTGAACCTTGTAGTTCTTCCTCTAAAATGGAGCTTCCTTCTTCAGGGGACTGGTAAGAATTAAAAGCACAAAGTACATAAAAAGCTTTGTAGAACTGGACTCTTTTTCCTGGATCCTGGTACCAAGGCAGGATCATGACTTTCCCAGGACCCTTAGCAAAATGTCCTATTTAACTTTTTTTTAAAATGTAAACCGATTTTTAGGTAGGGTGTGCTGTCTCATGCCTATAATCCAAGCATTTTGGGAGGCCAAGGCGGGAGGCTCACTTGAGGTCAGGAGTTCAAGACTAGCCTGGGCAATATGGCGAGATCCTGTCTATAAAAAATGAAAAAATCAGCCAAGTGTGGTGATATGTGCCTGTAGTCCCAGCTACTCAAGAGGCTGAGGTGGGAGGATCGCTTGAGTCTGGATGTTTGAGGCTGCAGTGAGCCATGGTTGTGCCTATGGGCTCCAGCCTAGGTGACAGAGTGAGATCCTTTCTCAAGAAAACAAACAAACAGATAAAAAACACACACACACACAGCTGCTACTCTGGTTGAAGTAGGGGAATTACTTGGAATTCTCCCTCCAGGGACCACCACCCCCTTACATGCATCCTTTTTTTCTTTTATGTCCCTGGGGACATAGCCCAAAAGTTCCTGGTTTATACATTGTGCTATTCAAAATGCTGCAGTCTCCCACAAATGAAATCTAATTCCGTACACGTCATTAGGTCTCATAGATCCAATCCTGTTATGTAAAAGTTGAGGGAGTTACACAGTCCTTTTATGAAACAAGAATTTGTCAAATCAAATGTTGCTTCAGTCTTTGCAGTGGCCCTGGCTGCCACGAGATTCACCCTGCAGTACAAAGTGCTCCAGAAAACCACTTACATGAGCTGAGCCTCCTGAGCTGCCACGAGCTTCTGGGGCACACACTTCAGAAACATCCTCATGTGCTTTGCACTCACCCCCTGCTTCTGTTGTTTTGGTGATTGCTGCACATACATTCCAAAAAGAATCACTTACATGTGTTACAGGAAAGGGGTCCTGATCCAGACCCCCAAGAGAGGGTTCTTGGATCTCATGCAAGAAAGAATTCAGGGCGAGTCCACAGAGTAAAGTAAAAGCAAGTTTATTAAGAAAGTAAAGGAATAAAAGAATGACTACTCCAGGCCGGGTGCGGTGGCTCACGCCTATAATCCCAGCACTTTGGGAGGCTGAGGCGGGCGGATCACCTGAAGTCAGGAGTTCGAGACCAGCCTGGCCAACATGACAAAACCCTGTCTCAACTAAAAGTACAAAAATTAGCCGGGCGTGGTGGTGGGCATCTGTAATCCCAGCTACTCGGGAGGCTGAGGCAGGAGAATCATTCGAACCCGGCAGGCAGAGGTTGCAGTGAGCTGAGATTGCGCCACTGCACCCCAGCCTGGGCAACAGAGCAAGATTGTCTCAAAAAAAAAAAACAACAACAACAACAAAAAACTGACCCTACTAAGGGCTGCTGCTTGCCCATTTTTATGGTTATTTCTTGATGATATGCTAAACAAGGGTTGGATTATTCATGCCTCCCCTTTTTAGACCATATAGTGTAACTTCCTGACGTTTCCATGACATTTGTAAACTGTCATGGTGCTGGTGGGAGTGTGGCAGTGAGGCATACCAGAGGTCACTCTTGTCGCCATCTTGGTTTTGGTGGGATTTTGCCGGCTTTTTTACTGCAACCTGTTTTATCAGCAAGGTCTTTATGATCTGTATCATGGGCTGACATCCTATCTCACCTTGTGACTTAGAATGCCTTAACAGTCTGGGAATACAGCCCAGTAGGTCTCAGTGGCATTTTACCCAGCCCCTACTCAAGATGGAGTTGCTCTGGTTCAACTCCATTGGACGAGATTTACCTCCATTGGATTTACCTCTCCAAGTTGCCACCTGTAACCCTAGGATCAGTATTATGACATTTACATGACCAACCTTCCCAATGCCTGCACAATTTGCCTATTCTGGAAAAACTTATTTTAATTTTTTGTTTCCTGTGGGGTTTCTTTCTTTGTTCTTCTTTTTTTTTTTAAGTGAGTGGTTACTTCTAATGTATATGTATCAATAACTTTTATCAGCTTATCTCAGTATACAGTGACACCATGAAAGTGAATGTGAATGCCAGGCACTTCATAAGAGAATCAGTTACTTGACCAACTGTATTAGTCAGGGTTCTCCAGCGGAACAGGACCAATAGGATATATGTATATATAAAAAAGGGTTTATTAGGGAGAATTGGCTCACATTGATTACAAGACAAGTCCTACCGTAGGCTATCTGCAAGCTGGGGAAAAAGAGAAGGTGGCAGCCTGGCTCAGTCCAAGTCTGAAAGCCTTAAAACCAGGGAAGCCCAAGTGTAGCCTTCAGTCTGAGGCTGAAAGCCTGAGAGCCCCCAGGATGCTGCTGGTGTTAAGTTCCAGAGTCCAAGGCCCAACAAACTGCAGTCTGATGTCCAAGGGCAAGAGGAGAGGAAGCAAGCATTGGCACAGGAAGACAGAGAGAGCACGCTAGAGGACATAGCCAGCTGAATATCCCTTCTTCTGCCTGCTTTGTTCTAGCTATGCTGGCAGCCCATTGGATGGTGCCCACCCACATTGAAGGTAGGTCTTCCTCTCCCAGTCCATTTACTCAAATGTCAATTTCCTCTGGAAACACCCTCACAGACACTCCCAGGAGGTGTTTCACCAGCCAGCTGGCATCCCTCAATCCAGTCAAGTTGACACAATATTAACCATCACACCAACTTTGTTGTTACCTTGTATGCTAGGCAGAATAATGATCCCCCAAACATGGTCACATTCTAATCCCTGGAACCTGTAAATATGTTATGTTTTATGGCAAGACGGAATTAAAGTTGCAGATGGAACTAAGTTTGCTGATACACTGAGTTTAAAATAGGGAGATTCTCCTACATTATTTGGGTGGGCCCAATGTGAGAACAAGCATCCTTAAAAGATGAAAAGAGAGGCCAAAGAGTGAGTGTCATAGTGATACGGTGTGAGAAAAACTTGACCAGCAATTGATAGCTTAGACGATGGAGAAAGGGGCCACAAACCAATGAATGTAGACAGCCTCTTGAAGCTAGAACACGCAAGAAACTGGATCCTCTCCTAGAGCCTCCAGAAAGGAATGCAGCTCTGCTGACACCTTAACGCTGAGTGAGACCCATTTTGGACTTCTGACCTCCAGAACTATGACATAATAAACGTATGTTAGGTGTTTTGGCCAGACGCAGTGACTCACGCCTGTAATCCCAGCACTTTGGGAGGCCAAGGTGGGCAGATCATGAGGTCAGGAGATCGAGACCATCCTGGATAACACGGTGAAACGCCATCTCTACTAAAAATACAAAAAATTAGCCAGACGTGGTGGTGTGTGCCTGTAGTCCCAGCTACTCAGGAGGCTGAGGCAGGAGAATGGCATGAACCTGGGAAGCGGAGCTTGCAGTGAGCAGAGATCTCGCCACTGCACTCCAGCCTGGGTGACAGAGCAAGACTCTGTCTCAAAAAAAAAAAAAAAAAAAAGGTATGTTAGGTGTTTTAAGCCGCTAACTTTCTGGTAACTTGTTACAGCAGCAATAGAAAACTAATACAGCTCGATTTTTTTCATTGGGTTCCTCAGCATCATTGTAAGACATGAATTCTAAGGGTGTGTTGAGAGCAAGGTTCAGATATTTAGCAGAGTAGGAGAAAAGGAAATAATCGAGGCTCTGGCCCTCGCCGACACAAATTTTCCTAGTGGATATAGACCTATTTTTTCACAAACGTAAGTGCAACAGTAAATTTCCAAAGCCCCGTAGAAAATTTGTCAGTCTCTGATGTTCTGAATAACATACAGCCATACCCGCACTGTAAAGTTACTAATCTCCCTCCCCATCCCTTGCCATACTGTGCTCTTTCGAAGGAAGTCACTCTGTGCAACCCGCACTTGAGGAGTGGTGCTACGGTTTGAGTGTCCCCTTCCAAACTCATGTTGAAATTTCATTACCAATGTAATTAAGAGGCAGGACCTTCAAGAGGTGATTAGGTCAGGAGGACTCTGCCCTCATAGTGGATTAATGCTGTTATTTCAGGAGTGGGTTAGTTATCCCAAGAGTGGGTTCCTGATAAAAAGGATGAAGCTGACCATCAGCTGAATAAGATATAGTTCCAGCTACTTGGGAGGCTGGAGCAGGAGGGTTGCTTGAGCCTAGGAGTTCAAAACCATAGTGTGCTATGATTCTTGTGAACAGTGATTGTACTCCAGCCTGGGTAACATAGTGAGGCCCTATCTTTTTTTTTTTTTTTTGAGAAAGAGTCTTGCTCTGTCACTCTGTCCCTAGGCTAGAGTGCAGTGGCGTGATCTCGGCTCACTACAACTTTTGCCTCCCAGGTTCAAGTGATTCTCCTGCCTCAGCCTCTCAGGGATTACAGGTGCCTGCCACCACACCTGGCTAATTTTTTTGTATTTTTAGTAGAGACAGGGGTTTCACCATTTTGACCAGGCTGGTCTTGAACTCCTTACCTCAGATGATCCACCCACCTTGGCCTCCCAAAGTGCTGGGATTACAGGTGTGAGCTACTGTGCCCAGCCACAAGACCCTGTCTTTAAAAAAAAAGAAAAAAAAGTTGAGTTTAGCCAAATTTCCTCTCTTTATCCATGTTCACTTGCCCTTCTGCCATGTTATGATTCAGCACAAAGGCCTTCACTAGATGCTGGTGCCATGCTCTTGGACTTCCCAGGCTCCAGAACCATAAGCCAAATAAACTTCTATTGTTTATAAATTGTCCAGTCTGTGGTATTCTGTTATGCACCAGAAAACAGACTAAGACAGGTGGGGAATTATGCTTCCTTTTCTTTAGGGTGGAGTATCTAATCCCTTTGCATTGGAATCCCTCTGCATGAGAGATTTGTCTCATCTCCCGTATTTATTATTCAATCTTTTTATATCAATATGGACTCCTGGGTATTTATTTTATTCTTTAGCTTATAATTCAATATTACTTTATTTTGTTGTGCAAATTATTCCAGTGTCAGCCATTTGGAGCACTTGTTGTTTCCTTTGCCCCTTTGATTAATGCCCATCATTGTGTTTTGTTTTTCTTTTCATTTCTGGCACTATAAGATAAATCCTGTGTATATTTCATCTCAAACATTGTATTTTTTATATCTAGAAGTTTAATTTGGGTCTTTTAAAAATTATCTCCTTTTTTTTTTTTCCAAGATGGATTCCCACTCTGTCGCCCAGGCTGGAGTGCAGTGGCACAATCTTGGCACAACCTCTGACTCCTGGGTTCAAGCGATTCTCCTGCCTCAGCCTCCCAAGCAGCTGGGATTACAGGCGCCCGACACCATGCCTGGCTAATTTTTTTGTATTTTTAGTAGAGACAGAGTTTCGCTGTGTTGGCCAGGCTGGTCTCAAACTTCTGACCTCAGGTGATCCGCCCACCTCGGCCTCCCAAAGTGCTGGAATTACAGGCATGATCCACAATGCCCAGCCTCCTCTTCTGGCTGGGCGTGGTGGCTCACACCTGTAGTCCCAGCACTTTGGGAGGCCGAGGCAGGTGGATCATGAGGTCAGGAGATCGAGACCACACTGGCCAACATGGTGAAACCCCGTCTCTACTAAAAATACAAAAAATTAGCTGGGCGTGGTGGTGGGCGCCTGTAGTTTCAGCTACTTGGGAGGCTGAGGCAGGAGAATGGCGTGAACCTGGGAGGCAGAGCTTGCAGTGAGCTGAGATCTCACCACTGCACTCCAGCCTGGGCAACAGAGCAAGACTTGGTCTCAAAAAAAAAAAAGTATCTTCTATTTCTCTACTTAACATGTTCAATTCTTCCTCTAGCTTCTTCAGCATATGGAATATAGTTATAATAACTGTTTTTAAAACCTTTTCTACTAATTCTTTCATCTCCTCCTTACAGGTCATATTTTCCTGCTTCTTTGGAAGCCCGGTAATTTTTTTTTTCACAGGGTCTCACTATGTTGCCCAGGCTGGCTTTAAACTCCTGGGCTTGAGTGATCTTTTCACCTCAGCCTCCTGATTAGCTAGGACTATAGACATGCACCACCTCACCTGGCTTATGCCTAGTTATTATTATTATTATTATTATTATTATTATTATTATTATTTGTATCAGATTCTTGCTCTGTTGCCTAGGCTGGAGTGTAGTGTCATGATTAGGGCTCACTGCAGCCTCCACCTTCTGGGCTCAAGTGATCCTCCCACCTCAGTCTCTTGAGTATCTGGGACTATAGGCACGCACCACCATGCCTGGCTAATTTTTGTAATATTTTGTAGAGACGGGGTTTTACCATGTTGCCCAACCTGGTCTTGAACTCCTGGGCTCAAGTGATCTGCCCCTTGGGCCTCCCAAAGTGTTGGGATTATAGGTGTGAGCCACCACCCCTGGCCAAATTTTTTAATTTTTTTGTGGAGACGGGGTCTTGCCATATTGCCAGGGCTGGTCTCAAACTCTTCGGCTCAAGCAATCCTTCCGCCTTGCCCTCCCAAAGTGCTGGGATTACAGGCATGAGCCACTGTGCCCAGCATGCCTGGCGATTTTTAAGTGGATGCCATAATTTTTACCTTGTAGGATGCTGGATATCTTTGTATTTCCAAATATTCTTAAGCTTTTTACCTGGGATGTGATTAACATAATTGAAACTAGTTTGACTCTCTCTTGGGTCTTATTTTAAAACTTTGTCTTTTTAAACTTTTAAACTAAGACCAGAGTGGTGTTTTGTGTAGGCTTCATGTTTCCCCACTAGCAAGCACTCAGAACTCTCCCTGATTGCCTGTGAGTTATGAGGTTTTCCACTTGGGTGGTGGAAGCTATAGGAATTGTTGTCTTTAACCCTTTCAGCCTGTTCTTTCCTCAGGCTCAGGTATTTATGTCACACATGTGCTGATTAGTACTTAACTGAATACTCAAGGCCAGGGCTGTCTGCAGTTCTCCAGCATTTTCTCTTACATCGCTTTCCTTTCTGGTACTCTTTCCTGTTGACTCTAGCTGTCTTGCCCTCACTGGACTTCCAGCTCCATCTCCTCAATTCAGTGAGCCTGCTAGGCTCCACCTGGATTGCCCCAGCTGCTAATATTTCTCCAGCAATCATGGGGATCGCCTTGATTATTTCTCATCTTTCAAGAATTTCTATTCTACCAGCCTAGGCAACATAAAATAATTTTTAAAAATAGCAGGGTGTGGGCCAGGCGCAGTGGTTCACATCTGTAATCCCAGCACTTTGGGAGGCCGAGGTGGGTGGATCACAAGGTCAGGAGTTCAAGACTAGCCTGACCAACATAGTGAAACCCAGTTTCTCCTCAAAATACAAAAATTAGCTGGGCGTGGTGGCGGGCACCTGTAATCCCAGCTACTTGGGAGGCTGAGGCAGAGAATTGCTTGAACCCGGGAGGCAGAGGTTGCAGTAAGCCGAGATCGCACCACTGCACTCCAGTTTGGGCGACAGAGCAAGACTCCGTCTCAAAAACAACGCCAACAACAACAACAAAATAGCTGGGTGTGGTGGCAATTGCCTGTAGTCCCAGCTGCTTGGGAGGCTGAGATGTGAGGATCACTTGAGCCCAGGAGGTCAACGCTGCAGTGAGCTATGATCGTGCTACTGGACTTTAGCCTGGGTAACAAAGTGAGACTGTCTCTGATATGGTTTGGCTGTGCCCCCACCCAAAATCTCATCTTAAATTGTAATCCCCATTATCCCCACAGTCCCCATGTGTCAAGGGAGAGGGGGAGGTAATTAAATCATGGGGGTGGTTTCCTCCATGCTGTTCTTGTGATAGTGAGTAAATTTTCATGAGATCTGATTTTTTTTTTTTTTTTTTTTTTTGAGACAGAGTCTCACTCTGTCACCCAGGCTGGAGTGCAGTGGCGTGATCTCGGCTCACTGCAAGCTCCACCTCCCGGGTTCACGCCATTCTCCTGCCTCAGCCTCCCTAGTAGCTGGGACTACAGGTGCCCGCCACCACGCCCAGCTAATTTTTTTGTATTTTTATAGAGATGGGGTTTCACCGTGTTAGCCAGGATGATCTTGAGCTCCTGACCTTGTGATCCGCCTGTCTCGGCCTCCCAAAGGGCTGGGATTACAGGTGTGAGCCACCGCGCCTGGCCTGATCTGATGGTTTTATAAGAGGCTCTTACCCCTTTACTGGGCACTTCTCCTTCCTGACACCTTGTGAAGAAGGTGCCTTGCTTCCTTCCCCTTTGCCTTCCACTATGATTGTAAGTTTCCTGAGGCTTCCCCAGCCATGCTGAACTGTGAGTCAATTAAGCCTCTTTCCTTTACAAATTACCCAGTCTTGCCAGGCACGATGGCTCACACCTGTAATCCCAACACTTTGGGAGGCCAAGGCGGGTGGATCACTAGGTCAAGAGTTTGAGACCAGCCTAGCCAACATGGTGAAACTCCATCTCTACTAAGAATACAAAAATTAGCCAGGCATGGTGGTGTGTGCCTGTAATCCCAGCTACTCGGGAGGCTGAGGCAGGAGAATTGCTTGAAATCGGGAGGCAGAGGTTGCAGTGAGCTGAGATCGTGCCACTGCACTCCAGCCTAGGTGACAGAGCAAGAGTCCATCTCAGGCAACAAAAATAAATAAATAAATTACCCAGTCTTGGGTTTGTCTTCATAGCAGTGTGAAAATGGACTAATACAGTCTCTAAATACAAAAGAAAGAAGAATATATCTTTTGTTGCCTGGTGGTCAGTGTCTTGAGAAACATTTGCTATATGATTTCCCTTTTCTCGGTTGTTTCAGTAGAAAGAGTAAATCTAGTCCCTGTTATTCCAACCTGGCCAGAAGCTGAAGTTCTTGGCCCCAACAGTCTTTTTTTTTTTAGATGGAGTCTCACTCTGTTGCCCAGGCTGGAGTGCAATGGCACTATTTCAGCTCACTGTAACCTCTGCCTCATGGGTTCAAGTGATTCTCCTGCCTCAGCCTCCTGAGTAGCTGGGATTACAGGTGCCCGCCACCACACCCAGCTGATTTTTGTATTTTTGGTAGAGACGGGGTTTCGCCATGTTAGTCAGGCTGGTCTCAAACTCCTGACCTCACGATCCGCCCTCCTGGTCCTCCCAAAATCCTGGGATTACAGGTGTGAGCCACCACGCCTGGCCGACCCCCACGGTTTTTTTAAATGAGTGGCTACTTTTACATATACTAGTCACTTTAATCAGTTTATCTCTGTATATGGTAAAACTATTAAGGTGACTATTAATTCTAGGCACTTTGTAAGAGGTCCTTCCACCACTACCTTTCATCTTGTTTTCCATAGCAGCTGCACTTACATTCCCACCAAAAGCGCACAAGGGTTCGTTTCTCCAAATCCTTGTGTAATTCCCATTCCTTTTAAAATAGTTTTAACATATTTGCTTTCGTTTTTTGTTCTTGTTTTTGAGAGACAAGGTCTTGCTGTGTTGTCCAGTCTGGTCTTGAACTCCTGGCCTCAAGTGATTCTCCTGCCTTGGCCTCCGAAAGTGCTAGGATTACAGGCAGGAGCCACTGCACCCAGCCCACATTTATTTTACAATCTCTTTATAAATTATGCTATTGTCTCAAGTTATTGTGGGTGCTAATTTTCCTGTTTATTAGGTCGCTGATGGTTAAATATGGTAGATCGTTTCCTTGACTACTTTATGTTTTTCTGTTGTGAGCATTCCATTTGGCTTGGGTTGTAACGATGTCTCTACAGAGAAGTTGTGCATGGATATTACTTGCCCAGGACCAATTTTTGCACTGCTTTCTTAGCTGAAGCTATCAATACCAGGAGGGCAGCACAAATCCCTACAAATCTAATCTACAAATAGGGTTCCCAAATCCATTCACAGTGTAGGCTTACAGTTTTGATTTTCCATGGTTGACTTGCCCTGATCCTCACTTCTATGCATCCCAGGCAGAGACAAGCTTCCTTTCTATTTCTCTGGACTGTTGTACTGAACAGTTTCTAGAACTCTCTTCAATGAATATATAGTCTGGGAGGAGTATCCAGTCTTTTTTTTTTTTTTTCCTCCTTAAGACAGCGCCTCACTCGGTTGCCCAGGCTGGAGTGCAGTGGGGCGAACATGGCTCATTACAAGCTTAAGTGATCCTCCTGCCTCAGCCTTCCAAGTAGCTGGGACCATAGGAATGTCACCACACCCGGCTGATCTTTTTATGTTTTGTAGAGACATGGTCTCACTTTGTTGCCCAGGCTGGTCTCGAATTCCTGGGCTCAAGCTATCTTCCCACCTCAGCATCTCAAAGTGCTGGGATTACAGGTGTGAGCCACCACACCCGGCCCCCCAGTCTTTATACATGGGCTTCAGTTCCAACTCTCAGGGCCACATGGACCCAAGGTTCCATCTCCCATCATTACATGTGTAGTAAAACCCAAGTCTCTAGCAGCTGGGTCCTGTCTGTATCCAACAACCACCTCCAGGACAAGAGAGACATCAGGCCACATCTTATTGCTCTGGTTCCCTTTTTGTTTTTGACTCCTGAGGATTTCCTCTTACACGTTCAGCAATGAATTTACTTTTTTTTTTTTGAAACGGAGTCTTGCTCTGTCACCCAGGCTGGAGCGCAGTGGCAGAATCTCAGCTCACTGCAAGCTCTGCCTCCCGGGTTCATGCCATTCTCCTGTCTCAGCCTCCTGAGTAGCTGGGACTACAGGCGCCCGCCACCACGCCCGGCTAATATTTTTATAATTATAGTAGAGACAGGGTTTCACCGTGTTAGCCAGAATAGTCTCAAGCTCTTGACCTCGTGATCCACCCGCCTCGGCCTCCCAAAATGCTGGGATTACAGGCATGAACCACCGCGCCCGGCCAGCAATGAATTTACTTTCTTTCCCTGTGTGCTTGCTTGCTTCCTTTCTTGTAATATAATAGGCAGGGTTTTCTGGTGTTTGTGTTAGAAAAGGTTCCCAGCCAGGCGCGGTGGCTCATGCCTGTAATCCTAGCACTTTGGGACGCCAACGCAGGAGGATCCCTTGAGCTTAGGAGTTTGAGACCAGCCTGGACAACACAGGGAGACCCTGTCTCTATTTTATGTAACTACATTTAAAAGATAAAAATAAAAAAAGTTTTTAAAACGTTCCATACTAGCTCAGTCTGACGTTGGAACCAGAAGTGTTTTTATACATAAAGGGCACATCCTGATGATTTCCCTAAAAATCTGCAGACAGTCTCAATGGTGAATGAAACTCTATTGTAGGAACAGAATGGTGTGGGCTGCTTAGAAACAACAGTTTTCTTTTGTTTGTTTGTTTTACATACAGGGTCTTGTTCTATTGCCCAGGTTGGAGTGCAGTGGTATGATCACAGCTCACTGCAGCCTTGACTTCCTGGGCTCAAGCAATCCTCCCATCTCAGCCTCCCAAGTAGCCAGGACTATAGGCATGTGCCATCACACCCAACTAATTTTTAATTTTTTTGTAGAGACTGGAGGGGGTCTGTCATTGATACAGGAGTGGGGCAGGGAAGTGCTGGGTAGAGAAAGGCAGGGTCCCTGGTGAGGGCCCCACCCATGGACCCAGGTGAAGACAGGCACTCCTGTTTTTGTGCCCAAATGTTGCATTTTCCAAGACCACTCTGGCCCGCACACCCCCCATCTTGTGCCTATATAAACCCCAATACCCTAGTGGGCACACATACAAATGGCTGGATATGGAGAGGAACACATCAGAAGAACACACGGACGCTGACAGGCCATCAACTGCAGAAGGATGCGGATGCCTAGGGAAATTCAGCTGAGGGTGGTTGAAGGAGAGCCAGGCAACTCCAGGGGAAGACCACCTTCCCACTCCATTCCCCTTCTGTTTCCCCATACATCTGCTGAGAGCAACCTCCACCATTCAATAAAACCTTGCACTCATTCTCCAAGCCCATGTGTAATCTGATTTTTCCAGTACACTAGGGCAAGAACCCAGGATACAGAAAACTCTCTGTCCTTTCAATAAGGCAGAGGGTCTAATTGAGCTGATTAAAACGAGCTGTCTACGGACGGCTAAACTGAAGAGCACACAGTAACACACGTCTACTGAGGCTTCGGGAGCTGTAAATACTCAACCCTAGATGCTGCTGTGGGGTTGGAGCCCACGCTCCCCACTACCTGCCCGTCTGTATGCTCCCCCTAGGGTTTGAGTTGCAGGGCACTGAGGAAGCAAGCCACTCCCCCGCTGTCACACACCCTGCTAGGGGGATAAGGGAACTTTTCTTGTTTCATTACTATGTTGACCAGGCTGGTCTTGAACTCCTGGCGTCAAGCAATCCTCCCACGTTGGCATAAGTGCTGGGATTACAGGTGTGAGCCACTATGCCTGGCGTAAACAACAGTCTTCTCAGTGCTTTGACTCATCAATATTTCAAAATATTTTGGGTCCATGCTTGAGCAGGGGGTTAACATGGAGAAGACAATGGGGGCTGTGAACTTGTGAAGAGGGGGCTATCACTTGAGGGGAGGACTGGACTTGCTTACTTGCTCCTGAAGGCAGACTGGTACTGGAAGGGGAAACTCTGGCTTCATGAGGCAGAAACTTCTCCAAATCATATTAACGTGGTAGCAGCTCTTCACCCCAGGATTTGGTGATCTTGATACCTGGTTTGTTTGTTTGACCCCTGTTCAAGCCAACAAGCCAGGTATCAAGACCACAAAAATACAGTTTTTTTCTTGGGTGAGGAGAGAGATTTTTTGTTTGTTTAGACAGGATTTCTCTCTGTTGCCCAGGCTGGAGTGCAGTGGCTCACTCATGGCCCACTTCAGCCTTGAGCTCCTGGACTCAAGCGACCCTCTCACCTCAGCCTCCCTAGTAGCTAGGGAGGACTACAGTTATGCGCCACCACACCCAGCTAATTTTTTTTTTTTTTTTTTTGTAGAGACAGGATTTTGCCATGTTGCCCAGGCTGGTCTCAAACTCCTGGGCTCAAGCAATCCTCCCACCTCAGCCTCCCAAAGTGCCGGGATTACAGGCGTGAGGCACAAAAATACTGTCGATAGCCAGAAAAATAATGTCTTAGCAACTCACATCCATGTTAGTTGTTTGTTTCTAGGTCTTGCTAGCTCAAATTCCACTTATCCGTCTTAATCACCATCTAAAAGATGCCTTTGTTTTTGAGAATCCATGTGTTTGTGTAGGTTCACCACTTTCTTTTAATCTTCTGAATACCTAAAATAAACCTTTGAAATCTAGATCACGCACAGTCTAGGTTGAGATGAGAGAATACTGAGCGGATGGTTGTGTATGTATCAATGTGTAGAAAAAGGCATCCATCGTTATGGCAACCAGCATCCTTAACTGATGCAATCCTGTTCCCAATAATATGAGATGTGATTAAAAATTGACATTGCAGCAAGGAAGAACACATGCAATGCGTTGGCGTGGCAACCGGAATAGTTAAATTCTGCATAAATTTAAACCTGTCGATCACAGCAATTTGGAGAATTTGCCTACATTTCATTAGGAACCCTTTTCTCATCTGGCCTGGGAGGGAATCAGGAGCCTGGTGGTCTGACATGTGGCCATGACTTAAGGCCAAGTAAAATCAAGGGATTAAATTAAATCATTGGTGTGGGAGAGGGGCTGGATGGTGGACTGTACCAAAAGTTACCCTGTTTTCATCTGCATACCCTACATCATTTAGTCACTCAACAGATATTTATTAAGCACCCACTCTGTGCCCCGCTCTGGGCTAGGTACTAGGAATACAAAAACTAATATTTCCTACCCTCTTGGAGCTTGAAACCTCTTAGCCTCTGGAATTACTCAAATCTATGTGAAGTGCCAGCTGTGGTATGTGTAAGCGAGACAGGTATCTTGTGTTACCAGAACCAATAACAAGGAGATTTGATTAATTAGAGAGATCAGGTGGAGGCGAAGAGATCAGTCAAAGTGAAGCAGAGAGGGGCAGTGATTGCTACACCACCACAGGAACCCAAACTGAAAACGACCATACGCCATGAAGTGGGTGATAGTCTTTACCAATGTCGAAATGGAGGACCTGGGGGATACTGATGTTACCCAGCCCTTCGCAGTGGGGTCACCCAAAAGTAGACGCGGCTAATGCCGCTCTTTATGCCCGGCAGGGCCAGGACCAGAGTCCCCGCACGAGGGTTCCTCTCTCCGGTCGCACGTGCCCTTCACCCTTCCTGAGGCCGTTTTCTGACGCTCCTGAGCTCCCCTCCAGGGTGAGGGCAGGCGCGGTGGGAAGGCGTTGGACAGAGCAGACACTCGGCTGGGGTGCATGCCTGGGTGCAGCCTCGTCTTTTGTCACTAACCACTCAGCTCGGTAGCCCTCCAGGCTCTCTCTTCGAGCTCCGCGGTCCCTGCGCCCCCGCTGCGCTCTGCTAGCTGTGATGCAGGGGTTCGGGGGCAGGAAAAATCTCGACCCGCCACGCCCGTGCGGCAAACCTGTCCTAGGTTGAGGGGGCATGAGGCGCGCACAACCAGGGCCTCGAAGGCAGGCAAGAGGGCGCGGGCGCCACAGAAGCCTGGGCCTGCGCCTGGGCCGGGCAGATGTGCCCGGCGCTCGGGCCCCGCGCTCTGCGTCCTGCAGGGAGGCGGACCCGCCCCCCGAACGCGCAGGCGCGCGGCGCCCGGCTCGGACCGTAGCTAGGCGCTGGGCGGCCACCGGCTGGCCAGGCAGGTAAGCAACCAGCGGTGCGTGGGCTCAGACCTTGCGTCCCCTGGGCGCCGCGCCACCCCGCTCCGTCCAGGGCGGCGAGGGCTCAGGTCTGCGGCCCCGGCGTCTCGCTCCTTCCGAGCGCCTCCGGCGGGGGGCGCGGGCTGGGGAGGAGGTTCGGGAAAACGCCGGGGAAAGCGGTCTGGGCGGAGCGCGCAGGGGGCCAGGCGGGTGCGGGACTCCAGGCCCAGCCGACCCTGCGGCGTGGCTTCGGGCTGCGATCAGGAGGGGCGAGGAGGGTGGAGGCTGCGTGTTTGGAGATACGCAATCAATTAAGAGTTTTTTTATTAATGGAAAGGTGTGGAGGGCGGGGTTTTGGTTTTCTTGGGAAATGAATGAGTCATTTGGCAAACTTTCCTACCATTAATTTTGGATTTTTATAATGGAATATGGAATTTTTTTTGTTTCTCTCTCTTTTTTTTTTTTTGGCCATAAAGAGAAAGAATAAAAAGAATTCCGCCATTTTAGCGTTTTAAAAAGTAACCGTTCTGCGGAACTGTCGGATCAGTGACCGCCCCGCCCGCCTTTGCCTATACCAGTCCCGGGAGGCTGGTGGCGGGTCCCGATCCTGGAACCCTGCGCTCAGGGCCGCTTCCGTCCCCTCCCGAGTCCGGGAAGCAGCTGCGGCGAGGGGCGGGGCCGAGGCCCCAAGTTTGTAGCGCTCAGCCTTGCTGTGTGTTGTTTTCTGGGTAGCTGTCGAGGGCTCTACTCCCCACCCAACACCTATAGTAAGGACATTTATTGGTCGTTTTTGTATACAAGGCCTTGGAAGGCAAGGGATTGAGAAAACCTTGTCAGACATCAAGAGAAAATACCCATGGACACATTCAGCCAACAGATATTTATTGAGCATCTGCTATGTGCACGGCTCTGGGCTGGGGCTACAATGGTTGTTTTAGGTCGGGTCCCCCGAAACAGACTCCGATAGCAAGATTTGAGTGTAGGTTTATCGGAGTGCTCTTGCGAATATCACCAGTAGGGGAATGACGGGTTGGGCGGAAGAAGAAGCTGAACTGCTGATGTAGTCTCAACAGAGGCCTCAGCCTGACCTAATGGAAGCTCTGGAACTGAGATGGCCCTGCAGAGGTGTTCCAAAGTAAGGCAAGGGGGTGGGGTCTTTACACCTCATAGCAACTCGTCATTGGCTGGCGGCTTCTAGGAGAGCCTTCAAGTGAGGTAGCTCCCTAGGCTCAGAGCAGTTCCAAGAGAGGCTGACGGCAGAAGGCTGAAAACTTTCTTCAGTGTCCACCAGAAACCCAGACTCTTCTGAGTCCCCCCTCACTTCATGGCAGACTCCTTCTCAGTCCCTTTTGCTAGACCCTTTTCCTCTTCCCAACCTATAAATGTGGGTGTGCTCCAAAGTTCCCACTTTTTTCTTTATACTCAGTTATGTGGTTTTTTCTTTTTTCTTTCTTTCTCTCTCTCTCCTTCCTTCCTTCCTCCCCTCCCCTCCCCTTTCTCTCTGACAGGGTCTTGCTCTGTCGCCCAGGCTCGAGTGTAGTGGTGTGATCATAGCTCACTGCAGCCTTTACCTCCCAGGCTCAAGCAACCCTCCCACCTCAGCCTCCCCAGTAGCTGGGACCACAGGGGTGCACCACCATGTTCAGCTAATTTTTAAAATCTTTTGTTGAGGCTGAGGCCTCACTATGTTGGCCATGCTGGTCTCAAACTCCTGGGCTCAAGTGATCCTCCCACCTTGGCCTCCCAAAGTGCTAGGATTACAGGCATGAGCCACCAGGCCTCGCCCCAGTTCTGTGGTTTTAAATGCCATCTACACATGCTGGTCTTCAAATTTATACCTCCAGCCCCAACCTCATCCATTATCTCCAGAATATAAGCTTCATGAGAGCATTTTGTCATGTTTGTGACTGTAACCCCAGAGCACAGAATGGTGGTGACACCTACTTGGTCCTCCCATGCTTGCTGGAAAAGAGGCAGCGAACCCAAACAGAAACGTAGTCTTCAAATCCAGCTTCTTCAATAGACCTGAGATGTGACAGGTTTTGACACAGAGTGAAATTCTTTCAGAAGTAACCACATTCACTCTTAACTGCCAGTGTTTCAAATAAAAAGATTAACTCTATTTATTTATTTATTTATTGAGACAGGGTCTCATTTTGTCACTCAGGCTGGAGTGCAGTGGCGCGATCTTGGCTCACTGCAACCTCCACCTCCTGGGTTCAAGGGATTCTCCTGCCTCAGCCTCCTGAGTAGCTGGGATAACAGGCGTGTGCCACCATGCCCAGCTAAATTTTTGTACTTTTGGTAGAGATGGAGTTTCAACATGTTGTCCAGGCTGGTTTTGAACTCCTGGCCTCAAGTGATTGGCCTCCCAAAGTGTTGGGATTACAGGTGTGAGCCACCACGCATGGCCTGCCTGGCTAACTTTTGTACTTTTTGTAGAGATGGGGTTTCACCATGTTGCCCAGGCTGGTCTCCAACTCCTGAGCTCAAAGCGATCCACCCACCTTGGCCTCCCAAAGTGCTGGGATTATAGGCGTGAGCCACCACGTCCAGCCTAACTCTAAAGGTATTTAAAATAGTACAAGTACTTCAGCTGTGCAAAGCAAATTGGAATTGAAATTCAGGGAATTATGTTTTATAATTTTCTTTCTTTCTTTCTTTCTTTTTTTTTTTTTTTTGAGGTGGAGTCTTATTCTGTTGCCCAGGCTGGAGTGCAGTGGCATGATCTTGGCTTACCGCAACCTCCACCTCCTGGGTTCAAGCAATTCTCCTGCCTCAGCCTCCCAAATAGCTGGGATTACAGGCGCCTGCCACCACACCTGGCTATTTTTTTTTTATTTTTTTGTGTTTTTAGTAGCAATGGGGTTTCACCATGTTGGTCAGACTGGTCTTGAACTCCTGACCTCAGGTGATCTACCCACCTCGGCTTCCCAAAGTGCTGGGATTAGAGGCGTGAGCCACTGCGCCCAGCTAATTTTTTTTTTTTCTTTAGAGACAGGGTCTCGCTCTGTCACCTAGACCGGAGTACAGTGGTGAGATCATGGCTCACTGCAGCCTTGACCTCCCGGGCTCAAGCAATCCTCCTGCCTCAGCCTCTGGAGTAGTTGGGACTACAGGCATATACTGCAACACCTGGCTTATTTTTATTTTTTAATTTTTTATAGAGACAGAGTCTCCCTGTGTTGCCTAGGCTGGTCTTGAACTCTTGGGCTCAAGCAGTCCTCCCACCTCAGCCTCCAGAGTACTGGGATTACAGGTGTGAGCCACTGCATTGGGCCCATACAGTGTTTTTTTGTTTTGGTTTTGGTTTTTGGTTTTTGAGATGGAGTCTTGCTCTGTCTCCCAGGCTGGAGTACAGTGGGACGATCTCGGCTCACTGCAACCTCTACCCTCCACCTCCCGGGTTCAAGCGATTCTCCTGCCTCAGCCTCCCCAGTAGCTGGGATTACAGGCACATGGCACCAAGCCGGCCCCATACACTGTTTTTTATTAACAAGTTCAAGTTACTGAAATCCAACACAAGGACTTATTAAGCACCTACTATGTGCCAGGTACTAAGTGTTGGGGATACAGCAATGAATAAGACAGACGGTCAGCATTTATGTGGAGATGACTGATCAAACACAGAAATAAATAATTGAAGATCACTATTGATTATAATGAAGGATGAGAAAGAAAGAAATATATAATAGTAATGAGACAGATAGTGGTGGGATGGGGTGAGGGGTGTGCTGCTGCTTTAAATTCCTTGGTCAGGCCGGACTCGATGGCTCACGCCTATAAACCCAGCACTTTGGGAGGCCGAGGTGGGCGGATCACCTGAGGTCAGGAGTTCCAGTCCAGCCTGGCAACATGGTGAAACCCCGTCTCTACTAAAAATACAAAAAATAGCCAGGCTATGTGGTATGTGCCTGTAATCCCACCTAGTCAGGAGGCTGAGGTAGGAGAATTGCTTGAACCTGGGAGGCAGAGGTTGCAGTCAGCCGAGATGGCACCACTGCACTCTAGCCTGGGCAACAGAGCGAGACTCCATCTCAAAAAAAAAAAAAAAAAAAATTGGTAAAGAAAGACCTCTTCTGAGGAGGTGACTATTGAGTTAAGGCCTGGAGGATGGGAAGGAGCCAGTCAAGCAGAGAGCTTGGGGAAGAGCATTCCAGAGGGAGGGAACAGCAAGGGCAAAGGCTGTGAGTGGGAATGTTGGTCAAGCAATAGAAGGAAACCAGAGTCTGTTGAGTGGAGAGAACAGGGGAAGAGTGGTGGAGGATGAGGCCAGAGGGAAAAGCAGAGGTCAGATTTTCTAGGGCAAAGTGCTTTGATTTTACTGTAAGGGCAATAGAGAGCCACTGAAGAATTTAGATAGGGAAATTATGTGATTTGGTTTATGTTTTTAAAGCTTTTTCGACTGGAGAGTAGACTGTAGGGGTGCAGGAAAGGAAGCAGGGAGATGGGTTAGAAGGCAATTTCAGAAGTCCAAAGAGAGCTGATGTTGGCTGGGACTAGCATGGCAGCAATGGAGATGGAGAGAAGTGGTTAGACCTTCAGTGTGTTTTGGAGGTAGCACTGACAGGCCAATTTTAATACGTCTAAAGCTGTGCTGTCCAATACAATAGTCATAGCTACTGTCGCTATTTATTTACTTATTTCTTGTCAGAGACAGGGTCTCGCTATGTTGCCCAGGCTAGCCTCAAACTCCTGGGCTCAAGCCATCCTCCCGTGTCAGTCTCCAGAGAACTTGGGACTACAGGCATGCACCACTGTACCTACCTTCTGGTCACTATTTAAATTTAATTAAAATTAAATAAAATAAAAAATTCAGTTCCTCAGTCATAGTAGCCCATTTCAAGTGCTCAATAGCCACATGTGGCTAGTGGCTACGGTGTTGGACAGTTTAAGTATTGGACATTCTCATTATCACAGAAAATTCTACTGGACAGTGCTGGTAAGGCAAGTAGGACAGTGGTCAGTACATTTTAGGTGCTGAGTAAATAGATATTAAGTATATTCTTTGTATCTCTAGGTCTTTTTCTTTATGTCTTTACCTGTTGAATGAACTCTGTGAAATGCTTCTACTGCCTTTGCGTTATTAAAACAAAATCACGTACTGACTTGACTGCGTCTTCGTACACTATGTCTCTGCTCTTCAGATGCATACATTTGTTCAGCAGATGCTTGAGTGCCCACCCTGTGCTTGGGGTTGGAGGGAGTGGTGGACAGGGCCATAAAAGAACATGATCAGGAAAGATCCCACCTCCCAGGAAGATGAACCCTGTATGGGTGAAGGAAAACCTGGTACTTGAGGTCTCTGAATCCCCAGAGGGAGGAGGGAGTGATTCCAGTGGGGATAGAGGTGGGGTCAAGAAAAAGGTGAGTTTGGATGTGGCCTGGGCTATGTCCTGGAGACAACTGGCCACACAGAACCTTGACCTGAGTCATGCTCCCCAGAGTCAGTTTTGTACATCACAGTTTACAAAGTACCCTCACACATGCCACCCTACCCATCCTTACCATCCTTACAGAGACTGGGGAGGTGCAGGGCCTGGCCAGAACAGGAGCCAGACCTGATGCTGGTCTCTGAAGACACCCTACTCCCCACAGGACTGAGGCCTTTCTCTGCAGGTCACGGGTTTGAAGGTGGCTAGCTTCTCAAAGAAGCCCCATCCCTTCACATCTCCATTGCTGCTGTAACAAAGGTCCCCACCTGATCACCCTGGGGGCTATGTTTGGCTTGTAGGCCTGCCAGGATGGAGGGGCATGCTGGGATGGAGGGGCATGCTGAAATGGAGATGCTGAGGACACTGAAGGGGCCTTCCACAGGGGAGGTCAGCATGCACTTGGTGGCCGGAGACAGCCCCGGTTCTGGTCCTCACCTGCCCGCAACTGCCTTCATCATTCCAGGTGAGTCAAGCTAGGGTAGGAGTCTGGGAAGGAAGAGCATCTCTGTACCTGCTCAAGCAAGTGTGGATCCTGGAGAGGGGATGACCGTTTTCACTGTCCTCCACCTGCCTTCCTTCACATGCCTACACATGCATGGCCGGATTGAGGTAGGGCCACTAGACTCACCTGTGTCGTGTCTATTTGTATATCTGTTTACAGCCAGTTCGGCCACCCTCGGCCTGCCCAGCAGTGCCCTGGATGTGTCTTGCTTTCCCCGGGAGCCAATCCATGTGGGTGCCCCGGAGCAAGTGGCCGGCTGCGAACCAGTTTCTGCCACCGTCCTGCCGCAGCTTAGCGCCGGGCCGGCCAGCTCCAGCACCAGCACAGTGCGGCTTCTGGAATGGACAGAGGCCGCGGCCCCGCCCCCAGGGGGCGGCCTGCGGGTCAGTGTCTGTGGGGATTGGCTAAGCCTCGTAAACCGCAGCCATGGGGCGGGGCTTGCAGGCCCGGAGGCTGGACCTGAGACGGAAGTGGGGGAAGCTGGCTCAGATGATGGGCCCTAGGGGTGGGCTTTGAGTGAGGGACTCTCGGGGCGTGGCTTGAGTTGAAGCACTCCTAGGCCCTGGGGACTATGGGGGCGTGGCTTGGAGTGAGGCACTCTGGGACTGGGCCTGTGGGTGTCTGGGGGCGTGGCTTAGACTGGGGCACCCTGAGTGGGCCTGTGTTAGTTTGGGGGCGTGGCTTAGAGTGGGGTACCGTGGGACTGGGCCTGTGGGAGCCTGGGGGCGTGGCTTAGAGTGGGGCACCCTGGGACTGGACCCCGCAGGTGCTTGGGGGCGTAGCCTGGAGTGAGGGTTTGGCTGGTGTAGCTTGGAGTGAGGCCCCCTGGCGTGGAGTCTTGAGGCCTGCTGAGGGCGTGAGCTGGCATGAGGCGAAGAGAGGGCCATGGCACCGACTCCGAGATGGGTCAAGGACCCGTACGGGAGTCGCAATCCTCAGACCCTCCCGCGCTCCAGTTCCGGATAAGCGAGTATAAGCCGCTGAACATGGCGGGAGTGGAGCAGCCCCCGAGCCCCGAGCTGCGGCAGGAAGGCGTGACCGAATACGAAGATGGCGGGGCCCCGGCGGGAGATGGCGAGGCGGGCCCCCAACAGGCGGGTAGGAGCCCCGCTCCCCAGGCCCTGAGCTGGGCCCTGTGCGGGTGGGGCGAGGCCTGAGCCCCAGAAGGTTCGGGGGCGGGGCCCGGGGTGGTCCTGGGGTGGAGAAGGCTGGAGGAGGCCATCCGATGCGGAGATGGACCGAGGCGGAGGCAGGGCCTGAGGGGGCGTGGGCGGAGCCTGAGTGTGGCTGCGATGGGGAGGGAGGCCTGAGGCCCATTTGGCCCCCGCAGAGGACCACCCCCAGAATCCTCCAGAAGATCCCAATCAGGACCCCCCAGAGGATGATAGCACCTGTCAGTGCCAGGCGTGCGGGCCTCACCAAGCCGCGGGTCCAGATCTTGGTTCCTCTAATGATGGCTGCCCTCAGCTGTTCCAGGAGCGGTAAGGGGAGGAGGTCGCAGCCCTACTTGCTCTACCTTCAGCCCCCAAAGCCTCATTCCTGTTCAGGGGTTAGGAGAGGGGCTGGGTGGTGCAGGGCGGGTGGTTCTTTCCCTAAGGCTGGCCCTTCCTCAGGTCAGTCATAGTGGAGAACTCCTCAGGCTCTACCAGCGCTTCTGAGCTCCTCAAACCCATGAAGAAGAGGAAGCGCAGGGAATACCAGAGCCCATCAGAGGAGGAGTCGGAGCCAGAGGCCATGGTAGGAAGAGGGCAGTGGGGAAGGGAGGGGGAAGCTATAGCCTATGCCTCAATTCCCACTGTCCCCTCCATCAATCCAGATTATGGAGCTGGGCCAGAGAAGACACGCATAATGACTCACTCATCATATTTTGGGGTCCCATCCTGAGTTAGGTCCTATACCTGGTTAAAGGGAAATGAATTAATCACTCTCTTGATTTTCCAGAGCTCCCATCTCAGTTTAGTGTCAAGGTTAAGACATAGTCAGGTGAACTAGCACCCAAAGTACATGTGCAGGCAGCTGGAAAACTCCATCACTGGAGTCCAGTGCCTAGGCCAAAGGCCAGGGAACACCCAGGGCTCTAGCTGCAGAAGCTGGAAGGGACAGAGCATGAATTCTACTGGGCGTGTAAGAGCATCACAAAGGAAGTTTTTGTGTACTCAGTTTCTCTACCAGATAATAAGGAGAGTTGTAGTCAGGCTGTTTAATTAGGATGTGCATGCTCATGTGAGTCTGTGCTCAAGTGATAGGGGGATGTCTGCTGGAGCTGCACTCCTGCTGGCGGCCTAGAAGAAATTCTGCCTGTTTGGGGCAGAACACCACATGGCCAGAGAGCCAGGTAGGGGCCAGGATCAGACCCTAGGGCTTCATCCCAAACCATGAGGAGAAGAAGCTGGGATCAGGCTTGCCTTCTACAGGAGAAGCAAGAAGAAGGAAAGGACCCAGAGGGACAACCCACTGCTAGCACCCCAGAGAGTGAGGAGTGGAGCAGCAGCCAGCCTGGTACGGTGGCTTGTGTGTATATATATTCGTGTGAGGTGTGTATATACCTTTGGAGGTGTGAGGCTGAGAATGTGGGTTATGATTGTGATGGTAGGTTGTACATGCATAAATGAGCATGAGTTAGTGTGTGTGAAAGAGAGAGAGACAGTGAGAGACTATTTTGGGTTTGTGTATTAGTGTATGTATTTTCTTGGGAGTTATATGATGTGTTTGTTTATCCTCTATTATCCAGTCATGACTAGGCCCCAGTGCCAGGGAGATCTTGGCTCAATTTTTGAAGACTTGAGTAACTTTTACTGGCACCACATGTCATTGCTTCTCTTTAGTGGTGGGGCAAGCCTGCACTGGTCATTGGTCTAACATTCCTGTTTGGAACCCTATTCTCACTCTTTGATTCTAAGAAAAATGGAGCAGAGGTCATTCATATCTCCAACCTTCAGGCCTTCTCAATTACCATCTCCACATTCCCACATGACAACTGTCAACTGTAGCTAAGTAGCATACTTGTAATCACATAGATACTGTGTAGCAGTTTGTTTAATGTCTCTCTTCTGCCCTCAAAACCATCAACACAAGGACAGTATCTGTTTTTTTTTTTCTTTTTTAAAATTTTTTAAATTAAAAGTTTTGGAGGGTGACCGGGTCTTGCTCTGTTGCCCAGGCTGGAGTAAAGTGGTGCAAACACAGCTCACTGAAGCCTTGACCTCCTAGGCTCAAGCAGTCTTCCACTTCAACCTCCTGAGTAGCTGGGACCACAGGTGCATGCCACCATGCATGGCTAATTTTTTAAATTTTTGTTATAGAGATGGGGATCTTACTTTGTTGCTCAGGCTGGTCTCGAACTCCTGGGCTCAAGCAGTCCTCCTGCCTAGGCTTCCCAAAGTTCTGGGATTACAGGTGTGAGGTACCACGCCTGGTCGTCTTTTTTTTTTTTTCTTTGAGACGGAGTTTCACTCTGTTGCCCAGGCTAGAGTGCAGTAGCGCCATCTTGGCTCATTGCAACCTCCACCTCTTGGGTTCCAGCAATTCTTCTGCCTCAGTCTCCTGAGTAGCTGGGACTACAGGCACATGCCACCACATGTGGCTAATTTTTGTGTTAATAGAGACAGGGTTTCACCATGTTGGCCAGGCTGGTCTCGAACTCTTACCTCAGGTTATCTGCCCACCTCAGCCTCCCAAGTGGTGGGATTACAGGAGTGAGCCAAGGCACCCAGCCTTTTTTTTAATTTTAATTTTTAATTTAAGAAATGGAGTTTCACTCTATTGCCCAAGCTGGCGTGTAGAGCTGTTCACAGACACACTACAGCCTGGGACTCCTGGGCTCAAGGGATCCTCCTGCCCCAGCCTCCTGAGTAGCAGTGATTATAGGCATGTGCCATTGCACTTGGTTCTTGTATCTGTTTTATTAATCATTTTATCCCTGGTGCTTAGCTAGAGCCTGGTATGGAATAAGTTCTCAATCAGTGTTTGTTCAGTGGATGAATGGATTGAATGGATGATTTTTATGTTGATGGTTTCTCTTGGACTATGGCTTAGTTGCCTCAGTCACTGTCTTTCCCGTCCCACAGAGAACCAGACAGATGAGGTCATTTCTTAGGACATTATCCTGCCTTGATGGATCCAGTGCCAGCTGGAGGAGCCCAATCTGCACCCAGGGCTCTGAACTTTTTATAGTGCTTCTTCCAACTTCTGCCCATTGTAGCTAAACCAGAACTTCACTATTATGTCTCACCCATGGTATTCATATCAGAAGGCAAAGGTTTAGCTCTCTTTGGTTTATGGCCTCTTAAGACTTATGCAGAGGAAAGAAGCAGTGTCTTAACTCCTGTGGGCTCAACTACTGTATCTTACTTAGATAAATAGATTCATAAATCAACATTCTTTTAGCTGGGTCCTGTTGACCAGTACAAATCTTTTGAAGCATACTACTCACTGTCTCAACTGTGAATATTAGTGTGACATTTTCCCCCAACGCCTTTTTTTTTTTTTCGTTTTCCAAGGAAAGAAACTGTATCAGTAGACAGAAGTTTGCATCTATGACTGAAATGTTTTCTCATTTTCAGAGTCTTCTGACAGAAGAATCTGGGGGGTGGGAATGGGGGTTGGGATTGCTTGAGTTTCTTGTATGTGGGAAGAATCTATGTTTGAGCTATACTCTGTTTGGCAGTTTGATGGCCAGCTGTTCAATTCACGTCCCACAGACCTGACATACCTAGTGCTGACGGAGTGCTCCAGTAGTTTAAGAGTTAAAAACATGTGACTCATGTGCCCATTCAGGCCTTCTGTCTCATAGATCTTCTCCTTTTCGATAACCATATTTTGTGAATGATGATTTTCTAACACACCATTGCAAGTTTCTACAACTTACTTAGTCGTTAATAGATATTCTGACTGTGTTCACAGTTATAGTAGTCCCCTTTTATCTGCAGGGAATACATTCCAAGAACCCCAGTGGACGCTTGAAACCATGGATAGTACTGAACCCTATGGATACTGTTTTTTTTCCTATCCATACCTACGATAAAGGTATGATAAATAATACACTTTAAGGCCGGGCACGGTGGCTCATGCCTGTAATCCTAGCACTTTGGGAGGCCGAGGCAGGCGGATCATGAGGTAGGAGTTTGAGACCACCCTGGCCAACATGGTGAAACCCCATCTCTACTAAAAATACAAAAAAAAAAAAAAAAAAAAAAAAAAAAGCCAGGCATGGTGGCTCGCACCTGTAATCTCAGCTACTCGGGAGGCTGAGGCAGGAGGATAGCTTGAACCTGGGAGGAGGAGGTTGCAGTGAGCCGAGATTGCGCCACTGCACTCCAACCTAGGCAACAGACCAAGACTCTGTCTCAGGGGGAAAAAAAAGAAAAAAAAGAATACACTTTAAGGCTAGGCATGGTCCCTGTAATCCCAGCACTTTGGGAGGCTGAGGTGGATGGATCACTTGAGCTCAGGAATTCGAGACCAGCCCAGGCAACATGGTGAAACCCTGTCTCTGCAAAAAATACAAATATTAGCTGGGCATGGTGTTGAGCATCTGTGGTCCCAGCTACTCGGGAGGCTGAGGCTGGAGAATCGCTTGAACCCAGGAGGCAGAGGTTGCAGTGAGCTGAGAGTGCACCACTGCACTCCACCCTGTGTGACAGAAGGAAACCCTGACTCAAAAAAAAAAAAAAAAAAGGCTGGGTGCAGTGGCTCACTCCTGTAATCCCAGCACTTTGGGAGGCCGAAGCGGGCAGATCACCTGAGGTCGGGAGTTCGAGAGCAGCCTGACCAACATGGAGAAACCCCATCTCTACTAAAAATACAAAATTAGCCAGGCATGGCGTCGCATGCCTATAATCCCAGCTACTTGGGAGCCTGAGGCAGGAGAATCGCTTGAACCTGGGAGGCGGAGGATGCAGTGAGTTGAGATCGTGCCATTGCACTCCAGCCTAGGCAACAAGAGCAAAACTCCATCTCAAAAAAGAAAAAGAGATGAGGTCTTGCTGTATTGCCCAGGCTGGAGTACAGTAGTGATTCACAATGCAGTCATAGCACGTTGTAGCCTCAAACTCCTGGGCTCAAGGGATCCTTCTACTTAAGCCTTCTGAGTAACTGGGACTACAGGCACCCTGCTCTTGGTTTTTTGTTTTTTCTAAATGGTGTCTTTTAAGGAGCAGAAAGTTCGTTTTGATGGTGCCCAATTTGTCAATTTTTTAATGATTAGTGCTTTTTCCATACATTTTTATAAGGTACCGGTTCTTAATAGCTTTACTGAGATACAATTCACACACCATACAATTCATCCATTTGAAGTGTACAATTCAGTGGGGTTTTTTTTTGGTGTATTCACAGAGTTCTGTAACCATCACCAAAACATTTCCATCACTCCCAAAAGAAGTCCTATATATCTATTAGCCATCATTCCCCCTAAAGACCACCAGCAGTCTGCTTTCTGTATACCAGATTTGCCTATTTTGGACATTTCATATAAATGGAATTATATATTGTGGTTTTGTATGCCTGGCTCTTCACTTAGCACAATGTTTTCAAGGTTTACATATTTTAGGCTGTATGTGCTTCTTTTTATTGCTGAATAATATTCCATTGTATGGGCATACCACACTTTGTTTATTCATCAGTTGATGGACATATGGATTGCTTCTACTTTTGCGCTATTATGAATAATGCCAGTATGAACATTTGTATACAAGTTTTTGTGTGGACATATGGACTCATTTTTCTTGGGTATATACTTAGGGGTGGAATTGTTCAGCCATATGGTAACTCCATGTTTAGCCTTTTGAGGAACTGTCACACTGTTTTTCAAAGTGTCTGTACCATTTTACATTCCCACCAGCAGTATATGAGGATTCCAGTTTATCCCCATCTTCACCAATGCTTGTTATTATCTTTTTTATTATGGTCATTCTAGAGGTTATCAAGTGGTATCTCATTGTGGTTTTGATTTGCATTTCCCTGATGGCTAATGATGTTAGCATGTTTTCATGTGCTTATTTGCCATTTATATATTTTCTTTGGAGAAATGTCTATTCAGATCCTTGCCCATTTTTAAATTGGGTTTAAAAAACAGATTTTATATTGAAATACAAGGACTGCCATATGGAGTTGGTGAACAAGTTGAGAATATGAGTGTGTAATTCAGTACCAGACATGGATCAGCATGCTACTTAAAGCAGCACTTACTTAACTGTGGTCCTTAATCTAAGTTTACATGCAAAATTCTGTGACTTGTTTATGTGAATTGTCCATGGCTTTCATTACATTTTCAAAAAGGGTCCATTTATACTTCCTAGAAACCAAAGGCAATTTTAATGGCTGACACCAGGTAAACAATAGACTATAACATTTTGGAGCCCAGCCTCTTCAGTTTGGTGTTCCCAGGCGTAGATCCCTATAAGGCACATGTTAAACATAAGTATCAGGCTCTTGGTTAAACTTTCAGTGTCTTAAAATGAACTAATTATGAATTGGCTAATCATGCTCTATAGGAGAGGCAAACACACAAATATCTCTGTAGCAAATTGAAAGCAAAAAGACCCAGCACATAGTGGTACCCTGATGACTGCTTGTAATTAATTGATTCTTGAATCTTGGCATTCTGTTCTTCCCTTTACATTTTCTGTAGACATTGTAGTGAAAGGTCTGACTAGAGCCATTAATTTTTTAATTATCTATACTGAGATAACTGAAAGTATGCTGAAGAAGCTTCCCGAAGGAATAAGAAAGGAAAGAAGATGGGAGGGAAGTACTGTGTTGGTTTCTAGGTTTGCACCATTGAGGAGCAGGGTTGAGGCAGGAGGAGAAAGAAGAATAGAGCTAAGAGAGTGTGGTAAGAAAGAAATGCCAAGATGGAATGGGTGGTTGGGAGCACGTGAAGATCAAGAGTTGAAGAATAAGAATAGGTCATTGGATTTTGACCTTAGTAACTGAAGAGAGCAATTTCACTAGTGTGTAGAGGTAGGCATGAGACTAGGTGATTAAGAAAGGAATTCATCAAAAGGGCGTAAAGTTCATAATACCCCCTTTTAATTATTTTATTTTTTATCATTATTTTTAGAGACAGGGTCTTACTGTGTTGCCCAGACTGGCCTTAAACTCCTGAGTGCAAGCGATCCTCCTGCCTCAGCCTTCTGAGTAGCTGGGACTGCAGGCATACGCCACTGCACCTGGCTCCCCTTTTTTATTTATAGTAAACTTTATTTTCACTGATACTCCATTTAACGTAATTTCAAAGTAGCTCTGTGCCCTAAGATGAGCAAAAGAACAGATATCCTAAATATCATAAGAGATTTTCTTCACACTGTTCCTCTGAGCACAGCATGAGGTTTCAGAGCCCCCAGTGTTGCCACTTAACATTTTATTCCTTGAGATTTTACCTATAAGATACAGAAAGAGGCCAGGTGCAGTGGCTCACGCCTATAATCCCTGCACTTTGGGAGGCCGAGGCGGGTGGATCACGAGGTCAGGAGATTGAGACCATCCTGGCCAACATGGTGAAACCCCATCTCTACTAAGAATACAAAAATTAGCCAGGCGTGGTGGCGTGCCCCTGTAGTCCCAGCTACTCAGGAGGCTAAGGCAGGAGAATCACTTAAACCCGTGAACCGGAGGTTGCAGTGAGCTGAGATCGCTTCACTGCACTCCAGTCTGGGCGACAGAGCAAAACTCCGTCTCAAAAAAATGATACAGAAAGAAGATATAATATCAATACACAAGAATCAAACTGTATTAGGGTATCTGTGGGATTGTAATGGTAACTGAATTTTTCCCTGCTAAGTTTTTTTTTTTTTTTTTTTTTTTTTTTTTTTGGAGACAGGATCTGGCTCTATCACCCAGGCTGGAGTGCAGTGGTGCGATGTCCGCTCACTGTGACCCCCGCCTTGCAAGACTCAAGCCATCCTCCCTCCTTAGCCTTCTGAGTAGCTGAGACTACAGGCGCACACCACCGTGCCTGGCTAATTTTTGTATTTTTGTAGAGACAGGGTTCCGCCATGTTGCCCAGGCTAGTCTCAAACTCATGATCTCAAGCTGTCCGTCCGCCTTGGCCTCCCAAAGTGCTAGGATTACAGGCATGAGCCACTGTGCCCGGCCAACGGTGTCTTTTTTTTTTTTTTTTTTTTCCTAAAGTAAAATGTCAGATGGCCGGGCATGGTAGCTCACCTCTATAATCCCAGCACTTTAGTAGGCCAAGGCAGGTGGATCACTTGAGCTCAGGAGTTTGAGACCAGCCTGGTTAACATGGCGAACCCCGTCGCTAATAAGAATACAAAAAAAAAAATTAGCTGGGCATGGTGGTGCACGCCTGTAATCCCAGCTACTCAGGAGGTTGAGGCAGGAGAATCACTTGAACCTGGGAAACGGAGGTTGCAGTGAGCCGAGATCCGCCACTGCACTCCAGCCTGGGTGACAGAGTGAGACCCTGTCTCAAAAAAAAATAATAAAAATAAATAAAGTAAAATGTCAGAATATGCAAAAATGCTGTACTTATTTCTGTTAATACCTTGAAAATAGTGGAAGTTTGAAGATTTTTAATTCTTAAAGAGTCCAAGCTGGAAGATGACTGCTACTGATGGGGTTTGTTCAACGTACTGATTCCAAGCTTGGCGACCATCAGCAAACTGGTACCTGCAATTAAACCTGGAGACATAAATTTTCCAGAGTGGTAGAATCTCATTCCCATAATGCCAGCCAAGGTCTCAGACGTAGCAAGGAAAACCCAAGCATCCCTTGGATCCTGAGAGCTGATAAGCACCCAGGCCTGTTAAACCCCCAGAGAGGAATAGCATTCTACCTGCTTTTGCATAGTCAGTGATCCCTCCAGAGGCAACCAGTGCTGCGTAGCCAAAACCCAAACCAGTGCAAAGGCACTAGTGGACCAGTATCCTGCGGCATTGTTCTCTTCTCACCCTGTCCTGTGCAGACAGTAGACTATAGCAGGCCTGCATTTGCACCGCTCTCCTGAAGGTCTGTACTGGTCAACAAGATCTCCTTATCCTTTTAATATCTATAGGACATTTTTAAATTTCTCTTATTTTCTTTTTATTTTTAACTTTTTTTAAAGATAGAAATAGGGGAGGCCAAGGCGGGCGAATTGCCTGAGGTCAGGAGTTTGAGACCAGCCTGGCCAACGTGGTGAAACCCCATCTCTACTAAAAATACAAAAAATTAGCTGGGTGTGGTGGCGCATACCTGTAATCCCAGCTACTCGGGAGGCTGAGGCAGGATAATCACTTGAACCGGGGAGGCGGAGGTTGCAGTGAGCTGAGATCGTGCCACTGCACTCCAACCTGGGTGACAGTGAGACTCCATCTCAAAAAAAAAAAAAAAAAAGAAACAGGATGTCACTATGTTGGCCAGGCTGGTCTGGAACTCCTGGCCTTAAGCAATCCTCCTACCTCAGCCTCCCAGAGTTTTTCTTTGTTTATTAATCAGTCTTTCCAGAAACTTACTAATTTTATTTGTCTTTTAAAAAAAATTTATTTCCATTTTCTTTGGGTTAATTTTACTTTTCTAACTTCATGAGACAGATTTATTTTGATTTTTAAATTTCATTAATTTTAGCCATCCTCCTTTTCTAATATGTTTATTTAAGGCTGTCATTTTCCTCTAAATACTGCTTTGGCTGCATCTCAGTTTTTGATACATAGTTATTTCCATCGTTGTTCTTTTATTTAACAAATACTAAGTGCCTCCTATGTACCAGATAGTGGGCTAGATACTAAGAGTTCAGAGTAAGCAAAACACAGTACTAGCACTTAATGAGCTCATAATCTAGTTGCAGAAATAGATATGTCAACAGATT
Source organism: Homo sapiens (assembly GCF_000001405.40). Classification (NCBI taxonomy): domain Eukaryota; kingdom Metazoa; phylum Chordata; class Mammalia; order Primates; family Hominidae; genus Homo; species Homo sapiens. The sequence continues at coordinate 43,524,483 of NC_000020.11, forward strand.
ATTATGTAACCATATAATAAGTGTTATGTTTGAGGTATGTAAATACAAGGGGCTGTCACAGAACAAACTCTGCCTGCTGGAGTATAGAAAGGTTCCATGGGGTAGATGGGATGATATTCATCCATCCATCCACTCATCCATCCATCCATCCTTATAGTCATTTAACAAGCATTTGTTGTGCATCTATTTTATGTAAGTCTTGTGCTAGGTGCTGGAACTATGGCTACGTCTTGAAGGATGTGAAAAAAATAGGCTAATAGAACAAGGTGGGGGTGGGATTTTAAAGCAGAAGTATCAACCTATGCAAAGGCACAGAGGCTCAGGGGCATGGAAATGCATGATGAAGCTGGCATGATGGGGAGTAGCTAGTTCACCAAGGCTGTGTGTGGTGTGGAAAGGTGTTTAGATTTTGGGGTTTTGGGTTGGAAATGAGAAGCCATGGAACTTAAAGAAAATAAACACGTTTTTTCATTTGATATGTATTCTGGCAGTAGAATAAGTGTGAGGCAGAGACCAGTTAAGAGGCTTTTGGACTAGGCTCAAAGCAAGGACAGTAAATGTGGAGAGATGGATATAGATCCAAGAGATAACTAGGAGTTGGAATCAGTAGAATGGAAGGATCCTGGGGAGTTAAAAAAAAAAAAAAAGGCATAAAGTATCACTTCCAAGTTTCTGGCTTGCGTGACTGGATGAATGGATGGTGGCGCCATTGACTAGGGTAACGAATACCGAAAGGGCCACAGGCTTTGGCAGAGAAGTTACAAGTTTGGTTTTAGATCAGGCTGAGCTTGCCAAAGAAAGTGCTATCCAAGAGCATCTGGTCTAAGGAAGCAGGAATAAACAAAGGAGCATTTCTGGAAGTGGAGAGAGGATCAGTGCCACCGCTAGCCAATATGGTACCTTTGTACAAGTTATTAAAAAAAAAAGCATCTCTCCAGGGCAGACCAATTAGAAAAGGGCAACCTTTCTTCACAGTAGACTCAGCCACTTGGCTTGGCAGAAAGCCCAGGATGGATTTTAGCCCCATTCACACCCTTGGCTGGGTACCTATGTATAGTGCACAGATTATACAACCATACACAGGAGCCTTGGGACTTACTTGGGTTTAGGGATATGCCTAAGAGCTCAGCCCATTGTTCAACAATAGAAAAAGGAGGCAGGAAACTGAATTTGGCTGGGGGTGTTGGTCAGGGAAGGAATCTAGTAATTGCTGAAGGATTTGGTGGTCAGGCCTCTTTCCAGTGGATTACATTGAATCTTGTCCTCACCCGTGAAAGGGGTTACTATGAGCCCTCCCTATCATCTAAGGGCATTATGAGGACTCAAGGAGACCATGTATATGAAGTCTTTCCGGCATCTCTGTACCCCCAATTTCTAGTACCAGACATGGCACACAGGTTTAACCATTAAATGGTAAAAGGAATGGTGAAGGTCAAATGAAGAGGTGCATAGTGGTAAACTGAAGAATGTATACTTGGTAAGTGTTGTGACTAGTGAGCAAATATGAAGATAGTACAGGCCCAGGGAGGGACATCTTCAGGGGACCAGTGGTAAGAGATAATGGCAGATAAAGAGGGTGTTGGTCAGAGGTGTCTGCTGTGGCATGGGGGTCTCAGAGCTTGGTCTCTGGAGTATGGGTAAAGGGAAGCAAGCTGAGAATTGAAGCACCAAAGAGCAGCAGAGGCGCCTGAGACAAGAAATCTGGCAGGTAGTCAGCCCCTTAGCTGATGTTACGGTTTGGGAAGAGTGAGGCAAAAAGAAGAAAGTCATCCAGGGAGGAAGAAATGGCTGTTGGGAAGGGTTCTGTCATAGTAGAAGAGATTTGGGAAAAGTGAAGAGGTCTTATGCATGATGATGTGGAATCCCAGTGGCAAGAAGCAGCAGGATGATGGCATCCTGAAGTCTACTCTCTCTTCTCTTTGCCCTACTCAGTAAGAATGGAGGAAGACTGAGTGGGAGAACTGGAGGGTTTCTTGAGGGAACATAGTAGGTGATATGTTATACTCAGGACAAAGGATAGCCGGAAGAGATGAGCTCTAGATTGGTTTCCGCGTAGGTCCTTGAGAGTTTGATAGCTTGCTTGATCCATTGATGAACAAAATATCTGTTGTGGCCCAACTGGATCAGGCAGTTGAGATCTCAAGGTTTGGTACAGTGTCTGAGGAATTTAGGCAGCTGCAAGACAGGTGCTTCTAGGCCGAGTGCGGTGGTTCATGCCTGTAATCCCAGCACTTTGGGAGGCCAAGGCAGGCGGATCACCTGAGGTCAGGAGTTACTGGCCAACATGGTGAAACCCCGTCTCTACTAAAGATTTAAAAAATAGCCATGTGTAGTGGTGGGCACCTGTAATCTCTACTCGGAGGCTGAGGTAGGAGAATCGCTTGAACCTGGGAGGCAGAAGCTGCATTGAACTGAGATTGCACCACTGCACTGCAGCCTGGGCGACAGAGTGAGACTCTGTCTCAAAACAGACAAACAAAAACAAAAAACAGGTGCCTCTAGCCACTTAGGTCCCAACTAAAGCAAAAAGGGAAAAAGCATCTTCCTGAGAGACAGACCACTCCAAGCCTGAATTATCCAGGGTAGTAGCCAAGAGAAGCAGAGCTAGAATCCAGTCCTACAGCCTTAGTGAAGACCCAGGAAGCACTGGTAACAGAAGTCCAGCACTCTGTATTTCATAAGGATCTTTTATACATAGATCTGACTTAATCATCATAGTGATCCTGTATGGTGGGTATCTGCATTTCACAGATGACAAAATAGAGGTGTAGAAGTTTCTAGAAGAAGCTGGAGCTATTTACCTAAGGGATATGAATTGATTCTTGTGAGTTGTTACGTCTTTAGTTGTCTGTAGCCTTCGACTGGAGGCAGCTCATGCTAATCTGGTCAGCCTACATGTAACTGGATATTCTAGCCTTTAAAGGGTGTTTGTCCTCTGTTAGAGGCTAGGACTCCACCTCAGGTTAGATTGAAGGTGCTGCAGGAGTATTCATCTCCCTCCCCAGGACCCTGAGACTTGGAGGCATGGACAGGACCTGGGCTGTAGGTCCTGACCATAGTGTATGTGTGTTAGTGTATGTGTGTGTGCACATAGGCTGTGTGTGTGCACATAGGCTGTGTGTGTCTGGGAGGGCTGTGGAATCAGTATATCCACTCTGGGGGTACCCATCAAGCACACATATACACATTTGTGTAAGTCTCTGTAAGTGTTCAGGGGAAGAAGGATCAAAAAAGTGTTTCTTTTTTTTTTTTTTTGAGACAGGGGCTCCCTCTGTCACCCAGACTGGAGTGCAGTGGCATGTTCTCGGCTCACTGCAGCCTCCGCCTCCTGGATTCAAGCAATTCTTCTGCCTCAGCCTCCCAAGTAGCTGGGACTACAGGCGTGTGCCACCACGCCTGGATAATTTTTGGTTTTTTGTTTGTTTTTTGAGACAGAGTCTTGCCCTGTTGCCCAGGCTGGAATGCAGTGGTGCGATCTTGGCTCACTGCAACTTCTGCCTCCCAGGTTCAAGCAATTCTCCTGCCTCAGCCTCCCGAGTAGCTGGGATTACAGGCATGTACCACCACGCCCAACTAATTTTTGTATTTTTAGTGGAGACGGGGTTTCACCATGTTGGCCAGGCTGGTCTCGAACTCCTGACCTCAAGTGATTCACCTGCCTCGGCCTCCCAAAGTGCTGGGATTACAGGCGTGAGCTACCATGCCCAGCCGTGTTTCTTGTTTCTCCCAACCCTTCCACTTCTTCCTATTTTCATGTTTTCTCTCTCATTTCTCTTTTTCCTCTCCTTTCCTTGTGAGTTTAGATGGCATTGTGATTAAGTTCTCTGGCACAGGACTTGTCACTCAGCTTTGTCATGTCAGAGGACAGGGTCCCTCTGTGGCTGAGACTTTGTAACTTCAGTCAGTTGCTGAATAATCCAGAGTACTTCTGCTGACAGTGGCCTGAGCGGGTGGGGGGGAAGTGACGGGCAGAATTTGGTGTAGCCACACCTGAGACTGAGCCTCCCCTCAGCCCCGTGTCTGGCACCATCATGGTGGGTGGGACCAGAGGGTACATGTGAACACAGACAAAGATTTGTTTTGGGGGTGAAGGTAGAGCTTGGTCAGGGGAAGCCGAAGAAAGTCATATATCAGGAACAGCCCAGGAGTTAGCCTGTCTGTCCCCTTTCCACAGCAACAGGTGAGAAGAAGGAATGCTGGTCGTGGGAGTCCTACCTAGAGGAGCAGAAGGCCATTACTGCTCCAGTCAGCCTCTTCCAGGACGTGAGTTGGACAATTTCCCCGTAGGAACAGCTTGTCTTCCTAGCCTAGGGACACACCACCAACCTCAGGCCTTCTGGCGTTTTCTGTGTCAGGCATGCCTCAGTGGACTGGCAGAATGGAAAGGGAGAGACTGTTTAGGGGCCCAGAGTGGAAAAGGGCCCCCCATAAGGGGCTGGCAGGGTGGGAAGAAACAGAGAGGTGGAAGCTAGGCTCACTCATCACTGGGCCTGCAGACTTTTGAATTCTGGTGACTTCTACTCAATTCAGCATTGATCTTTCCATGACTTTGGTGAGAGGGAGCCCTTGAGTCCAGCCCTGACTCACCCACATTTTTCAAGGGACCTGGGAGATATTCTCTCTCTCTCTCTCTAGATCCCTGTAGTAACGATCCCCAAATAAGTTGCCCCTTTGGAAATACCAGGCGGGTGGGGCCTAAAGGCAGCTCCTTCACCCCAAGCCCACTAGGCAAGGATAAGGCTGGATGGAAGCTGGGTCCTCTCCACTCTGTGCGTTGACAGTCCCAGGCAGTCACTCACAACAAGAATGGCTTCAAACTGGGCATGAAGTTGGAAGGCATTGACCCTCAACACCCGTCCATGTACTTCATCCTCACCGTGGCTGAGGTGAGCTGGGGCTTGGTACCACCTTTCTGATGATGTCTCTCAGTGCAGATTGATGGATCTTGCTGGGGACATAGAAGGAAACACCTCCCTCCCCTCAGAGCACACACAATCTAGTAGTGGATGAAGCTGGAATACATAGAAAGCTTAAAACAACAAAAACCAGATGGAGTTCATGGGACAGTCCTATTATTGGATGAATGTATACTGTCCACTCTGGGGGAGCTTGAGGAGATCCCGAGGGCCAGGGATGTTGGCATGAGTCAAACAAGGTCCTTGTCCTCTAGGAGCTCACAGTTGTCTGGGGAATCAGCCAAATAAACATGTCAGTGACATGCCACAGGGGTGGCAGCAGACTTGAGCTGGGAGGCACAGTTGGGTCAGTTCTGTCTGAGGAGCAGCAAAAGCATAGAGGAAGGGCCTCCTTTGCAGAGTCTTGAGAGATAAGTTGTGAATAAGGAGGGAGCTCCAGGCAGAAGGAGCAAAGTGGGCAAAAGCCCTGGGGCATGGAACAGACTGCTACCTTCAAGGAATTGCCACTAGCTCAGCAAGACTGGAAGCAGAGTGCGAGTGGGGAGCAGTGAGAGAAGGTAGCAGAGGGAGCGGTCATCAGGAGCCCTCAGCAGTCCTGAGCCTTGGTGGCTGCCCTCAGAATTCTGTCCAGGGCTCAAAAGGGCAGGAAGCTGTCATAGGGTCCACCTCCCTTGCATCCAGAACTCAGGGCTCATGAGTACATGAACTGTCCTCACTGTAGAATAGGACAGGGTGGGGTACAATTGGGAGGAAAGAAAGGTGGGGTTGGGGAACCTGCTAGCATTAGAGCCCCTGAGACCACCAGACTGGGCCAGGAGAGGTGAGGCAGATGGGGAGTGGGGCATCTCCTGACATTGGAGTTCCTGATTCCCCTCATGGGGCCAGGTATGTGGCTATCGCCTACGCCTGCACTTTGATGGGTATTCTGAGTGCCATGACTTCTGGGTCAATGCCAACTCCCCTGACATTCACCCTGCTGGCTGGTTCGAGAAGACGGGCCACAAGCTGCAGCCTCCCAAAGGTAAGGCCTAGCTGGGTTGGTCACAGTGAGGCAGTGAGTCCTCAGACCCTTCGCTTCTTCCCCTTGGGTCCCCGGCTTCCAGCTCTTTTGTTTTCTGACCCTGTACCCTGTTCCAAAGCCAGCCTCTCTTCATCGCATCCTGATGACTCTGCGCTGGGGCCAAGTTGACCAGAAGCCCTAGAACTTCCGCTTTGCACTTGCCCTTTGAGTGTCTACTCAAGTCGTGTCCTGCTTCAGTAGTGGGGAATCCCTGGGCAAGTTCTTGAGGGTTGGGGGGAGGTCCTCAGGCATGCCTGATTCTGCTGCTTCACTGTGGGGTGCCCTTGCTGTGGCCCAGCCTCTGCACGGCGCTCTGTTCATGCCCCTCGAGGGGCCTAGGTTACAAGGAGGAGGAGTTCAGCTGGAGCCAGTACCTGCGCAGCACAAGAGCTCAGGCTGCCCCCAAGCACCTGTTTGTGAGCCAGAGCCACGTGAGTGCCCCTGAGTGAGAGTGGATGTCACTCCCATGTGCCAGAGTTCACTGCAGCTGGCCCAGGGTATCTGACTCATCAGAAGGGAGCTCATGTGCTGGTTCTCTCAGCTTTGTTCTGATCTCTCATATCAGATGGGAGGGGTACAGCTGGGCAGGGTCCAGGGCCAGAGATGGGAAGCTGGTTATAGGTTTTTCCCGACTTCCCTCCCTCCTTTGCTACTGCAGATACCCTGTCCTCACATCCCCTTGGAGCCCCTGGCCCACTACCCTAGTCTGAGCACTGAGATGTCATTGCTCATATATTCTTGCTTTGGCTTGCTCTGCAGTTCTTTGGTGTAAGGTCAATGCCTCTATTCTGGGAGCTTCTTTTTCTTTCCTTTTGCCCAACATTGAGACTCTTCCATTTATTTCCAACAATTCATCCCTTGTCCTTTCCTCTGTTCAGGGCAGCTGGCAGCTTATCCAGCAGTTAAAGTATCTCATAATCCCAACCAAAAGGCCTAAGAGATACAGGGAGCCTCCATTAAAAATATCATACTGGACCAGGTGTGGCGGCTCATGCCTGTAATCCCAGCACTTTGGGAGGCTGAGGCGGGTGGATCACCTGAGGTCAGGAGTTCAAGACTAGCCTGGGCAACATGGTGAAACCCCCATCTCTACTAAAAATATAAAAAATTAGCTGGGCGTGGTGGTGGGTGTCTGTAATCCCAGTTACTCAGGATGCTGAGGCAGGAGAATCGCTTGAACCTGGGGGGCGGAAGTTGCAGTGAGCCAAGATCACGCCATTGCACTCCGGTCTCAGCAACAAGAACGAAACTCCGTCTCAAAAAAAAGAAGTATGTATCAGTCTTACTGGCTGGGTGCGGTGGCTCACACCTGTAATTCCAGTACTTTGGGAGGCTGAGGCGGGAGGATCACTTGAGCCCAGGAGTTTGAGACCAGCGTAGGCAACATAGTGAGACCCCATCTGTACAAAAAATGTCATTAAATTATTAGCTGGGCATGGTGCATGTGCCTGTAGTCCTAGATACCACAGTAGCTAGCTGAGCTGGGAGGATTGTTTGAGCCCAGGAATTCAAGGCTACAGCAAGCTATGATTGTACCACTGTACCCCAGCCTGGGCGACAGAGTGAGACCCTGTGTCTAAAGAAAAAAAACCATATTGAATGTCTAGAGTTTCCCTGGGCCCAGGACTCCACCATGCTCTTCAGGCAGAGACAGTTACTCCCCTACCCCAGTCCAGCCCCAGAGTTCATACTTGCAAGTTCCCAGGTGACAGGTGGGGTCCTGCCTGCTGTTGTGACAACGAATGCCGACTTTTAATTCAAACTATTTAAATACTGGCCCCGCCGTTGACTAGCATTGTGTTCTGGGCCAAGTGATTTAACTTCTTAAATGGGAATAGGGTTGTTGTAAAGGTCCAAGGAGGTGATGTCTTTTGAAGCTTACATGGCAGGTACTCAGTTTATACTGGTTCCCTGTCTGCCTCTATGCCATAGATGTCCGCTGTTTCTTCCCAGCCACCCCACTGTTGCCACAACTGCCTCAGGACAAGCTGGGAAGGGCTTGTCTGGGTAGGGAAGATTTATACTTGGTTCACCAGGTTCTTTGGGCGAACGCATAGCCTCCTTCCAGGCACTTACCTTCTGACACAAGCCAGGCCTCTGAGTGCACCTTGGAGGCCAGAGGTTCCTGAGTGCCTCAGGGCTCAGGTTATGATTCTGCCCTGGAGGGCCCTCTTTCCCAGCTTATTTCTCCTTCCTTTCTCACTGCCCACACCCCAGGCTTTCCTAGAGAACCTATTCCTTTGTTTGCCAATGGGCTCTGGGCTGGTCTTAGCCAGCTTGGCCCTGGCCGTGGCAGCTCCTTTTTTTCCCCTAGAGTCCCCCACCCCTGGGCTTCCAGGTGGGCATGAAGCTGGAGGCTGTTGACCGCATGAACCCGTCCCTTGTCTGCGTGGCCAGTGTGACCGATGTGGTGGACAGCCGCTTCCTGGTGCACTTTGACAACTGGGATGATACTTATGACTACTGGTAGTAGGAGGGCCCAGACTTGGCCTCAGGGGGTGAGGGGATGGCAGGGGGCAACTGCTTTCATATCTCAGGTACCATGTGGCACCACTCAGTCCAGTTCTGACATTCAGATCTTCCTCCGGTTGGAAGATAATTGAATTGAGCTTTATCATAAGAAATACAGCTCAATATTAAATGTTTCATCTAAAAATACCATGGTTAAGATGAGCAAGCCCCTATGATTCATGATTTTCCCTTAGATATTATGGTGATGGTAGAGTTTGTAATTCATGTTGCAATTTTCTAACTTTGTCCTTGCCATCTGTCTCCCTCTCACTAAGAAGTAGATGAGGGTGGGCCCTGAGCCATGCTTTCAGAGGATGGCAGGCTCAGGGCCTCAAGTTTCTCTTGGGACAGTGACATGTTCTTGGATTTCAGGTGTGATCCCAGCAGCCCCTACATCCACCCAGTGGGCTGGTGCCAGAAGCAAGGAAAGCCCCTCACCCCTCCACAAGGTGACCCTGCAGCCTGAGCAAGCCCCCTTTCCTAAGCCTGGCTCTGCTTCCCTCTCCACTGACCCCTCACCAGTAGTGCCCCAGTAGCTGGCTCTCTAGGGTCAGGGTGAGAGAACAGACATGTCCTGAAGCCTCAGCTTCTTGGCCTGGGAGTTGAGAACCCTTTGATTTTAGGAGACTCCTGTCAAACCCTGACTCCACTGGGGTTTAGGGGAAGAAAGTTACATGACCATCTCAGCAAGGAAACAGGGAATCAGAAGTAAAGAAAATGAGTCCTTCATCCTGGGAGTATTGCATTGGCCCAAATACAGTAGAGATTCAAATGGGGCTGGGGTGGGAGCAACAGGCCAAGAGTGACAGGAGTCAGGGTTCCCAGACAGCCCTGTGAACTATTAGGGTGGTGCCTTGCTTGGTTCTACTAGCACCCATCTGCCTGAGGAGCCCAGTGCAAGGAGCTGGCTGTGGTGATGGTGGGAGAGATTCTACTCCAAGGGCTTCTGTCCCTTCCATGTTCCTGGTCCTGCTTGGGGGCAGAGGGCTTCCGCAGTACACCTGGGTGGCTAGACATTGCTCTCATCCTCTCCTCCAGACTACCCAGACCCTGATAACTTCTGTTGGGAGAAATATCTGGAAGAAACTGGGGCCTCTGCTGTCCCCACCTGGGCCTTCAAGGTGGTGAGTCAGTGCTCCCTGACCCCAGAGCTGAGCTCAGAAAGACATGGAGCACTCAGCTAGCCAGGCTGGGGCCCTAGCCTTCCCCTTTGGGCAGGCCCCAGTTTCCCCAGGCACAGCATTTGGGCTCCCTCTGTGGGGCTCAGCTCTGCTGAGCTGCGCCTTGCCCTGAAGGCAGCTGTCCCCTCTGCAGCGACCCCCTCACAGCTTCCTGGTCAATATGAAGCTGGAGGCTGTGGACCGCAGGAACCCAGCCCTGATTCGCGTGGCCAGCGTGGAGGATGTGGAGGACCATCGGATAAAGGTGGCTCTGGGACCCTAGGGCTGGGAAGTGGACAGGCCAGTTGGGCAGGAATTCTGTAGACTGTTTAGAGGTCAGGGGCATCATGGCATGAGAGAGATGAAGCCAAAGATCTTGAATCTCATTCTTGCCTCATCTGTGACTTATTTTTGTGGGCTTGGACAAGTCATTTTCCCTCTCTAAGCCTTACATCATCTGTAAAATGGGCCTAATAATCCTCGTCCCACCTAAGGATTGCCAGTGGGAGATGCCAGTAACTTAATGAGTGATGCCCTTGGAAAATGTGGTGGCCAAGACAGATTATTGCAGGGTTGGCCCCTTGGTTCTTTCAATCCAGGATCTTGCTTCTGACAGGTCCCAGGGATGGGGAGAGGACCTTCTGGCTGAGCTGGGCTCCATGAGAAACGCCTGACTTCCAAGAGCCTTTCCTCCCCAGATCCACTTTGATGGCTGGAGTCATGGCTATGATTTCTGGATCGACGCTGACCACCCAGACATCCACCCTGCCGGCTGGTGCTCCAAGACAGGACATCCCCTGCAGCCTCCTCTCGGTGTGTACCCCTAGGGCACTCTGATCTTTTCCTTTCCCCCCAGGTTCTGACAATCCTATAGTTTGCCTACAGAGCTCTGACTCCCCATGCCCAAATATGACACAGAGGGCTCTGATGCCTACCATGAGTTCCAGAATCCCCCATCTGCCCCACCCCCGGACCATCTGCTACACTAAGCAGTGCTTCTGGCTACCCCAGTTGTCGGGGTTTGGGGTGTTGAGGTGCAAAGGGGCAAGCTCACTTGGTTGCATGTGCTTCAGAGGTGGTCAGGCACCCAGGGATTTCTCTCAGCATCTAGCAGAGCCACACTGAGCGTGCACTGTTTGCTAAGGACATGATGGCTTCCTAAAGTAAATTCTGATTGTCTGTGCAGGCAGGGGTTAGAGTTCAGGTCACTGGGCTGCTCAGCCCCATTTTCACCCTTAGGATTTCCCTTCCTTATTTCCCTGCTGCAACCGTGTTTGTCTCACATGGGGTGTTGATCCTTCTTGAATGTTCTCCAAGCATAGGCAGAGCCTTAAAAAAGTTACCAAAGTCTTGGGGATGAAAACAAGAAAAAGAACTGAGAGTGACATGAATCTGCCAGATGTGGCTTCTAAGGTATGGCTACACCCAACCAGCTCTGAGTGGCTCTTCTCCCCCAGAGTTCTCTCAGAGACTGAGGGCATAGCCTGCAGGTTTCAGCAAAGTATTAACATATGAGAGCTAAGCCCTCCTTACCCAGAGAGGGGCAGATATCCAGTAACACAGAATGGTGTCACAGCCAACGCAGGGCCCTCATCCTTGGGGAGTGGGTTTCTAGTGCTGATCTCCCCAGTGGAAACTGCTCCTTCCGTGCCCCACACTCCCCACCCCCAGGACTCCATGAGGACCGCCTCCTTTCTGCTCTTTTAGGACCCAGAGAGCCCAGCTCTGCCTCCCCTGGGGGCTGTCCCCCTCTCAGCTATAGGAGCCTGCCCCACACTAGGACCTCCAAATACAGCTTTCACCACCGGTGAGTGAAGGTTCCTGGTGAGAGACCCTCAGCGTTGTTTTGCACTTACTGCATGCAGGCGACTGGGGTCCACCAAAACACACTCCAGCTGGGACCAGGGCTGAGGAGGGCTCAGCGGGGACCAGTGGATTAAACCCAACTGAAGTCTCTTCTTCCCCAGGAAGTGCCCCACTCCTGGTTGCGACGGCTCTGGCCATGTCACAGGCAAGTTCACAGCTCACCATTGCCTCTCAGGCTGCCCACTGGCTGAGAGGAACCAGAGCCGGCTGAAAGCGGAGCTGTCTGACTCGGAGGCCTCAGCCCGCAAGAAGAACCTCTCAGGCTTCTCCCCAAGGAAGAAGCCTCGCCATCACGGCCGGTATGGAGGCCAGGGAATCAGGGCCCGGGCTTCCTGGGGGTGTGGGGCCTTGTAGCCTCTTGGACTGGGCCAGACACTGATTCCCTGCCATGGACCTGGTCCGTCTTTCTCCAGAATTGGACGCCCTCCGAAGTATCGAAAGATTCCGCAGGAAGATTTCCAGAGTAAGTCTGGGTTATCTGCTCCTATGTCCTCCACCACAGAGTGTTCACAGCGAGTGCTCTGTCATTGGTGGGATGAGACAGATTTCCCAGAGTGGGAGAAGCTAGAAGGAGGGCTGTGCCTCTTCGTTTGAGATACTGAGAGCACAGAGCAGTGGCAAAAGCAGTGGAGGGGCCTTGAGTGACCTTGGGTTCCAATCTCATGTCCCCCATGGCCTTGCTGTGAGTCTGTGGGGAGGGTACAGAGCTTCTCGGGGCCTTTGGTTCTCACTGTGCAGCAAGATGATGCTCCTGCTCTTCTCTGATTCTAGGCTTCCTGGGAAGGAGGCCATGGCCATCACTTTCTACCTGTGTGATCTTAAGCAAGTCACTTAACATCTTTGAGCTTCAGTTTTCTCACTTGAGTAACTGGATAAAACCTGCCTTTCCATTGTCAATACCTGAAATAACAGTGGTTACTACCACTGCTTACTGAGCATCTACTATGGGCCAGGCACTATGCCAGGTTCTTTACACATACTGTGTCTAACTCTCACAAGAGTTCTCTAACATGTATATTGTTCTTCTGTGAGAGGAGGAATGTGAGTCTCAGAGGGTGATGTCACTTGCCCAAGGTCATTCACCTTGTAAGGGGGAGAGCTGGCATTCCAACTCGGATCTGGCCTGACTCCTCCTGCTGCATGCTGCTGGTATAAGAGACATAAAGCACCTAACCCAAATGTCAGTTCACTTCTCACTCCCCTTGCACTAGCGTGCTTGCTGCTGTAACAAAAATACCATAGACTGGGTGGCTTACACAATAGAAATTTATTTTCCACAGTTCTGGAGGCCAGAAGTCCAAGATCAAGGTGTTGGCAGGCTTGATTTCTTCTGAAGCTTCCCTCCTTGGCTTGCAGATGGCTGCCTTCTTGCTGTGTTCTCACATGGTCTTTCTTCTGTGCACAAGCATTCCTGGGGTCCCATGATGTGTCCAAAGTGTCTCTTCTTGTAAGGATACCAATTGAATTGGATTAGGGCCCATCCTAATGACTTCATTTTAACTTAATCACTCTTTAAAGGCCCTTTTTCCAAATGCAGTCCCATTCAGAGGCACTGGGGGTTAGGGCTTCAGCATATGAATTTTGCGGGGACACATTTTAGCCCATAACATACTTCAGCGGGAGGGGCATAGTGGCTGAGCCCTCCCCTAGGTGGTGAATTCATCTTACATCTTCAGCCACTAGTACAGGGCCTGATGCACAGCAGGGACGCCTCAGTTGAATGGAATGCATGTCATTTTAAGGCTAAAAGAGACCTTGAGAAATCACCTGGTTTAGTGCACCTTGGCGAGACCCAAGCTGTCCCAATTCTTCAAGAACAGTCTCTGTAACCTGGGCAGTAAGTAACATAGTGATAAAAAGCATAGCCCTGAAGTCAGACTACCTTTTACAGGCTGAGAGATCTTGGGTGGGTGACACTCCTCTCTGAGCCTCACCTTCCTTATCTGTAAAATGCTGATAATAATCGTACCCACCGTATGATGTGGTGAGAGGCTTAACTGAGATGTTCCATGTGAGGTGCTTAGCACAGCTCCCTGCCAGTATTATTAGTCTGAGTCTCTTGCCTCACTTCCTCTTGCTGTCATCTCATACTGTTTCCTCTTTGTGGGAACAGAAGCAGTTTCTTCAGCCTCAGACCTGAGTGATGAGGGTCTTGGCCAGCACCTAGACCCTCAGAGTAAGGACTCCTAAGGATCAAACTGCAGTGGGCACCTCTTGTACCCATCTGTGGTACCCATGGTCAAGTCCACTGCAGGACCAAGTTCTGACCACCAGAGGGCACTTGCCTACTGTGTTCATCCCAGAATTAGGCTGTAGAATTCTTGGGAAGCTACATCTTTCCAGAGGCTGAGACTATGTCACGGAACTGGCAAAGAAGGGCTCACCCAGATCCTTGAGGCACTTCAAGGATAGAGCAGGGGTCATTGCCCAGGTCTCACTTCCACAGGGCACCCCTGCTCTTCTAGCTGGCCTGTCACCCAGAAGAGCCACTGGTCACTCTGGGTTTTGTTCCAGAGGCAACTTCTTACATACTGGTGGGTAGACCTCCTTAGTGTAGGCTCTGAGGTTTGCTGGTGAACAATTCCATAGGAAGATCTGCCCGGAGAGGACAGGGCTTGGCTGGGCTTAGTCTTTAGGCCTAGGAGTGTCAGCTACTGAAGGAACTGAGGAGCCATGTCTGACCTGCAACTGGATGGTCTGCAGTTAGATAAGACACTGTAACTGCTGGTAAGCACTCCTGGCCTGTGCTCTTCCCTGTGCTCTGGGGAAGAAAGATAAGGAGAAAAGCTCCCTACAAACTTGATGTTGTCTCCCAAACCCCACCCCAGGGTATGAAACCCAGATACAGGGTTTCAGAGAGGGAGTACCTGGGTGTACCAGAGGCCAAACCTGTGGCCAGGTAGATGAGGTGCTAGTGGTGCTAGCTGTCATGAGAGATGCTGAGTGTGCCCCAGACGGGCCATGAGAGGAGCTGGCTGAGCAGGGAGATGGGGCTGTCTGGGGTATGGGCAGGTATTAGGATTTCGCTGATGAACAGAGAGAGCAGCAGGAAGGCAGTGGCACAGAAGTGTGGTTGGTAGGGCTGAGGATGGAATCCCAGAGGCTTTGTGGGTGAATGGAGGTGGAAAAGCCAGGCTGAAAGGCTGACACTCAGGGAGAGAGGGCAGGACAATCTGTGACCAACAGGGAGGGTCTTTGACAAGAGGGCACTTGGAGGTGCTGCATTGATGAGCATCTGGAATTAGCACCAGGAGAATAAAGAGCCAATGCTCCTGGACCATGGACAGAGGCTGGGAAAACCCCTTGGGAAAGTGGCCACATTGCACAAGGCCGGCCAAGGCTGACAGCAGTGAGTGGGGCCAGGTTTGTCAAAGCAGCCAGAGGGGGATGAAGTCCAAGTTGGCACGTGCCAGGCCCCACCAAGGGGGAGGCCAAGCTGAGCAGCATCGGTCATCAGCTCAGTACAGCTGCTTGAGGTAGGAGGTTGGGGCCAGTGATCCCAGAGGCAGACCAGGAAGCAAAGCCACAGGCAACATGGAGCTGGGGAGTGGGTCAGGGATCACCCTCTAGTGCTGGCATAGGCAGTAGTACAGACCGGGCTGGTGGAGGAAGGGGAGGAACTGGAGCTTGAGGCAATGGCAGTGGCCAGAGGGGTGGTCTTCAGCCTGGTCAGGGGGACTGTGATTCTGAAGCAGAATCACCCTGGCTCTGAGAAAGTTGGTCGTGGCCCGGAAGGACTCATGAGAAGAAGAGTAAACAGAGTGGACTTCTGACATCAAGGCTGAGCTTGTTTGGATGTTAAGGACCCTTTTGATGGTTGGCATCTAGAAAATTATGTCTTTAGAGATGCTGCAGCAGCTCCAAGAGAGTATCCTTGCAGGGCCCAGGGTGGTGCAGCCTCAGAGAGACGGGGTGAGGGTCATTCCGAATAGCTGACCTGAGAGTCTTTAAGAGAGTCACTTTACCAGCAGGAGTGAACACTGTGTGAGGAGTCAGGAGATACGGCTCACCCTCTTGACTCTACAGGCTGTCAGAAGGGGCCCGGAGTCCTGTCTACTCTGCCAGCCAGTCTCCTGAGTGGTGTGGGTATGCATGGGCTTCGGGAACAGTTTAGTCATCCTCGTTGGCCTGCCAGCCTCTGCCTCTGCTTTCCAGCCCTCACGCCCGATGTCGTGCACCAGTCCCTCTTCATGTCAGCCCTGTCGGCCCACCCTGACCGCTCACTCTCAGTGTGCTGGGAGCAGCACTGCAAGCTCCTGCCAGGAGTAGCGGGCATCTCAGCCTCGACAGTCGCCAAGTGGACCATCGATGAGGTGAGGAGCGAGGGCCCTTCTTTATCCTTCTCTTCCTCTCCTCCTCCCTCTCACCATACCCTGGTGGAAAGGCCCAGGTCAGGTAGAACCCGGTACCACTCCTGGCACTACCTCTTGCTCATCTGTCCTGTGCACAGTCCCTTCTAGCTGCCCAGTAGGGGCTGACTGAGACCCTTCCTGATAGGTCCATTATGGCAGAGGGGGCGGGGGCTGTGCTGCTGTTTCAGCCAGAAATCCAGCAGGAGAGGCAGGCTTCGGTCCCAGGCCTCAGAAGCAAGGGGCCCAACTTGGCACATCTGCCAGCATAGAAACCCTAGGATCCTTTTAGGCTGGTGAGAAAAAGCAGCATTGGCACAGCTCAGAAGCACCTAGGCTGTGGAGGCCAGCTCTCCCTACATGCCTAAGCTCTGTCCCCTGGTCAACATGTCATCTTTGGTTTCCAAGGTCTTCGGCTTTGTTCAGACCCTGACAGGTTGTGAGGACCAAGCACGCCTCTTCAAAGACGAGGTAAGGTGCAAGTGCAGAGTGGGAGACAGAGCCGGGGTCACTGTCCTTAAGACGGCAGGAAGCAGGTGCCCTCCCCAGCGTCACTTCTGCTAAGGAGGGACCCGTGTTGCCCCACCAGGCAAGAATAGTCAGAGTGACCCATGTATCTGGGAAGACTCTAGTCTGGACTGTGGCCCAGCTTGGGGACCTTGTGTGCTCAGATCATCTTCAGGAAGGAAAAGGCATCCTGGAGACAGGAGTCCATTCACTCCTCTGCTCTCTACCCACTCATTTGCTTGCCAAACTTAGCTTTGCCAGTGATAGTCAATATTAAAGTGTACTTTTTTCCCCTTTAATCCAATATAGTTGATAATTAAAGTGTATTTTGAATGACACAGATATTGTGATTTACTGCAAGGATCCTAACACACACTTAAAATCAAGAGCCAAGGAGTAGTGAGTTGTAGATAAAAAAAGAATGTCAGCTTTGGAGACAGTCTGGGTTTAAATCCCAGTTCTGTCAATTTGAGCTGTTTACTGTCTCTGAGCCTACATCTTCTTGTCTGTAAAATGGAGATAAAATGGGTTTAATGAGGTCTACCTTGCAGAGCCATTGTGAGCATTGGAAATGATGAATGAATCATACCAGAACGTCTAGTATAATTACAGTCATGCATTGCTTAACGATGGGGATACATTCTTAGAAATGTGTCACTAGGCAATTCTGTCATTGTGTAAACATTATAGAATGTACTTACACAAACCTAGATGTTATATGTATTTTTATTTACATGTATATTTTCACATGAAATACCAAATGTCACAGCATTATTACTGAATGTCAGTCATTTCCCCTACTTGATCTGCAATGCCAATATCAAGGGCCATGTATCAGGTTTCTGTATATGTTCCACTATAATCTTATGGGACCATGGTTTTAAATGTGGAATCATTGACAGAAATGTCTTTATGTAGCATATGGCTGTGTATCACTAGTATATAATAGAGCAATATTATGGAGGAATATGTAGATCCAATCACTTTACCTATACAAAATGACTGCTATGGTGGGAACACAATAAACACCAGTTTTGACTTTTAGTGCATAGTTGTCCTTAAGTAAAGAACTTTGTCGGCCGGGCACAGTGGCTCACGCCTGTAATCTCAGGACTTCGGGAGGCCACGGTGGGTGGATCACCTGAGGTCAGGAGTTCAAGACCAGCCTGGCCAACATGGTGAAACCCTGTCTCTACTAAAATTACAAAATTAACTGGGTGTGGTGGCATGCACCTGTAGTCCCAGCTACTCGGGAGGCTGAGGCAGGAGAATCACTTGAACTTGGAAGGAGGAGGTTGCAGTGAGCCGGGATTGCACCACTGCACTCCGGTCTGGGCAACAGAACGAAACTCTGTCTCAAAAAACATAAAAAGAAAGTAGTTGGCTCTTCTTGCCCTGGAAGAGTGTCTGTATCCAAGCCCAGCACAGCCAGTTTCCTCCTTTGAGCTGTGTGTGGTGGAGCTCCCAAACTCCTCCCACTTCCAGGTGCTTTCCTTGCCCTCTGTGTTGGTGATCTTCTCTTCATGTACGTGTCCAGAGCTGAACTCCCTGTTTTCGATGGCCTCTGGCCAACATAGAACACACCGGGGTGCTGCTCCCCTAGAAGTGTTTTAATTGAGATAAAATGCCTATAGAGAGATAGGCACACATCTTGAAAGTACAATTTCACAGGTTTTATGACATGTCTGCCCTTGAACTCAACATTTCAATCAAGGTACAGACATTTCCTCTCGTGTTAAGTCATACAAAAAAAATTTAACAAAAAAAAAAAAAAAAAAAGAAAAGAAAAAGATACAGACATTTCCCTCATACCAGAAAGTTCTTTCTCAGCCCCTTTTAGTCAGTCCGCACCCCAAAAGACAACCACTTTTCTAATTTCTAGCGTCATAGATGAGCTTTGCCTGTTCTGGAACTCATATAAATGGAATCATAGAGCATGTACTCTTCTAGGTCTGTCTCTGCACAGTGTCATGTTTTTGAGGCTTCTCCACGTTGTTATCTGTATCTGTAGTTTGTTTATTGCTGACTGGTGTTCCATTTCATGAGTATACCATAATTTCTTGTTAATGGTCAACATTAGGGTTATTTTCTCTTCCCCTAGATTTGAACCCTATTTTTTTGTTAGCAAAACTTAAGTTTGCCCTAGCTTTATTATAGCCACATCACACTAGTTTGGGGTTCATAAAAGCCCCCAGGTGGTTTTCATGTCAACTACAGTCGAACCAAATTTTCCAGTGAGTACTTGCACCACTGAGTTTTTTTTTTTTTAATAACCTCATGTAAAACTTTACATCCACCCTATTAAATGTTATCTGGTTGGTTTCATAGCCTTGTTTTAAATCTTGATTCTGTCATCTACGATGTTAATAAGGCTTTCCAACCTCATACAGCTTGCACATTTGATAACTAAGCCTTCTGTGTCTTTGTCCAAGTCTTAACATGTTTTATGAGAAGGCAGAACCACGTGGCACGCTGTTTCAAACCTTTCTGTCGGTTGACCACAGGTCTTCGAATGTAGTTGTTCAGCCAGCTGCAGAGCCACCCAAGTTTCATCCTCCAGCCTATGCTTGGCTTTACATTCTCTTCTTCTTGTGACAAGGGCTGTGTCTCCCAGGAACATTTGCTGTGTCTCTTGGTTCAGCATGGTCTGTGATATAAAAAACTAGTGGCCAAAGGGAGGTGTACTGGTAGACTGCCAGCATTAAATAGAATCTCAGAGTGGAGCAGGACCTTTATGGGGTCTGAGGATCACCATCTCCAGTGTCTGGCCCATGTCATCAGTTTCCCCATGTAGGACAATGCTCCAGGAGTGGGCTCTCTCTGGCTTAACTGATGATTGGGTATTCAGGGACACCAGTCAAGATGCTCTCCATCTGGGACACAGACCAGCCAGTAGAGGGTTGCTTCATGAGTGAGGAATTAGAGCAAAGTGCATAGATGGTCTTATGGTTGTTCTGTACTGGTGGCCCTAAAAGTAGTCTGTCCAGTCCTCTCTTTGTCATCTTTATTGTAGCCATTGTGTATTTGTCTAATTCATCAGCAAATAATTATTGATGTCTGCTTTGTGCCTGGCCTTGTATAAGGTGATGTGATACTGAAGCAGGTAAGAACAGGTCCCTGCTCTTAAGGTTCTCTGCATGGTAGGGGAGACAGAATTGTAAGTTGTTGCTCCTGGTGGAGTGTGGTAAGGGCCGTGAAAGACACATGTGCAGGTGTCCTGGGAGCCCAGAGGAAGGGGAGGACAGAGAGGGGCCAGTGGGCTCTACTAACTGTGCAGCCAGATGTTTACTGGCAGCTTCCTGCTTCCCAAATGTCTGATTTTCTTGGGCTCCTGGTAGACCACACCTTTCTGCTGTGAAAGCATAGAAGTCCCAGTGGGGTTTTGAAAGTGCCAATTAAATCTTAGCTTGACCTGTGTTAAACATTCCATGTGTGGCTCTCTCAAGATCTATCCAGATCACCTCAATTTTAGGAAATTCCCTGGACCTCTCCACAGCACTGCAGGCTGTTGCTTAGGGTGGATTATTGTATGGCTTATTTTATCCATTTTCCTGTTGATTTCCTCTACCTTCAAGGTCAGAACATGACCCTTTTCCTGATCATATGACTCAAAACTCCCCATACCCACCAGCACACAGACAACATCTTAGATTTTCTGAGGTCATTCCATTGTTCCCTTACCTAGTCTCAGACTGCCAGACCACAGACTCTGGCCTTTGCTTTGAAGAACCTGGAACCTGGGCTTTGGCAGTTACCGTGGGTGAGAAATCTCAGGCGATATACAAGGAACCATATACCAGTGGGTTCTCTGAATGATAAGAACTGAAATCCTGACCGGGGCGGTGGTTCACTCCTGTAATCCCAGCAATTTGGGAGGCCAAGGCGGGCGGATTATTTGAGGTCAGGAGTTCGAGACCAGCCTGGCCAATGTGGTGAAACCCAGTCTCTATGAAAAATTAAAAAAAATTAGCCAAGCATGGTGGTGCATGCCTGTAGTCCAGCTACTCGGGAGGCTGTGGCATGAGAATCGCTTGAACCTGGGAGGTAGAGGTTGCAGCGAGCTGAGATCGTGCCACTGCACTCCAGCCTGGGCACAGAGCAAGACTCTGTATCAAACAAACAACAACAACAAAAGAAAATAAATGAACTCCTGTAAGAATCCATGCTTAACTCTGCCAGGGGTTTCTTTCCTTCATATCCTGAACTTCGAGATCTCCCTGGCCAGGCTTTGTGATTCAATGGGACCATCAAGAAGGAGCCCCAGAGGCCAGGCATGGTGGCGCACATCCGTAATCCCAGATGTCAGGAGTTCAAGAGCAGCCTGGCCAACATGGTGAAACCCTGTCTATACGAAAAATACAAAATTAGCCGGGTGTGGTGGCACATGCCTCTGGTCCCAGCTACTCAGGAGGCTGAGGCAGAAGAGTCACTTGAACCCAGGAGGTGAAGGTTGCAGTGAGCTGAGATCATGCCACCGTACTCCAGCCTAGGTGACAGAGCAAGACTCAGTCTTAAAAAAAAAAAAAAAAGGTGGGGAGCTCCAGAGCCAGACCGGCATGAGGTGTCTGAATCTGGATGTTTCTGCACAGACACATCTGCTGGGGGTCAGCAAAGAGAGCTCCTCAGGTCCAAGGGAGCTGCCTCCTGGGATGACCACTTGGCATCCCCCTCACAGCTCCCAGTGTCTCAGGCAAGCAGTATCTCCAGTGCTTCCCCATCGAGGAGGTGCTGGAGAGAGAATAGAGTGGCAGACTCCTTGAGAAAGGGGGAAATGGGCTTATTCAGCAGACCCTGGTCTTAGACCTGAGAAGCCGCTTTTCACTTGAGGGGTCATTTTAGAGCATTAGAAAGGAAGCTTAATGCAGGTAATCTCATCGGTGTGTTTGGCTACTAGACTTTCATTTTCTTTTGGGGGAAAGGTTTTTAGCCATCAGAAGTGCCAGTTTTCAGAGCCTCCTTGGTTAGTGAATTGGGAAAGATCAGGTAACTGTTTTCTCAGAGCTGCTGGGGGGACAGATATATGGGGTTCATTCCCCCACTCTGTCCTGCCTCCGTTTAACCTCTAAGGTTGCCAGCCTCTCTGAGATACAGTCCTGTTGTCGCCACACCTCAGAGATCCTTTCATTCATTCTTTCTGGATTTACTGAGCACCTGACTTATGTCAGGTAAGCAGCCCCCTGGTGGTCCTGGAAGGCAAATGAAGAAATACATACAATTCAGGGGAGTTTGTGGAACTGTGTGAACTCCAGACAGAGTGGAAGGAGTGGGCAGTTCTGACTGCTGGGGAAGCATGCTGACAGTGGGCAGGCCTTCCTGGCAGGGGTGGTAGAGGGAACAGAGCTGCAAGGCAGAAGACACCCAGTTATTGGGGAAGGGTCTGTAGTGCAGTCTGTGGAGCTAGGTGTGAGGAGGGCTCACTTGGAACTGTGGGGCAGGGCCAGGCTTGGGCAGCATTGCCCCCTGAGCTGCATGAGTCATGTCCATAGGATACCCCTACCCAGCTCTCACAGTGGTTAGGAACACAGGTCAGCACTTATAAGCTAGGTATATCTTGGGCAAATTCTGTAGCCTGTCTGCCTTGGTTTCCTCATCTGTATAATCGAGATAATGCTGGTATTGCTTCATAGGGTTATTGTGAGGATTAACTGAGTTAATACACAACAGGTGCTTAGGAGCAGTGCCTGGCACGTAAGAAACAACATAGAAGTGTTTTCATTGCTATGATGCTTGAGGGGTGAGCATAGGAGGGATGGCGTCTCCTCAAAAACAGCGTCCCCCAGCTCAGTCTCTTGACCCCCACAGCCTGCCTCCCAGCTCTCTTCATTCTATCCTGTCCTCCACAACTGACCAACTGACTTCCCTCCTTGACTCTACCCATATACCTAGCTACTAGAATTAACAATTACTAATATTTTCCATATTTGTTTCACCTATATTTGGATGAAGTAATTTTAAGTAAATTTTAGACATCATGACATTTCACCCCTGAGGACATAACTTGCATCTCTAAAAACTAAGGACTTTCTTTTCATAACCACAATATTGTTATCCCACTACCAAATTGCAAGTAACTCCTTTATATCATCCAATACCCAGTCTGCATTCATATTTCCCAGTTCTCAGGATACATTTTGCAGTTTTTGAGCCAGAATCTGAACAAGGCCTACATAATTGGTTTTGGTTTTTATGTCTCTTAAGTTTCTTCTATTCTAGAAGAGCCCCTCCCATCCTTTTTTTCCTTTTTTAATGACTTTTTTTTTTTTTTTTTTTTGAGACGGAGTCTCGCTCTGTCGCCCAGGCTGGAGTGCAGTGGCGCGATCTCGGCTCACTGCAAGCTCCGCCTCCCGGGTTCACGCCATTCTCCTGCCTCAGCCTCCCGAGTAGCTGGGACTGCAGGCGCCCGCCACCACGCCCAGCTAATTTTTTGTATTTTTAGTAGAAGCGGGGTTTCACTGTGTTAGCCAGGATGGTCTCGATCTCCTGACCTCATGATCCGCCCGCCTCTGCCTCCCAAAGTGCTGGGATTACAGGCGTGAGCCACCGCGCCCGGCCAATTGACATTTTTAAAAGTCTTTCAGAGTGTGGTTTTTTGGATTTGTCTTGTTGCTTTCTAGTGGTGTCACTTAACTTGTTCCTCTATCCCCTGTATTTCCCATGAACTGAAAGTTAGATCCAAAGGCTGGGTTAGACTTAGGTTAAATTTCTCACTGTCACTGTCTCTGTTTCTCTCTCTGTGTCTCTCTGTCTCCCCCTGCCCCCCTCTGCTTTTGGCAAGACTAGTTCCTAGGTGATACTATGTACTTTGTACTGCCTCATGTTGGAATGCACACAGTGTCTGCTTGTCTTGCTGTTAGCAGCACTAAGGTTGACCAATGAGGTCATGTGGGGACAACAAGAGCAGGTTTCTCAAAGCCAGTGTCTGTGAGGACTCAAAAGACATTTTGCGGATACAAATGCTAAACCTCAGACCAGTCAGCAGAAAGAGAGAAAGAGAACAAGTGTGTGAACACGGGGAAACCAGTGGCTGTCTTTCTTTCCTTCTCCGTCCCCATTGCTGTCTTCCTTTTTTCCTTTCTCCCTCCCTTCTCCTTTCTCCCGGTCCTTTCTCTCCCCTTCTCTCCTCCTTCCCTTTCTCCCGCATATCCTTTACTCCTACTCCCCTCCCCCATTCCCCATGCACACCCCTCCCTTTCCTTCACCCCTGCCCCGTGACCCTTTCCACCTTCTCCACTTTCCACCTCCCTCCCGCAACCCCTCAGATGATTGACGGCGAGGCCTTCCTTTTGCTGACACAGGCGGACATTGTGAAGATCATGAGCGTCAAGCTGGGCCCAGCCTTGAAGATCTATAACGCCATTCTCATGTTCAAAAACGCTGATGACACCTTAAAGTGACTGGCCCAGGGCTGGGCCCTCCTGCAGCCCCTGCTTGGCCTCCCTCTCCAGCTGATGCTTTCTTCCTGACCTGAATTCCTCATACCCCACACGTCCCCATGCTCCACCTATATCTGACCAGGCTGGTCCTTCTTAGAGGGTGCATGGGAGCTGAGGAGCCCTGGGGAGGGTAGGCACCCAGCCCCAAGTCCTAGAGCTCATTCGTCACCAGGCATGTTGGTGAGGGCGTGACTGGCAGGGGCATTACTCATGGAGTCAGTTGGACTGTGGCAGCCCCCACAGCCCCAGTGGACTTTTATTGTATTACCAAAGGGTCTTTTTCTTGGCAGTGGAGGAGAGACTAGTAGAGCAGCAGTCCTTCAATCTGAGGCCCCTTTCCCTTTTTTGGTATCTCTGTGTACTTTTCTCTCCTTGGCTCCTTTCCTCCTGCCAAGAAGTGACCCCACCACAAATGTATTTACTCCTGGAGGTACCTCCTCTCTTTCTGTCTGCTGGTTTTGCTGCCCTCATTCTGCTGCTTCGTTTCCTGGGCAGTGCCCCCAGCCAGACCCCACTGGCTCTTCCCCCTGAGATATGTGAACCTCGGAAACATGTTTTCCTAAGATCCCTTGGAAGTCTCTAGCTGCCTTTCTCTCTTTTGCCCAGAATTGAGAGATTTTGAGCCAAGATGCCTTCCTGAACTTACCCAGTTCTGGACCAGTTGGCATTTTAGTGTCCCACGCCAAGTCCAAGTTTCAGCAGAATGAGCAGGTGGTTTGAGCCTGTTTTATAGATGGCAGAGGTTGAGGTTCCACTGCTGTTTTCCATACACCCTTCATGTGTTGAGTCTGGGAAGGAGTAAGCCTAGCCTGCCAGTAGCCTAGGTTAGGAGACCAGCATAAGGATTTGTTAGACAATCTCGGGTCTTTGGCCAGAGGGGCAGCTCCAGCAGGCATAGTGGTGCCTGAAGTTAGGAATACTGTACTCTCTGTAGCTTTGGACCTCAGCCAAGGTATTGCCCATGGGGTGATGGCTCCAGGCCTGCCAGGCCTTCTGCCATGAGAATGTAGCACTCTGTGTAGCACACACCCCCATGACATCATTTAACCTGTCCCTTAAATGTTGACCATTAGCTCTTGCAGCGTCTTACAAAGACGACTTGAAGTTGGGAGTTAGGAAGGTGAACTTTTCTATCTGAATTCTCCGGGTCCCTGAAGCCCTCCTTGCCGCTCTCCATCTGTCTTGCACTGCCAGCTGGGTCCCTGCTGGGGCTCTGGGACTTCCACTTCTCAGTCCACATAGGAACCCAGCTTCCACTGAGTCACTGCCAAACCTGCCTCCCAGCCTGGGTGGGAAGGGGGAGAGCCACTGGTAGGAGCCAGCCCCACATGGAGGTGAGGAGCCACTGCCAACCTCCCGTGTCCAGGTGCTGATGTGGGCCTGCGGAGTGTGGGGCTGGTGCCTTCACCCAGACCCCTTCAATCATGTGATGTGTGTGTGTGTGCATGTGTGTGTGTGTGTGTGTGTGTGGCACTCTCAGAAGTGTTTGACAGGGTGCAGATGTGAGGCTTAGTGTTGGGAAAATGCCAAGGGCTATTATCATTAAAATTTGAAGCTTTATTTTTCCCTTAGAAGTGGGAAACCCAGAGCTCTGTTGATTTCCTACCACAACCCAGTAGGGGCCTCTCTCTGCCATGGGCTGGACAGCTTTTTGAGGAAGCCATTCAGCTCCCACAGTTGAGCTCCCACAGGGCTTTAGGTGTCCATTCCCTCTCAACTGCTTAGAGGCAGCTTTGAGCACAGCCTTCCTGGAAGGAAGCTAGGCAAGACCTGCCACACAGCGAAGGTTGGGTTTACAAGGGTGACATTGGTACCCCCTTGGCCAAGAGTAAAGAAGAACAAGTCTAAGCCTTGCTTTTATCTTAGTTGTCTGGGTGGTAGCAGAACTCATCAGCTCCTTATCCTCAGTCTGTTCCTCTATAAAAGATGAGAGATGTTCACTGACTTTGTGCAGTGAGAAGGCAGCAAGTACTCACGGCTGGTGCTGTGGGACCTCACAGCTTCTAAGGAGAGGGGCTGGGAGGGCCTTTGCCATCAGATCTGCCAAGCACCTAATGCTTGCCTGTGGTGAAGGCAAGATGGACCAAGGGCCTTGGAGAAAAGGGCTCCCAGGCTTCTGAACTTTGAGGCCTCAGCACTTTCTGCATTATCGTCAAACTCTTTGGAAAGAAACCAAATCATTAAAAAGTAGAAAGAAATCTGCCTCTTGTCTGCCCTACTGCCCCTTTACCCCCACTCTGTCCCCAAATGATATTATTGCACCTTGACCTGGGAGCGCAGAGAGGGGAGGGAGTTGGCAGAGACTTCTGGTGCCCTCTGCCCTCCTAGCAACAGATGCCACTTATATTTTGGCCCCTGGCAGCCTCGCCCAGCCCCTGATCAGCCCAGGCCTAGGGCAGTTAGGACCTTTCTGTTTATTTTCTGAAGCAGAGAGAATGATCTCAGAGTTTGCAAATGAAGCCTTTTTTGCACTTTCATTCACATGCACTTTGGTGGGGTTACATTTTTGTACTTGCCTCTTGTGTGTGCACATGTGTGTATGTGTTCTTTAAGAGAATCTTCTGGCTTAAGCTAAGGTGACTCTTGAAGGAGAAAAAGTTACAAACAAAATGTGGTGTGATCTGTCAGTGTATCAAAACAACATAAATAAACTTGAACAACTGATACGCAGCCAGAGTCTGTTTCTATTTTCATGATAAAACATCCAGAGAACACAAAATGGTTATCAGTAGTGGCACTACTGAAGAGACTAAAGTGTTCTCTTTGTTGTTAGTTAGGGGTCCTTATAGTTTTTAAGGAAAGAAACAAAGGATAAGGATAAATGGGTATCTGTCTGCACTGAAAGTGTAAACA
Organism: Homo sapiens; assembly: GCF_000001405.40. Taxonomy (NCBI): domain Eukaryota; kingdom Metazoa; phylum Chordata; class Mammalia; order Primates; family Hominidae; genus Homo; species Homo sapiens. The sequence goes on from NC_000020.11 coordinate 43,551,138, forward strand.
GTGGGAACTCCCAGAGATCGGTGTGTAAAAGGGCCTGATCCTTAACATTTGATAAATGGTCAAGGGCAGAAAATTCAATGAAACCTGTAATTTTTAAAATAATAATATCAGCTGGGCACAGTGGCTCACACCTGTAATCCTAGCCACTTTGGAGGGCCAAGGAGGGAGGATCACATGAGGCCAGGAGTTCAAGACCATCCTGGGTAACGTAGCTAGATCCTGTCTCTATAAAAAAAAAAAAAAAAAAGTATTTTTTATGGTGGCATATGCCTGTAGTCCCGGTTACTTAGGAGGCTGAGGCGGGAGGATCACCTGAGCCCAGGAGTTCGAGGCTGCAGTGAGCTGTGATTGCAACACTGTGCTCTATCCCAGTGCTCAAATAAAAAATGAAAACATCAAACTTTCAGATGGGGAAATGTCAACCTGAACAGTTAGATTTTGTTAAGCTTCCCAGAGACTACAAGCAGGTGGGAAGGTGGCACCTTTCCCACCTTAAAGTGTTTGATCACTTTAACTGCTTTCTCGTCAATATCCTTAATTTCTTTGCCCTGCTGCTGTTCCAGATCACTTGTCTAGAAGCTCCAACCATGGAGCTGTCCGAGAGCGCATCCTCTCCACACCACAACTGGGAACCTACCTGACCGAGATTGGTGCCATGATAGACTGGTAGACCCTGGCTTCAATGTGAACTGAACCCTCAGGGCTACCCAGGAAGCACGTAGGGTCTGGGGGCTTTAGCTCTGACTTCCCTTTTCATGCTTCTCAAACCTCCTACCCCATTGTCTTGACAGATATCCTTACCATCCATGTCACAGAGAAAGTGGAAGTCATAGGAAGAAACACCTTCACCTTCCTGCCGTCTCATCTGCATGTCTCCTCCCACCCCCATTCATTCTGTTTCTTTCCTATTACAGTGGAAGACTTGATGCTTCCAACTTGTCAGAAGCTAATCTTCTACTAGCCATAGCTGCAATAAAAGGAAAAGAAACATTAAGAGACAGGAAGAGGCTTTTGGACATTTAAAATGGGATTATGGAGATAAAAATTCAACACAAGGGTCAAAAGATAAAGTTGAGGACATTTCCCAGTAGGCAGAATAAAAAGAAAAAGAGAGGCCGGGCCTGGTGGCTCATGCCTGTAATCCCAGCACTTTGGGAGGCCAAGGCAGGCAGATCACGAGGTCAGGAGTCTGAGACCAGACTGACCAACGTGGTGAAACCCCGTCTCTACCAAAAATACAAAAATTAGCCAGACATGGTGGTGCGCTCCTGTAATCCCAGCTACTCAGGAGGCTGAGGCAGGAGAATTGCTTGAACCCGGGAGGCAGAGGTTGCAGTGAGCCGAGATTGCACCACTGTACTCCAGCCTGGGTGGCAGAGTGAGACTTCACATCAAAAAAAAAAAAAAAAAAGAAAAGAAAAAAAAAGAAAAGATGAGAAATGGGAAAGAAGAAAATATCAGAGGACTAGTTGGAGGCCCAAATATATGATTAATAGAAATTCTAATAAGAGAGAACCGAGAAAACAAATTATATCAAAAACAAACAACAAACTTGTATACTGAAAACAATAAAACATTGCTGAAAGAAATTCAAGAACACCTAACTAAATGGAAAGAGATCTGTGTTCATGGCTAGGAAGACTTAATATTGTTAAGATGTCAATATTACCCAAAGATATTTACATATTCAATGCAATCCCTATCAAAATCTCAGCTGATTATTTTTTTCTTGCAGAAATGGAAAGACAGATCCTTAAATTCCTATGGAATTGCATGAGGCCTCAGATAGCCCAAACAATCTTAATAAAGTATAACAAAGTTGAAGAACAAACCGATTTCTTTCTTTCTTTCTTTTCTTTTTCTTTTTCTTTTTTTTTTTTACAGAGTTTTGCTCTCGTTGCCCAGGCTGGAATGCAAAGCCACAATAATCAAAACAGTGTGTTACTGGCATAAGGACAAATAGACCAATAGGATGGAATTCAGAGTCTAAAAACAAGTCCATATGTCCATAACCAATTGAAATTTTTTTTTTTTTTTTTTTGAGACAGAGTCTCGCCCTGTTGCCCAGGCTGGAGTGCAGTGGCGCGATCTTGGCTCACTGCAAGCTCCGCCTCCCGGGTTCACGCCATTCTCCTGCCTCAGCCTCTTGAGTAGCTGGGACTACAGGTGCCCGCCACCATGCCCGGCTAATTTTTTGTATTTTTAATAGAGGCGAGGTTTCACCGTGTTAGCCAGGATGGTCTCGATCTCCTGACCTCGTGACCCACCCGCCTTGGCCTCCCAAAGTGCTGGGATTACAGGCGTGAGCCACCACGCCCGGCCTAACCAATTGATTTTCAGTAAGAATGCCAAGTCCATTAAATGGGGAAAGTACAGTTTCTTCAACAAATGGGTCTGGGGTAACTGGATTTATACTTGTAAAAGAATGAAATTGGATACCTACCTCACCCCATATTCAAGAATTAACTCAAAATGGATTGATGACCTAAATATAAGAACTAAAACTATAAAACCCTAAGAAGAAAACATAAAGGTATATCTTCATGACCTTGGAATTGGCAATGAATTCTTAGCTATGGCACCAAAAGCATAAGCAACAAAAGAGAAAATAGATAAATTGAACTTCATGGCTGGGCACGGTGGCTCATGCTTGTAATCCCAGCACTTTGGGAGGCCGAGGTGGGCAGATCATAAGTCAAGAGATCGAGACCATCCTGGCCAACATTGTGAAACCCCGTCTGTACTAAAAATACAGAAATTAGCTGGGCGTGGTGGCACACGCCTGTAGTCCCAGCTACTCGGGAGGCTGAGGCAGGAGAATCGCTTGAACCCGGGAGGCGGAGGTTGCAGTGAGCCGAGATCTCGCCACTGCATTCCAGCCTGGGCAGCGGTGCAAGACTCTGTCTCAAAAAAAAAAAAAATTGAATTTCATAAAAATTTAAAGACTTTTGTGCATCAAAGGACATTATCAAAAAAGTGAAAAGCACCTACAGGATGGAAGAAAACATTTGCAAATTTTACAAGGGTTTAACATGTGGAATATATAAAGAACTCCTAAAACTAAGCAACAAAAAGCCCAGTTAAAAGATGGGCAAACAACTTAAATAGATATTTCTCCAAAAAAATACATACAAATGGCCAGTGAGCCCATGAAGAGTTGCTCAACATCATTAGACATTAGGGAAATGCAAATTAAAGCCACAATGAGATATCACTTTCTACCCATTATGATGGTTATAATTTTTTTAAAAAGGAAAGTAAAACGGTGAGGCTGTGGAGAAATTGGAACCCCTGTACATTGCTAGTGGAGACATAAAATGGTGCAGCTGCTATGGAAGAGAGTTTGGCATTCAAAGCGTGATGTAGGCTGAAAAAAAGAGTTTGGCAGTTCCTTCAAAAGCTAAGCATAGAACTATCACATGATTCAGCAATTCCACTCCTGGTATATACCCAAAAGATTTGAAAACATACTTGAATGCCTATGCTCATTGCAGCATTATTCACAGCAGCCGAAAGATGCAAACAACCCATGTCATCATCAACAGAAAACAAAATGTGGTCTATCCATTCAGTGGAATCTTAATTCAGTCAAAAAAGAATAAAGTTCTGATACTTGCTACAACTGGATGAACCTTGAAAACATGCTAAGTGAAATAAATGAGGCCGGGCGCGGTGGCTCATGCCTGTAATCCCAGCACTTTGGGAGGCCGAGGTGGGCGGATCATGAGGTCAGGAGTTTGAGACCAGCCTGGCCAACATAGTGAAACCCTGTCTCTACTAAAAATACAAAAAATTAGTTGGGAGTGGTGGCAGGCGCCTGTAATCCCAGCTACTTAGGAGGCTGAGGCAGGAAAATCACTTGAACCCGGGAGGGGGAGGGTGCAGTGAGCCGAGATCGCACCACTGCACTCCAGCCTAAGCGACAGTGCAAGACTCCGTCTCAAAAAAATGAAAAACAGACACGAAAGAACAAATATTCCACACATATGAAATATCCAAAATAGGCAAATTCATAGAGATGGAAAGCAGATTAGAGGTTACCAGGGACTGTGAGGAAGGGGAAATGTGGAGTCATTGCTTAATAATTACAGAGTTTCTCTTTGGGGTGATAAAAACAGATTTTTTATTAATTAAATAGATAATGATGATGTTTATACAACATCATGAATATACTTAATGACACTGAATTGCACACTCAAAAAATGGTTACAATGGCAAATTTTATATTTACCACAATAAATTTCCCTTTAAAAGAGGAAGACATAGGATCCAGGAAGCAAGACACACCAAGGAAAGAGACAAAGGGGATTTGCAGGCCAGTCACCGGTGGCTCACGCCTGTAATCCCAGCACTTTGGGAGGCTGAGGCAGGTGGATCTCTTGAGGCCAGGAGTTTGAGACCAGCCTGGCCAACATTGCAAAACCCGTCTCTACTAAAAATACAAAAAAGTAGCTGAGTGTGGTGGTGCGTGCCGTAATCCTAGCTACTTGGGAGGCTGAGGCAGAAGAATTGCTTGAACCTGGGAGTGGGAGGCTGCAGTGAGCCGAGATTGTGCACTCCAGCCTGGGCGACAGAGAGACTCTTACTTCAAATGAAAAAAAAAAAGGCAGAGGTGGGGACGGGTTTCCAGAGTGATGGGAAAGGAAGGGCCAGGTTCACCTCTGGACAGCTGTCTAGGTGAGAGTAGGAGGATGAACGGCTCTAAGAAAAATGGGGGGAAGAAAACAAACTGAAACTGGTATATTAATGTATCAAGAGGATATTTTAGCTTTATCAGAGAGTTATATACACATAATTATATATAATTCTCTAATAATTATATATATTGAATATGTTCAATTTCTAAAACCAAATGAAGCAACTATAAATTCAGGAAAAGCTGAAATGTGTGTTTGGAGGGGCATAATCTAAGCATTCATGTTCCATAGTAGGAAAGAAGCCACTTGAAAATGTTTTAAACTGAAAAATGGAAGAATAACAGTATAAGGCTATTAAGATACATGGAGGTAAATACCAAAGAAAGCAGCTTAAAAAGATGAGGAATGGGGCAAGGAACTGATCTTTTTCATTATTTGATTTTACACTTTGTACAATTATCACTTTCTAAAAATGTTTCCAGAAGGCAAACTGGGGCCCATATCTGGGCTATGTATGAGCTCTGTTGCCCAAGAGTCTGTTAGCCCATGTGGGTAATAGATTTTTCTCTGGTGGCCCTGTGTCTGTTATTCCCTTTGCCTATGGGTGAATCTGCAGGTGGGGCTGGGGGTGGGAATAGGGCTGGAGCCAGACTAAGGACAGAAAAGTGGGCTGAGGAATGTCAAAGTGAAGGGAATATTTCTGGAGGTAGATTTCCATTGGTTAAGTCTCTTGCTTTTCCCTTATGCCTGAGAACATGACTTTTACCTTCATACCCAAACAACAAAGTCCAGCCAGGGAGGGTGGGAGGGGAAAGAAGGAAGAGAGGAAGATGGGAAGGAGACGCATATCTGCAGTGGCCTATCTACACATATCTGCACGAGTGACCTTGGCTATTTCCTGCAGTATCACTGGGGGGAAGGGCAAGTTCAGCACTGCTGCTAGCCACGTTGGTTGGCACAACTTGTTACAGTCATTTGGTAGAGAGTTCATAATTAACCCAGCACTCACACTTAACAGGAGTTCATCTGTCAGAAATACTAGCGGAAGGCCACAGGATATTAAAGCAGAGATGTTTGCTGCAGCCTTGTTGGAAATATTGTGAAACTGCTAACAGTCAAAATGTCCATCAGAAGGAACAGTAAATAGGGAATAGGGGTTGTGAAAACTCCACACTATGAAGTGTGGTGCAGCTGCTTAAAAGATGTATATATGAAAAAAAGTGAATTACTGATGGCCCATTTTCTGGAAAAAAAATGGATGCAGTTATATAGATTAATACATATAGATTAAGATTAATATACATATAGATTAAGACATAGACAAAAATCTGGAAGGATTGTCACCCTTTTTTTTTTTTTTTTGAGATGGAGTCTTGCTCTGCTGCCCAGGCTGGAGTGCAGTGGCATGATCTTGGCTCACTGAAAGCTGCATCTCCCAGGTTCATGCCATTCTCCTGCCTCAGCCTCCCGAGTAGCTGGGACTACAGGCACTCGCCACCACGCCTGGCTAACTTTTTGTATTTTTAGTAGAGATGGGGTTTCACCATGTTAGCCAGGATGGTCTCGATCTCCTGACCTCGTGATCCACCCACCTCAGCCTCCCAAAGTGCTGGGATTACAGGCATTAGCCATGGCGCCCAGCCGGATTGTCACCCTTTAGTTAACAGCAGCTGCCTCTGGAAATGAGATTGAAGATGGGCTGGAGGGAAAGCTTTTACTTTTTATTTGACATTCTTCTGTAAGTTGGAATTATTTGATACACTTTATGCAACCAATACCAGTATGTGGCGTGTTTGGGGGTTTTTTAAGCAGCTCTGGAAGAGCAGAGGAGAGGGAGCTTGGTGGCACAGCAGCAGCAGCAGCAGGAGCTCTGGAAAGGGCAGGACCTTGTGCGCTGCCCTGATTTGCTCTGTGCACTTGGGCCAGCTACCTCCCCTATCTGGACCAGGGCCAGACACATGCTGCTATGTGTGTTGGTGGAGGTGGGGTGTGTGGCCATGCAGGGCTCCTCCGGAGCACAGCAGAGCAGCCGGTGTTTAAGGCACCAGAATTACCAGAAAGTTGTTGACATTTTAATGGAAAGGCAATGGAGGAAGCAGTGTGAAAGTCAGCCTGCTCAGGAGGGGTCACTGGGCAGAGCTTTCCTTACCTGTCCAGGGGTCCAGGCCCTGCCTGTGCCCTGAGTTAGAACCCAGGGCCGGCCAGGCGCGGTGGCTCACGCCTGTAATCCCAGCACTTTGGGAGGCCGAGGCGGGCAGATCACAAGGTCAGGAGATCGATACCGTCCTGGCTAATGCAGTGAAACCCCATCTCTACTAAAAATACAAAAATTAGCTGGGCGTGGTGGTGGGCGCCTGTAGTCCCAGCTACTCGGGAGGTTGAGGCCGGAGAATGGCGTGAACCTGGGAGGCGGAGCTTGCAGTGAGCTGAGATCACGCCACTGCACTCCAGCCTGGGTGACAGAGCGAGACTCTGTCTCAAAGAAAAAAAAAAAAGAACCCAGGGCCTGGGAAGCTTTGGGTCAACCCCCGAGAAAGCCTTCCCTGTTCTCCAGGGTGAACTCATCTCTGGTTCCTGAGCCTCAAATCTCTGAAGGGCAGAGTGGGGCATAGGTTTCAACTCAGCTGTGATTCTCCCAGAACGGTGCCAGGGCAGTGCTTGGTCGGGTAGGCTGTGGGTGGCAGTCTTCGGCTTAACACAAGAAATTGCCAGAGGCTGGCTCAGGGGGAAATGAGCTGCCCAGTCCTGGAAGTTTCCATGAAATGACTGAACATAGGGGCTGGTGGCCCCCATTAGGGAAGGGGTGGAGGAGGGTGTTGTGTGAGACCAACCTTTCAGTTGCTGGTTCACTAGGTTCCAAGCGAAAGGGAAGATGACTCAGCGGAGGGAATCAGGGAAGGCTGTGTAGGAGTCAGCACTTAAGCTGGACCTTGAGAGAGTGCGGCAGTTCCAGTGTTGAAAGGGACTTCAGAAACCGTCCCTCCAGCAGGACACACCATCCGTCACCAATTCACATGAGGCTCAGGGAGCTGAAGTCAGTTGCCCATGGTCACATAACAAGTTGTGCTTTAAAAAATTCAGAGAGTCCCCCAGGCAGGGCCCATCCAGGAGCCAGTGTGTGCAGCCAGCTTGGTAATTCAGGTCCAGTGGTTAATTAGTAACTGGAAGGCCCCGAAGCCAGCTTCCAGCAGGCAGGGCTGGGAGGTTGAACTTGAGCCGGTTTGGGAGCCAGGAGCGAGTGGGTGACAGGTCATTCCTGACTGGGAAGGTTGCTTGACAAGTCAGGATTGTGCCTCCAGTCAGAAGGACCATGAAGAGAGAGAAGAGGGCAGAGCCGTGCATGGGGCTGCTCCCCAGGACCTGAGCAGGAACCTGGAGTTTTCAGGTGAGAGGCTCACCTGTGAGCAGGATACCTGCCTGCTCGCCTATTGGTCTCCAGATTGACTAGTTACCTAGCTAACATCTTTCCTAGTACCTGTTTACTTTCTTTCCTTCCTTTCTTCCTTGGCGACTTCTTTCCCTTCTCCCTCCTTCCTTTCCTTCCTTCCCTCCCAACTATCTGCTTTCTCAGCTGCCTAATTTTCTTCCTCCTTAACTAACCAACTTACATCCTCACTTCCTTCCCACTGACTTCATTTTTTCCTTTTCTAGCTTTCTATTGTCTTCCTGAAATTCCAGGCCGTGGGCTTTGCAGTCAGATGGCCTGGGTTCAAATCCTGGTTATGTCATTTATTAACTGTCTTGATCATGTCACTTCCCTGTCCTTGCCTCAGTTTTCTCCTCCTTGAAACAGGGACGATGATAGTTCCTAACCCGTGGGGTTGTGGGAACAAAATAAGATCAAGTTGGCACTTGAACTGGGCAGGCGTGTAAATGAACAAGTTACAGTGAAGACAGGGACAGCAGCAGGAGAGGGTGCATGGGATCGGAGGGTCATCTGGCTTCCAGGAAAGGCAATGAGAACAGGTGAAAAGGTGAGCTGGAAAGACCAGGTTTGTTGGGGAATGTTCCAAGGAGAGAGAACTGTGTGACACTGTCCCACCCCCACACCCCATTTGGCAGGGCCAGGGAGCTGTAAGCAGGTCCATGTAACAGTGGGACAGAGGGAGGCAAGTCTGGGCTGTGGCAAGTTAGGAAAGGGACAGGCTTGAGGACTCATGGAGGGGCTTGAGTGGGAGTTTGCGGAGTCTGAAGAGTTAGGAGAATATATTGATGTCCAGCTTCTGGCCAGAAAATTAGAACACCGTGGTGCGAGAGAGAAGAAAGCCTTAGGAACTGAGGGCTGCTTAGGCATGGGGGTCACAGTCAAGGTGATGGGGGAGGGTGTGATGGGCCATGGGCATGCCAGGTTCCCACCAGGAACTCAGTACTTGAATATTAACTCAACAGCAATATCTTGAGAAGCTTTACACAATAGTACAAAGATAAAAGTTAAAATAACCGGCCGGGTACAGTGGCTCACACCCGTAATCCTAACACTTTGGGAGGCCGAGGCAGGCGGATCACCTGAGGTCAGGAGTTTGAGACCAGCCTAGCCAACATGGTGGAACCTCGTCTCGACTAAAAATACAAAAATTAGCCGAGCGTCGTGACACATGCCCGTAATCCCAGCTATTTGGGAGGCTGAGACAGGAGAATTGCTTGAACCCAGGAGGCGGAGGTTGCAGTGAGCAGAGATTGCGCCACTGCACTCCAGCCTGGGCGACAGAGCGAGACTCCATCTCAAAAAAAAAAAAAAAAAGTTAAAATAACCTAACCTAAGAACCCGCTGTGACCTTGGGTCATGACCCTGCAGTCTTTTTTTGGCAGCTGTGCTCACAAATGTGTACGTGCAGACATGTCTTTTGTTTTTCTTTTACAAAATTGGTACCCCTACAACACCTACTATTTTGAAACTTGGTTTTTTGCTTGATATTGTATCACATGTATGTTCCTGTTTTGGTTTATATAGGTTTTATATAGTTTTTGGTTGTGTAATTTTCCACTTTATATATGTACCAACATTTATCAATTCATTTATTGATTCATTAGTCAAATTGTACTGGGCATCTACTATATTCCAGGCCCTGTGCTCAGTGCTGAGGATTCAATAGTTGAACAGGAAGTATTTGCCCTCCTGGAGCTGATGTTCTAGTTGGAGATAGAAAATAAAAACTAATAAATACGTGATAAGGCATCAGTGCTACAAAGTAAAATATAAAGTAGACAAAATGTATAGGGAATGAGCAGGACTGGTATCAGAGTGACTAACCATCCTGGTTGGCCCAGGACTATAGCGGTTTTAGCACTGAAACCCATCAGTCCCAGACAAACCAAGATGACTTGTCACCCGTAATCAGTACAAGCCTCTCCAAGAGGTGACTTTAAGCAGAAGCCTCTATGACGTTAGTGGAAAACAGCCATGCAGGTGCCTGGGGGAAGAGTGTTGTAGGCAGAGGGAAAACTAAGTGCAAGGGGCTGGAGGCCAGAGAGCACTTAGTGTGTCTGAGGGACAGCAAGAGAAAGGAGAGAGGCTGAGGGCAGTCAGGAAGGAGGGGAGTGGAAGCCAAGGAGGAGATGGAGACAGCAAGCTAGGTCATATGGATCTCATAAACCATGGTAGAGGCTTTGGATTTTTTTTTTTTTTTTTTTTTTGAGACAGAGTCTTGCTCTGTCACCAGGCTGGAGTGCAGTGGCGTGATCTCAGCTCACTGCAACCTCTGCCTCCTGGGTTCAAGCTATTCTCCTGCCTCAGCCTCCTGAGTAGCTGGGACTACAGGCACATATCACCACGCCCAGCTAATTTTTGTATTTTTAGTAGAGACGGGGTTTCACCATGTTGGCCAGGATGGTTTCGATCTCTGACCTCATGATCCACCCGCCTCGGCCTCCCAAAGCACTGGGATTACAGGTGTGAGCCACCGCGCCCAGCTGAGGCTTTGGATTTTAATTCTAGGTGTGTTGAGAAACCACTGGAGTTTTTGAGCAACTAAGGCACATGATCTGATTTACATTTTAAGACTCACCGTGGCTTTTCATAGAGAAAGATTGTAGTGGGTAAATGGAGAAGCAGGGGTCAGTGGAGAAGCCATTGCAATAATCCATTCAAGTGACAATGGGGGCTCAGGCAGGGCGGTTGCAGCAATGATGGTGAGCAGCAATGGTTTCTGGATATATTTTGAATGGAATTTCATGATGGAGTGGAGGCGGAGTGAGGGTGCAAGCTTTCTAGAATGAACTCAAAGTTGCTGGCTTGAACTTTTGAGTAGGCGGTAGTGCCATTATTGAGGCTGAAGACTGAGGGAGGAGCAGACTGGGGCAGAGTGGAAGGAATATGAGTCAAGACCTTTGTTTTGGACATGTTAACTTCGAGATACCAGCCAGGCGCAGTGGGTCACGCCTGTAATCCCAGCAATTTGGGAGGCCGAGGCAGGAGGATTGCTTAAGCTCATGAGCTCAAGACCAGCCTGGGCAACATAGTGAAACCCTGTCTCTACAAAAAGTACAAAAAAAAATTAGCCAAGCCTGGTGGTGTGTGTCTATAGTCCCAGCTACTCAGGAGGCTGAGGTGGGAGAATAGCTTGAGCCAGGGAGGTAAAGATTGCAGAGAGCCTAGATCACTCCACTACACTCTAACCTGGGCTGCAGAGCTAAACCATGTCTCAAAAAAAAAAAAAAAAAAAAAAAAAAAGATTGAGATGCTTTGGCTGGGCACGGTGGCTCACACCTGTAATCCCAGCACTTTGGGAGGCAGGGGTGGGTGGATCACATGAGGTCAGGAGTTCGAGACCAGCCTGGCCAACATGGTGAAACCCAGTCTCTACTAAAAATACAAAAATTAGCCAGGCGCAGTGGCGGGTGCCTGTAATCCCAGCTACTCGGGAGGCTGAGGCAGGAGAATCGCTTGAACCAGAAAGCGGAGCTTGCAGTTAGCCAAGATTGTGCCATTGCACTCCAGCCTAGGCAACAGAGTGAGACTCTTTCTTAAAAAATAAATAAATAAATAAAGATTGAGATGCCTCTAGACATCTGACTAGTGAATTGTCAAGGAAGCAGTTAAATATTTAAATCCAGAGTTCAGGAGAGAATCAGAACTAGGCTGGGCGCAGTGGCTCACGCCTGTAATCCCAACACTTTGGGAGGCCGAGGCAGGCAGATCACTTGAGGTCAGGAGTTCGAGACCAGCCTGGCCAACATGGCGAAACCCCATCTCTACTTAAAAAAATACAAAAATTAGCCGGGTATGGTGGCGGGCACCTGTAGTCCCGGGTACTCAGGAGGCTGAGGTGGGAGTATCACTTGAACCTGGGAGGCAGAGGTTGCAATGAGTTGAGATAGCACCACTGCACTCCAGCCTGGGTGACAGAGCAAGACTCTGTCTCAAAAAAAAAAAAAAGAAAGAAAGAAAAAAAAAGATTTGGGAACTGACAAGTATAGTTGGTTAAACCACTAAAATGGTAGTGATCAACTAAAGAACAAGTACGTGTAGACAGAAGCCCAAAGACTAAGCCCTGGGATAGGCCTGTGTTTAAGGATAAAAAGAGGAGGAAAATCCAGCACAAGAGATGGAGGAAGAGCAGTCAGTGAGCTAGAAGGAAAACCAAGAGTTCCTAAAGCCAAATGGGGAACATGAGCACACCAAATTCTTCAGAGAAGTTGAATAAGATGAGGATGAGGAACTCATCACTGGCTTTGGCACATAGAGGTCACTGGTCCACGGTTTCATTGAAGTGTTGGGATGAGAGCCCATTTGGAACGGGCTCAAAAGAGAACAGGAAGAGGACTGGAGACAAGGAGTCCAGACAACTCTTTCAAAGAGTTTAGCTGAAAAGGGGTACAAAGAAATGGGACCATATCTGGACACGGTATATGGTCAAGAGAGGGAGCTCTTGCAGCTGGCAAGTGTTCTGAAGTGCTCTGTGGTGGGACACTTAGGTTACTATTAGCACAATTATTTTGCTGTTATAAATAGTGCTGCTGAATGAAGGCCACATCAGGATCTTGTTTTTGAAAATAAATGTCCTTGTTCTGGGTATGTGTTTTGTCAACATGACATCCTGCTGATCATGAATTGGTTCCACATTTCTATTTTGTTCAAGATGGAAGGCTTTGATACTGTGCACTCAGGTTTTCTCTGGTCAACACTTCCAGATCCTCCGCATTTCAGAACCCACAGAGAACCCCTGAGGCCCCTGGGCTCAGTTCCCTCCCTGACCAACTTTCTGGGCCCTAGCCCCATGTGTCCCTCCCCTGTAGTATACTGTAGCCACACAGAAAGTTTGAGAAGGGCAGGGGCTGTGGGCCCATCAACTCCTTTATTCTTGAGAACATCTGCCTACCCCTCGGGATCCTGGGGAGAGGAAGGGACCCTGTGAGAACCTAATGACCGCCCCAGGCAGCAAGGCCTTCATGAGCCAGGGTGCTCTCTGGGACCGTTTCTTACGCAGCAGGAGAGTCGTGGGCCAACCAGGCCTGCCCTGAGGACTGGGCCAGAGCCCTTGAGGGGCCCGCAGGGAAAGGCCAAAAGGACCAAGTGCTCATTAAAGACCAAGGCAGGCTGGACTGAGCTAGACACCCAGGCTCCAGGTTCCTTCCTCTGAAACATCTGCAGGTTTTTGGGAGGCGAAGGGCTCTCAGCTGCCATGGCTGATGTCTGGGGACTTTTTCTTCAGCTCCAGATGGTCTACACAGGGTTCGTATACACAGGCCCCCTAGCCGCACGCATGCGTGCATGCACGCGCGCACACACATACACACACACACCCCAGAGTAAATTCACTGATATACACCACTATGAACACACACAATGACTTACCTATACACACATATTAATAGACACCCATACTGCTCTTAACACACACCTTCAGACATCCACACAGACTCACACTCACCCACATACACACACACTGACACAGCATATTCACATACAAAGATACACACTGATATGTACCACACAGAGACACGCTGAAACACATCCATATGCACACCACACACACTGAGATACAGTGACACACACAGTCACAGATGCACAGACATATGCTGATGTAAATGTACAAATGTGGTCACACTGACACATACATGCAATCATCTACGCAGACTCATAGAAACCGACACAAATACCTGAAATACACAGCCACAGACAGACACACACGGAAGCACTCTATGCACAAAACACTCACACAGTACACACCATGCTGCACATACCCTGACCCAAACAGTCTAACAAGCCCTGAGGGTCTCCAGGGCTGCCCTGGGGCTATTGCCCACCCCTCCCACCGTCCCCGCTAGGGTGAGATGGTGTTCCCCAGGGAACAGAAGTCTCCAGTCCCATCTTAAGCTCTGCCGGATCCCGCGTGACATCAGCTAGCCCCCTCGCGGCTGCCGGGAGCTGTGAGCTCTGTGCTGGGGCCAGGCCGGCACCAGGCACAGACACTTAGGCCCTTGTTGGGAGAACAGAGAGAGGCTCTCTTGTCCACTGCCTGTCTTCGGTTCCAACTGCTGGTTCTCCTAGAGGCCTCTCCTCAGACTCGCAGGTATGTGGGACCAGGGAGGCCGGGTCCTGGCCAAAGGGCCACTGGGGTCAGCCCAGGAGAGGGTGTGGCAGTGTTGTGGGCCGTTTGCAGGAGCACACACGTCTGGCATTGGCTAGGGGCAGGCTGCGCTTCCTTAGCAGTTCTGCAGCTTGCTCTTAAGGCTTGGCAGGGCTGGGCCTCTCAGGGAAGCCTGGGCTGGGGGATCCTCTCAGTTCCCCTTCACTTTCTCTGTTCCCAAGAAGGCCATGAGGTTGGTGCCTCCAGGACCCCCCCTTGTAAAGATAGGAAATCTCTACTCAGAGAGGCTGGGCTGCAGCCCAGGCCCCACAGTGGGCCAAGACTAAGGTCTTGAGATGCGCGGCAACTGGGCTTTCAGGTGAGATCTCTGCTCTCAGCCTTTGCCAAGCAAGGATGAGACTGTGGGGCCCCAAGCAATCTGTGGCAGGGCCTGGGCACCCTGGCCCCGTCTCCCCTGCAGGGTGGAAGCAAGGAAGACACTATTCCTGGCCACATAGATCAGCTGGTCACACCTTCTGTTGTTTGGCCCCGAATAGATATTGGCCAGTCTTGGGTCTCTCTGTGGCCCCAGCCCAAGGCTTCCAGGGCAGCTGCCTTTCCTGAGGCATTGGGCAGAATTCCTTGTGGCAAGGAGATCGTAGCACAGAGCCCAGCTGGGACTGCGCACAGTAATTCAGGGTTGCCATTGTTCCTCTATGGGAGTCCGGAGAGCCCAGCCTGTGCTTCACAAGGCTATGTGGCCCTAGGAAGGTCCTTTTTTAGGCCACAGGCCTTCCATCTGTGAAATGGGGGATGGGTTCAGACTTTATGCCCTGAAAAGATCCTTCCAGCCCTGGCCATCTTGGACTTCTGGAGCTACCCTGGCTCACAGGGGTCTTGTTGCCCTGGGTGTCCCCAGTTCTTGAAAAGAATCAGCCTGGGAGGGGCCACACCCTGACCATCCCCCTTTATCCCTTCTGAGATGTTTGTTAGGAAGTCTGGGTCCAGGGGATATCATTTCTTGTTCCATCCATGCAGGGGTTGCTTACCTCGGGTAGGAAACCCTCAGGCGGTGGCAGGTGCACAGGTAGGGGAGGATGGAGAGGGCAGTGGTGCCTGAAGCCCTGGATGGGCGGAGCTGACCCCCCAACACCAACTCTCTCATGCCTGCTCCTCCCTGTCCCCCCAGAGCTGCCTGATCATTGCTACAGAATGAACTCTAGCCCAGCTGGGACCCCAAGTCCACAGGTGAGTGGTTCTTGGTCCCCCACCCATCATCGGGGGCTCACTTCTTCCCGAGGCTAAGGAAATCTGTGGGTCCCAGACAATGTCAGGGGCTGAGAGGGTTACTGCGAGCACATAGAAATGAGCCACTTGCAGGGTGAATAGAGTAGAGATTTGAAATAGGGCTTCAAGATGAACTGGAAAAATCATGAGATTTGTCATGGAGACACCTGGGTCGTATCCCAACCTGGTTGCCTGTGAGACCCTGGGCAACTCCTCTCTGGGCCTCAGTTTCCTCGCCTATTCAATTAGCACAACAGCCAGCTGCCTCCCAAGGCTGTTTTGAGAAGTGGGTAAGATGGTGGATAAGTGGATTTGTGGGTGGGTAGAAGGAGGGAGGGAGGGAGGGAGGCGGGCAGGCGGGCAGGTGAAAAAAAAAGAAAAGAAAAAGGCAGGCAGGCCTAGTAGAGTTGTTGGAGAAGGGATCAGGGCCTGGGCCAGGAGAAAGGGAGGTAGCCAAGGAGTAGGGATCTGCTGATCATAATCACTTCTTTCTTTAGCCCTCCAGGGCCAATGGGAACATCAACCTGGGGCCTTCAGCCAACCCAAAGTGAGTTCTGGTCCCTCAAGCACCTTTCCTACTTGACTCCCCTCATACCTGGCTCCCCTTGCCTTGGGAATAAAATCCAGATTCTCTGGTCTAGCATTCAAGACTGTCTGCCATCTGGGCCCAGGACCTTTCCCCAGCTCTATCTCCCACAAATTCCCCAGCCTCTGCCCATGCTGAACCCTCTTCCTGCAATGCCACCTAAATGTCTGCATTGTTAGCAACTCCCCACACTTCAGGCCCTTCTGAGGGGCTTTGGGTACCAGAACCCTGCCTTCTATGCAGGCCTTCTGTGCAGTATGTCTGGTTTTATCTCTACCCTCTGCCTGTTGTTTAACTTGAATTTGAGTTCCCCTGGGGCCAGGGTGAATCTTACAAGCCCTCTTTCGGCTGGGAGAACATGGGGTTCTTCGGGGGTGAGGAGGCATGGCTCCTGGAAGGCTCTCTGTATTTCCCCATTCTAAAGTTAAAAAGAAGCCCAGGTTTGTTCTCAGGCACCAGGTTTCCAGACATTGCAAATGCTGATCCGTGTTTTTCCCTCTTCCCCCAGTGCCCAGCCCACGGACTTCGACTTCCTCAAAGTCATCGGCAAAGGGAACTACGGGAAGGTGAGTGACTTGGTGAGGGTGGGAAGCCTGGGTCTTCCCTTCTGCAGCCTCTTCCAGCCCCTGCTGCCACTTGTATGTATGAAGAGAGAGCACTCGCACCTGCAGACAAAAGCAGGGGCAGGCGGGAGGCCTTGTACTGCTGTTGGGAAGTCCAAAGTCACCTACAGGGCCTCAAATTCATGTTTCTTCTCAGGTCCTACTGGCCAAGCGCAAGTCTGATGGGGCGTTCTATGCAGTGAAGGTACTACAGAAAAAGTCCATCTTAAAGAAGAAAGAGGTACCAGAGCTCGGGCACAGGCATTTCTTCTTCTGCTTCTCAAGCCGCAGCCTAGGGTGGCTTTCAAAGATGGGTCCCACCTCTGACAGGTCCATGGGCCTGGGTGCAGAAGTGGTCACAACAAAGGGTAGAGGGGAGGTGGTACGCAGGATGCTGGCCCTTCTCAAAGAAAGCAGGCCAAGCCATCTCACCACAGGGCTTTCAGGAAAACCAGCCTGGCTTTGCCTTCCCCTGGGAAACACAGGCTCCACGATGGACAAGTCTTCTGCCTGCTCCAAGTGCCAGGCTCCCCATCTGTATAATGTGGAGCCCCACTTTATTCTCTCTGAAGACCCTTCATGCCATCAGGCCATATGGCTGGAGTGCAGTAGTGCAATCACAGCTCACTGCAGCCTCAAACTCCTGGGCTTAAGCAATCCTCCCGCCTCAGCCTCCCAAAGTGCTGGGGTTAGAGGCATGAGCTACATGCACAGCACATCATGGACTTCTTTTTTTGTTGTTGAGACAGAGTCTTGCTCTGTCACCCAGGCTGGAGTGCAATGGCACCATCTCAGCTCACTGCAACCTCCGCCTCCTGAGTTCAAGTGATCTCATGCCTCAGCCTCCCCAGTAGCTGAGACTAAAGGCACCCGCCACCACTCCTGGCTAATTTTTGTATTTTTAGTAGAGATGGGGTTTTGCCATGTTGGTCAGGCTCCTGGCCTCAAGAGATCCGCTGGCCTCAGCCTCCCAAAGTGCTGGGATTACAGGCATGAGCTACCACACTCAGCCCCATCATGGATTTCTTGATGCCTCAGCTGACCTGAGTTCCTTTAACACCTGACTCCATTAGTAGGCCAGAGCAGGCCCAGAGAGAGGATTGCATAGGAGGTTGGGGGACTCAGAGAAAAGAGAGATTAATGTTAACAAGGTCTCCGTGGGGGGTGGAATGGGAGGTCTTCCTGAGGGAGGCAGCGGTGCAGCTGGCCTTGATGGTGGGATTCTGATGGTCTGAAAAGAGGGTGCGACATCCAGGAAGAGGAAATAGCATGAGCAAATACATGAATATGGATAGTGTGTGGCTTCTTTCCCTTAGGAACTCAGTTATGTAGGCATCACACATGCTTTGCTTTTCACTCCAAGGGCAAGAAGCTCTGATACAGGGGCTAGAGCTGTGCCCACATGAACTAGCTTAGGATGAGGCTGACCACCCTGAGCCCTGAATACTAAGGAAGGAACTTGGGCCTGGCTCTAAGGGCAATAGGGAGCCATTGTGGGTGTTTGAGCAGGGGCATGAGAAAGTCCTGGGTAGGATGACCCCCACCCACAAGCTTATATGGGCTGAGCCGGGATAAAAGAGGCTGTTGTGGGCTGTGACATGGACCCCTCTCTTTGTGACTCCACAGCAGAGCCACATCATGGCAGAGCGCAGTGTGCTTCTGAAGAACGTGCGGCACCCCTTCCTCGTGGGCCTGCGCTACTCCTTCCAGACACCTGAGAAGCTCTACTTCGTGCTCGACTATGTCAACGGGGGAGAGGTGGGTGGGCCCACAGGGAGGCTTCCCTGGGCTGGCTCTCGGCTGGGAGCTGTCCATCCCACATGCCCACTGCATGCCAAGTTCTGGAATGATCTCACTTCATCTTACAATAGACCCATTTTGTAGCTAAAGAAACTGAGGTTCAGGGAGGTAATCATTTGCTCAAGGCCACCCAGCGCATACCTGGTAGAGTCAGGACTTGAATTCAGGTCTGTTAGACTCCCCACCATAATGCTTTCTTGCCTTCCTCATTCAGAGTTGCCCATAGACGCACTTTGATAGGCCCGGGAAAGGTCAATGCTAAGAGGAGCTCGTGGTCAAGGTTTCTAGTGCTCCCATAGGCCACAGGGTGGGATTGACTGGTCACTGTGGTAAACAGAGACCTCAAGGCCACCTGGTGACCCAGAAGCACAGCTGGGACAAGCAGAGCTCCCTCCTGGGCTTCACTCTGTCTCTCTGGTCAAGATGCAAAATGTAGTGGAGCTCCAGTCAGTGACCCCAGATTTAACCTGCGTGATCTCTTGCCTTTCAGAATGATGCTAAGAGGGGGGTTTTTGTCCTGCATCCCTAAGTGAAGGGCTTTCCATGCCAGCAAAATAGTCCAAAAACATTGGCCCATGGGTGGATCTAACCTGAGCTCAGTCTGACAGCCGTATCATCATATCGCCTGGATTGATGGAAAAGCATAATCTTTGAACCACGCAGGTTCAAATGCCAGCTCTGCCAATTATAAGCTACATGACCTTGGGCAAGTCGCCTAACCATTCTGACCCCTCCTAGCTTCCTCTTACATGAAACTAGCATGACACTTGTACCTTGAAGGTTGTCATGAGGATTAAATAAGAGATGTGGAAGGGCCTGACTTGGAACCTGGAACACAGGAGGTGCTTAAGCAATGCTAACTCATCTCTTCTTCTGCTGACTCTTTGGACACCCGGGACTGCTGTGTGGGGCAGGGGCCAGCATGCACTCTTTTGGTAGGAAGAATGCTGCAGGTCAGAGAGGGAGTGAGCTCGCAGCCGCACAGGGCGGGGAGCAGGTGCACCCTAGCCCTACAGCAGCCACCCAATAACTCCTGTCACACTCCTCCTCCCCTCCAGCTCTTCTTCCACCTGCAGCGGGAGCGCCGGTTCCTGGAGCCCCGGGCCAGGTTCTACGCTGCTGAGGTGGCCAGCGCCATTGGCTACCTGCACTCCCTCAACATCATTTACAGGTGAGGCCTGCCTGTGGCTCAGAGCCAGGACCAAGCCCTTCTTGCTCCAACAGCTAGGGGTTGTGTGGACACTAAATCCTGATGAAATCCTGGTGGACTTGGTCCTTTGTTTTGGGTGGGGTTGGAGTCTCCTCCTCCGAGGTCCAAGTGCCCAGCCTTTCTGGGCTCTCCTTCTGCATCTCTGGCAACCTCCATGAATAGTTCTCCTGCCAGGACCACCCCCCGCCCAGGTCTCCAACTCTCCTCACTAAATGGCTGAGACACCTCAAGGCTGTTTTCTCTTATTTTCTGCAGGGATCTGAAACCAGAGAACATTCTCTTGGACTGCCAGGTTGGTGTGTGTGTGTGTGTGTGTGTGTGTGTGTGTGTGTGTATGTGGTTGCACAGGTACACTATCTGACCATGAGTCTGTGTACATGGGTGTGCATGCATTGTACATGTATGCATATAGGTAGAGGAGGCATTTGAGCATATGTGTGTGTGCCCATGCACATGTACACACATACATATGTGCACATGAGACTGTACATGTATATGTGTGCATGCATGTACATAGGGGGCAGGGGTGGAGCCAGGTGGAGGCTGGTGGAGTTTGTCTTAGACTGGGCTCCATGGAAACAGACTCTGAGATGGAGAGGAGGCAGAAGCTTTATTGGGGAACATTCTCAAGAGATAACACTTTTAAAGGGGTAAAAAAACAGGATTGGGCAAAGGAAGAAGCTCACCTGCATTGTAGTTACCAGTGGGGCCTCAGCTGATCTTGCCGGCAGGGGGAGGGCCTGAGCTGGGGTGGGTCTCTAGGATTGTCCCAAAATGAGACAAAGAGGATGGGCCTTTGTGCCCCTGGACATGGATTGCTCCTAGGGACGGGGCATAACTTTGGGTGCGGGCAATGTTCTAGCAGCAGGGGGATGGGGATAGGCATGGTTCTTCTGTAGCCTGGTTTCAGAAGAGGGATCCAGGCAGAACCCCACAGTATCTACTCATTCTACCTTCCTGCCCAGCTGCCACAAGGTGTGATTGCTTTCTGAGTCCCCAGCCTCTGTCTAGGGGTTTTCTGTCCACAAGCTGCCACTGTCGTAGGGGTGGGTCTGAGTTTGTGATGAGCTGTGGGCAAACAGTGGAATGCCCACCCGGCCCCCTGTGCTGCTCCTGACATCCAGTCCAGGAGCCCTGTGTTGGAGTGGAGCCTCCAGCCTGTGCCTGGGCATCAGATCCCACAGCTGCTGCCCTGGGGTGTGGCATCTGGGCTTTGGGGGTTAGGCCTGGCCATACCCTTGGCTCATACCACCCTCCAGCCCATGCCCTCCGTCATTCTCAGGGACACGTGGTGCTGACGGATTTTGGCCTCTGCAAGGAAGGTGTAGAGCCTGAAGACACCACATCCACATTCTGTGGTACCCCTGAGGTAAGCGTAAACATCCCAGGAGAGGGGAGGTCATGAGTGGGTGAGGCCACAGCTCCTGATTAGAGCCAACAGGTTACAGTGAAGGGGACTCACTCCTTTGACCCAAACACTTCTCCTGAGTGGGCTATACACTGAACTGTGGTTTCCTCATCTATGTAATGGGGGTACCAGCTCTAGGACTGCTGAGACCCAGCCAGCTAGCTGCTGGTGAAGCTCTACTGCAGTGCTATCCAGTAGAAATAGAAATAGAAACGCAGGCTGGGCACAGTGGCTCACGCCTGTAATCCCAGCACTTTGGGAGGCTGAGGTGGGCAGATCACCTGAGGTCAGGAGTTTGAGACCAGCCTGGGTAACATGGTGAAACCCCATCTCTACTAAAAATACAAAAAATTAGCTGGGCACGGTGACGGGCACCTATAGTCCCAGCTACTCGGGAGGCTGAGGCAGGAGAATCGCTTGAATACAGGAGGCAGAGGTTGCAGTGAGCCAAGACTGTGCCACTGCACTCCAGCCTGGGCAACAAGAGTGAAACTCCATCTCAAAAAAAAAGAAAAAAGAAAGAAATTCAAACCACATAAACACTTTAAAAACTTCCAGCAGCCACATTTAAAAAGTAAGAAAGTAACAGGTGAAATTAATTTTAATGATGTATTTTATTTAACCCAATATATCCAATATTCTCATTTCAACATACCATCAATATAAAACTGGTTGAAATATTTTATTCCTTTTTTTTTTCTAACTAAGTCTTGAAAATCTGGCATGAATTTTAACACTTACAGCCCATCTCAATTTGGAGCAGCCACATTTGAAGTGTTCGATAGCCACGTGCAGCCAGTGGCTGCTATATTGTACACTACTGATCTGCAGGGTGAAGGCCACGTGCAACAAGAGGGCCTGGCCTGAGTGTTAAGACCTGGGCTGGCAAGTGTAAACCACAGGTCCGTGTCCATCTTCCAGCTGCCAAGAGCCTGGAGGGTTACAATTTGCAGATCTCAGCAGTCATTCAGACATGTCTATATGTCCTGCCAAGGTCTCTCTGCAGCCCTGAAGTTAAAACCTTTCTTTGGGCCAGGCGTGGTGGCTCACGCCTGTAATCTCAACACTTTGGTAGGCCGAGGCAGGCAGATCACCTGAGGTCAGGAGTTCGACACCAGCCTGGCCAACATGGCGAAACCCCGTCTCTACTAAAAATACAAAAATTAGCCAGGTGTGCTGGCAGGCACCTGTAATCCCAGCTACTCAGGAGGCTGAGGCAGGAGAATCGCTTGAACCTGGGAGGCAGAGGTTGCAGTGAGCCGAGATCGGGTCATTGCACTCCAGCCTGGTGGACAAGAGCGAGACTCTGTCTCAAAAAAAAAAAAAAAAAAAACTTTATTTGAACTCCCACCAGTCTTGGACCTTGGACCTTGGACCTGAAGGGGTCCCCAGTGGCTAGACAGACGTCAGGGTGAGGGTTGGAGGGCTGAGGCTACAGACTGGGAGACTCCTCCCCACCTGGCATGAGACAGGACCTCAGCTGCTCTCTTTTTCTCCATATGCTTGAAAAGCTGGGTCTTAGATCTAATGGCCTCCTCACTTTAGTTCTAGGGTAGCTGATGGTCGGATGAACTCTCTGAGCAGGAGCCATGGTCTGTGTTTGGGTATGGTGGGTGGTGTTTGCTGGATAAAGCCAGCGCCCCAAAGCCTGACAGTCCAGCCATCCCTTCCTTGGACGTTGCTAGGGACGGGAACAAAGGATATGGAACCCCAGCTCATGTAGGAGACATGTGGCCCCAACACATCACCTTTACCACGACTCAGCCACTGCCATGGTGTTGGGGGGCACAGGCAAGAGTAGCCATGGTTGCTCCCATTGTTTGAGGGCCAGCACATATGTTAGCATCTTAGAACAGCTTCTAGCAGGGATTTGGTATCTTCACATTTTTAGGATGAAAAAACCAGGGTCTGAGAGGTTAAATGCCCTGCCTGAGACCACGTACCAACCACGGCTCAGGTCTGTGTGACTCTGCCCTTCCCTAGACCCCACACAGTCTCTCAGAGCAGCTTTTCCTGTTGCTGAGACCTTGCCCCCGACTCGGTGGCAGAGACACCAGGCTAAGAAGTCAGTAAGCCTCTTTTTTTTGTTCCCAGGTTCTCTTCCTCATGCAAGGCATAGAGACATGGTGTACATTTATTTATCAATAGCTCAGGGGTCACCCCCTCCTTCCTGACCCTCTCGTCTGACCCTAGGGTTTCCAGCACAAGGATATGCCACATGTACTTTTACTTACACTCACATTAGTCTCCACACTGCCCTGTGAGAGTACTCCCGGGGCCTTCCGTTCCCAGGACACGGATAGCCAGTTGAATGCCTTTGCAAAAATAGAAAAAGGCATCCCCTCCGGGCAGACTAATTAGAAAAAGCACCCCTTGAAACAAAAATAAAGTTGCCGGATAATACCTTTGAACTAGTGTTGCGGCTTGGTGAGTGGATTACAGCCATGAGTGCAGCCCCCTTTACCCTTTTGGCTGGTGCTTTTGTGTGGTACACACCATGTAAATTGCACAAAGCAGTCCTGGCTGACCTCTTCTACATCCCCAACCCATGGCAAAGGGCCCTGCAGAAAGCAGGCCTTTGCTGAATGACTGATGCATGAACACACACACAGCCACAGAGCACACGTACAGCAGGGTCAGCTCTTGGTCATCTTCCTCCAAGTGCCTTATTTACAGCTGGGGCAACTGAGGCTTAACGACTTATTTCAAATAAGTGTGTTTCCTTCTAACAGTACTTGGCACCTGAAGTGCTTCGGAAAGAGCCTTATGATCGAGCAGTGGACTGGTGGTGCTTGGGGGCAGTCCTCTACGAGATGCTCCATGGCCTGGTGAGTCAGGGGTAGCCATCTACAAGGGCCATCTGGCTAGGGATGGGTCTGTCTCTCATGTGGTCTACACAAGCTCTGTCCAGGAAAATGAGCAAGCCATCTCTTCATTCCAGACTAAAAAAGATAACGCCAAGGTGAATATGCAAATTATTATTTTTTTCAATAATGTTAGTTTAGGCCAGGGGCGGTGGCTCACACCCATAATCCCAGAACTTTGGGAGGCTAAGGCAGGTGGATCACCTGAGGTCAGGAGTTCAAGACCAGCCTGGCTAACATGATGAAACACCATCTCTACTAAAAATACAAAAATTAGCTGGGCGTGGTGGCGGGCACCTGTAATCCCAGTTATTCGGCAGGCTAAGGCAAGGAGAATCACTTGAACTTGGGAGGCAGGGGCTGCAGTGAACCGCGGTCGCACCACCGCATATCCAGTCTGGGTGACGGAGGGAGACTCTGTCTCAAAAAAAAAAAAAAAAAAAGTTAGTTTACAACACACTGTCTCACCTTGGGTGCCTCAAAATAGCCTTTGGAGGCTGACACAGCAGGAAATGGAGTTATTCATATTTTGCTGATAGGGAAATTGAGACCAAGAGAGATCACAGTCCTGATAGGTTGTGGAGCCAACCCCTGACCCCAGTCCTAGGCTGCCTGCTTAGGTAGAGGCATGTGTAGATTTGCCCTAGGCCATGCTTTGCTTTGAAGTGGTTTCACCAGCATAGCTTGGTCCCTAGGAAGGAACAGGCTCTGTGGATTAAGGGGAAGGAACAGCTGGAAGAGGTGTGGGAGGAAGAATAGTAAGAAAGAGAAGGGGACCCTGGATATGGTTTGGGGCCTGGCTGTCTTCCTAACTGTGCCACATAATTGCTCTGAGCCTTGTTTTCTTACCTGAAAAATTACAACTCTCTTGGAGGATGGTTATGAGGCTGGGGTGAAATGATTAAGGTGAAAGTGCAAATGTTGCCAAATGCAAAGTTGGTGCATAAGCTAGATGAAAAGAGATGGGCCTCACGCTGGTGGGAAGAGACTTCTGACCTTCCTAGCAACTCTCTCCATGTGCCGGAAGCCTGGAGTCCTGTCTCTTTCCAGTCTGCCATGCGAGCCATTGCACAAGACAGGGGTCATACTGAATCCTCCCAGCCGCCCACCTTGCTCCAAGTCTCCCCGAGCCTGTGTTCACTTTGCATGGGTGATCCTCCAGCTGTTCTCCCTCTCTCCCCAGCCGCCCTTCTACAGCCAAGATGTATCCCAGATGTATGAGAACATTCTGCACCAGCCGCTACAGATCCCCGGAGGCCGGACAGTGGCCGCCTGTGACCTCCTGCAAAGCCTTCTCCACAAGGACCAGAGGCAGCGGCTGGGCTCCAAAGCAGACTTTGTAGGTGACCTACCAGTGGAGCACTGGCCCCCATGGGGCTCGCAGCTTCCTGCAGAGGCAGCTCAGAAGCACATTAACACGCATCCTGCTGCCTTCTAAAACCAGGCACTGCTCACTTGTTCATTTGGAAATTCACTACTGCTACTAGCTGACTACTTTCTCCAGTCTAGTTCTCTTAGTCAATCAATATTTACTAAGCACCAACTATGTGCCAGGTATTGAGCTAGGTGTTAGGGATTCAATAGGCTGGGTCTCTGCCCTTATTAAGTTTGGGGTGGGGGCCGGGTGCGGCATACACGCCTGTAATCCCAGCACTTTGGGAGGCCAGAACGGGTGGATCACCTGAAGTCAGAAGTTCGAGACCAGCCTGGCCAACATGGTGTAAACCCTGTCTCTACTAAAAATACCAAAAATTAGCTGGGCATGGTGTTGGGCACCTGTAATCCTGGCTACTTAGTAGGCTGAGGCAGGAGAACCACTTGAACCTGGGAGGCGGAGGTTGCAGTGATCTGAGATCGTGCCATTGCACTCCAGGCAGGGCAACAAGAGCAAAACTCCACCTCAAAAACAAAAACAAAAAAAGTTTGGGATTGGGGGCAGGCAAAAAACCCAAACATTATATACAATTATCACAAGGTATGACAAGTGTCAGGAAGAAAATGAATAATGAGCTGAGATAGACAATAATGGGAGGGGGGGCAAATTAATAGCGGCATGATCAGGGAGTTCTCTCTGAGGAGGTGACAATTAAGCTGAGGCTTGACGGATGAGAAAGAGGCAGCCATGAAGACAGCTGGGCAAAGGCTCCCCAGACACAAGGCACAGCATGTGCAGAAGTCCTGCTATGGGAACAAGGAGGAGAGTGGCCAGTTTTAGGGTGTTTTGAGCAGAGGTCTGGCATGACCTGATTTAAGTTTTTAGAAGATTCCTCGGGCTTCTTTGCGGAGAGTGGACTGCACTGCATCTGCTTTTTTTTTTTTTTTTTTTTTCCGAGACAGAGTCTTGCTCTGTTGCCAGGCTGGAGTGCAGTGGTGCAATCTCATCTCACTGCAACCTCCTCCTCCCGAGTTCAAGCGATTCTCCTGCCTCAGCCTCCCAAGTAGCTGGGACTACAGGCACCCGCCACCACGCCCAGCTAATTTTTGTATTTTTAGTAGAGACGGGGTTTCACCAAGTTGGCCAGATGGTCTCGATCTTTTGACCTTGTGATCCGCCCACCTTGGCCTCCCAAAGTGCTGGGATTACAGGAGTGAGCTACCATGCTTGGCCTTTTTTTTTTTTTGAGACTGAGTCTCGCTCTGTCACCCAGGCTGGAGTGCAGTGGCACGATCTCAACTCACTGCAACCTCCATCTCCCAGGTTCAAGCAATTCTAATGCCTCAGCCTACTGAGTAGCTGGGACTACAGGCACCCGCCACCATGCCTGGCTAATTTTGTATTTTTTTAGTAGAGACGGGGTTTCACTATGTTGGACAGGCTGGTCTCGAACGCCTGACCTCAAGTGATCTGCCCGCCTCAGCCTCCCAAAGTGCTAGGATTACAGGCATGAGCCACTGCGCCCAGCCAGCACTTGCTTTTTACAAATATCTGAGTACTTCTTCCTTGCCAGACCCCAGGCTGGGCAAATGGGATATAGGGATAAATGATTCATAGTCCATTCTTAGCAAATTCATTATATTCATTCATTAAAGTGGCACTTTAAAAATAATCCTACTTTTTTTATTCAACACAAGGTAATTTGGATTTACAAAAAGAAGGCCGCAATATTTTCTCACCAGGAGTTTGCTTTCTTTTCTAACATAGTGGTTAAGATGAATGGACTAGGCCAGGTGCAGTGGCTCACATCTGTAATCCCACCACTTTGGGAGGCCAAGGCGGGCGGATCACCTGAGGTCAGGAGTTTGAGATCAACCTGGCCAACATGGCGAAACCCGGTCTCTACTAAAAGTACAAAAATTATCCAGGTGTGGTGGTGGGTGCCTGTAATCCCAGCTACTCAGGAGGCTGAGACACAAGAATTGCTTGAACCTGGGGGTGGGTGGAGGTTGCAGTGAGCTGAGATGGGCACCACTGTACTCCAGCCTCGGCAACAGAGTGAGACTCTATCTCCAAAAAAAAAAGATGAATGGACTATGAGGCAAACTACCTGGGTTCAGCAGATCCCTCCTTCACTGCTTACTAGTTACAGGACCTTGGACATGTTGCTTAATTTCTGTGAGCCGCAGTTTCCCCATTGTAATAACAGCACCTAACACAGCTGTTTTGAAGATCAAATGGATTAGTATTAATGTATGCAAAGTACTCTCAGCAGTGTCTGGCACACAATAAGTGCTTTTTAAGTGTACCAAAAGCTTTACATTCCAGTTACTGTAAATCGTAACAACAGTTAGGGCATCTGCTGCCTATTCCTGGCCAGCTTAAAGAATAGGGGCTTCCGTGAAGATGTCTCCTGTTCCAAGCAAAAATTTGTATCTTAAAAAAATATGTATGACTCTTAAAATAAGTTATACATTCACATAGATCAAAATTCAAAGGGTACAAAAGAGTATCTAGAAAAAGTCCTTCCAGCCACCCAGTTCCTCAATTCAGAGGCAACCAATGTTACCAATTTCTTGGGCATTCTTTCGGAGGCTTTTTTTTTTTTTTTTTTTTTTTTGAGACAGAGTCTTGCTCTGTTGCCCAGGCTGGAGTGCAGTGGCATGATCTCGGCTCACTGCAACCTCTGCCTCCCGGGTTCAAGTGATTCTCCTGCCTCAGCCTCCCAAGTAGCTAGGATTACAGGCACACACCACCACGCCTGGCTAATTTTTCTATTTTTGTAGAGACGAGGTCAACCATGTTGACCAGGTTGGTCATGAACTCCTGACCTCAGGTGATTCACCTGCCTTGACCTCCCAAAGTGCTGGCACTACCAGCGTGAGCCACTGCACCCAGCCTCTTACGGAGATATTTTGGATCTGGGTTGTTAACCAGCCCACTGGGGTTCCTGATATAGGGAGGTGGAGAATAATTATTTGAGAAACACAGATAGAGGATGTGATGGAAAGAAGTTGGTGCCAATGTTGATTTTGATTAGGAAAGGTGGTGAATCATGACCAGGGCTGAGTCCTAAAATCTGGGTGTCTGGGAATCTGAAGGTCTTCTTGGGGGCTTTATTTTTCAAACCTTCCCTAGTGAATTGATTTAGTCTACTTCTCTGGTTTGCATACTGGAAAACTCAAGATGTACTGAAGCAGAGTGAGGGGAGGGGTCTCCAAGCTCCCACTGGTACTCCCCCACCCCCAGAGCAGATTCTGATGTATTATTCACTGACACCCCCAAAGCCTAGCAAAGGGTCGGTGCCCAGAGAAGATGCTCAGTAAATAGTTTTGGAATAAACAGATGCTGTAGTGGGGAGAAGGGTTTGGATTCTGGATGATGGGAGAGGCTTGGCTGCAAAACTCTCTTGTCCCAGGAAACTAGCCAGAACTGCAAGTTAATTTCCAGTTGACAGCCAGTTGCTTGTGGAGCTCTGGAGGATGTGGGGGTGAGGTGAGAGCACCCATGGGGAGGGCTACTTCTAACCAGAACCTTTTTTCTGCACTTCCTGCAGCTTGAGATTAAGAACCATGTATTCTTCAGCCCCATAAACTGGGATGACCTGTACCACAAGAGGCTAACTCCACCCTTCAACCCAAATGTGGTAAGAGGTCACAGCATTCTAGACTCTGGATTTCCGGGGCTGGGGGAGCTTGCTATGCTTGCCAACTCTCCTTATCTAGATGGAAAACTTGGGGGTCCAAGAAGCTCAGTCATTTGTCCTAGGCTACACAGTCAGTTAGAGACAGAACTGGGCCTGACTACAGGTGCAGCTCTTGGATAAACAGCCATGTTGCTGCTCCTTTGTCTTGAGCACCAATAAATAACTCTGGCTGCAGAGACTTTTACAGTTTGTGAAGTGCTCTGTTTCGCACAGCACACCCACATAGGGCCAAGCCCTTTAGAGATATTTTATCCTTTTCTATTTATAGACTTTTTCCTGATAATAAAAATGACATATATCCTTATAAAAAGTATGTAAAACACTGGCCAGGCACAGTGGCTCACGACTGTAGTATCAGCACTTTGGGAGGCTGAGGCGGGTAGATCACTTGAGGTCAGGAGTTTAAGACCAGTGTAGCCAACATAGTGAAACCCCATCTTTACTAAAAATACAAAAATTAGCCAGACATGGTGGTGCACACCTGTAATCCCTGCTACTCGGGAGGCTGAGGTGGGAGAATAGCTTGAACCTGGGAGGCAAGGGTCACAGTGAGCCAAGATCATGCCATTGCACTCCAGCGTAGGCAACAGAGGGAGACTTCATCTCAAAAAAAAAAAAAAAAAAAAAGGGAATGTATGTAAAACAGAAAAGTTTAAAGTAGCAGTGGCGAAATGCTTATTATCTCACTACTTAAGGGAAACCACTGGCATATTTCCTTCCAGTCACTTTTCTATGTGTTTTTTTTTGTTTGTTTTGTTTTGTTTTTTTTCTTGAGATGGAGTCTCACTCTGTTGCCCAGGCTGGAGTGCAGTGGCACAATCTCGGCTCACTGTAAGCTCTGCCTCCTGGGTTCATGCCATTCTTCTGCCTCAGCCTCCTGAGTAGCTGGGACTACAGGCGCCCACCACCATGCCCGGCTAATTTTTTGTATTTTTAGCAGAGATGGGGTTTCACCATGTTAGCCAGGATGGTCTCGATCTCCTGACCTCGTGATCCGCCCGCCTCGGCCTCCCAAAGTGCTGGGATTACAGGCGTGAGCCACCGTGCCTGGCCTGTTTTGTTTTGTTTTTAACCTAATTAGGTCCTACTTTATAGTATCTATATGTGTGTGTGTGTTTATTCATCTATATTATCTTCCTCCTTTTTTGGCTAAAAACTATGTTATAATTTCCTCATGTCATAAAAAATTTTATAAATACAATTTTTAGTGGCTGCATAATATTTCCATCTTATGTTGGTAACATAATTTACTTACCCATGTTCCTAATGGCAATCTTATGGTTGTTACTATGTTTTTTCTTTATCATGATGTGCTGATGAACAGCTTTAAGTATATGTCTTTGCCCAGAATTCTGGTCATTTCTTTAAGATGGATTCCATATGGGGAATTCCCAATGCTAATGTTTTTTAGATTCTTTTTTTATTTTTATTTTATTTATTTATTTTTTTGAGACAGAGTCTCGTTCGATCGCCCATGTTGGAGTGCAGTGGCACGATCTCAGGTTCAAGCAATTCTCATGTCTCAGCCTCCCGAGTAGCTGTGATTATAGGCATGCGCCACCACGCCTGGCTAATTTTTGCATTTTCAGTAGAAACGGGGTTTCACCATATTGGCCAGGCTGGTCTCGAACTCCTGGCCCCGAGTGATCCACTCGCCTTGGCCTCCCAAAGTGCTGGGATTACAGGCGTGAGCCACCGCACCTGGCCATTTTTAGGTTGTTGATTCACACCACCTTTTCACTGTGTGGAAGGGAGAACCATCTACTTCCTACCAGCGGCACTTGCTGGAGAGTTCTCATCTTGCTTGCACTCTGAAGCATGTGTGGTTATTGTTTTTTACTTTGCAAATTTGGTAAGTAAAAAACAGCATCTCTTAATTGTTTTAATTTATATTTCTTTGTCTTATAGTAAAGATGGTTAGTTTTTTAAATTTATTTATTTTTTGAGACAGGGTCTCACTCTATCACCCAGGCTGATGTGCAGTGGCATGATCTCTGCCTATTGCAACCTCCACCTCCTGGGGTCAAGCCATCCTCCTACCTCAGCCTCCTGAGTACCTCAGCCTCCTGAGTAGTTGGGAGGTGGGTGCCACCACACCTAGCTAATTTGTATTTTTTGTACAGATGATGTTTTTCTATGTAGCCCAGGCTGATCTTGAACTCCTGGGCTCAAGTGATCCACCCCCTCAGCTTCCCAAAGTGCTGGGATAACAGGTGTGAGCCACCACACCTGGCCAGTTTTTATTTTCATTTTTATTTTTATTTTTATTTTATTTTATTTTATTGAGGTGGAGTCTCACTTTGTTGCCCAGGCTGGAGTGCAGTGGCACGATCTCAGCTCATGGCAACCTCTGTCTTCTTGGTTCAAGCAATTCTCCTGCCTCAGCCTCCCGAGTGGCTGGGACTACAGGCATATGCCACCACACCTGGCTAATTTTTGTATTTTTAGTAGAGATGGGGTTTTACTATGTTGGCCAGGCTGGTCTTGAACTCCTGACCTCAAGTGATCTACCCACCACAGCCTCCCAAAGTGCTGGGATTACAGGCATGAGCCATCGCGCCTGGCTTTTATTTTTATATTTTTGAGATAGAGTCTTGCTCTGTTGCCCAGGCTGGAGTGCAGTGGCACGATCTCAGCTCACTGCAACCTCTGCCTCTCCAGGTTCAAGCAATTCTCATGCCCCAGCCTCCCGAGTAGCTGGGACTACAGGCGCTCAGCACCATGCTTGGCTAATTTTTTTGTTGTTGTATTTTTAGTAGAGACGGAATTTCACCATGTTGGCCAGGCTGGTCTTGAACTCCTGACCTCAAGTGATCTGCCTGCCTTGGCCTCCCAAAGTGCTAGTTTTGCAATGTTAATTGGTAGTGGCAGTGTGAATGAAAGGAGTCCTATTGGAGGTGGGCGTGTGAAGCTGTGTGGTCTACCTGTAAAGCATGGTGCCAAGCCCCTTCCATCGAAACAGCCTGCATATCAAACACTGCCAATGTTAATTCACCATTTACATTTCTCATTTGTTTAATTACCTATTCATGAACTTGTCTTTGGGCACTGGATCAGATAGGATACACTCGGGCCAGGCACCAGAAAAGCTTCTTTTCGTTGGGATTTTAAAAAGACAGTGAAGATAATGTCGAACTTATACCCTGGAGAGAGAACCATACATGGAATACTAGGCAGAGATGAATGGACTTTAGAATGAGACACTCCGGAGCTGGATTCCTGGTTTTGTCACCTACCATTTGTGAGGTCTTCAGTAAGTCTCTTTAGTATCATTTTCTTCTACAGTCACACAACTAATAAGGGCCAGGATGCACATTCTGATCTTGGAACTCTGAGTGCTGGGCTGGGACTACCTTGTCTTGTAGCCTTATTGAGAAGCTAGAAACTGTGATCTGTTTGGCTCCATAGCCCGACTTGCACACTAAAGCAGATTTGCAAGCCCTTCCCCTTCCTCACCTGCTTACTTCATAAAACCCAGGCCTCCTCCACAGAGAGACTGTATTGGTTAGCTCTTGGTGTATAACAAGCAACTCCAAAGCTAGGTGGCTTAAAACAACAATCTTTTGGCTGGGCATGGTAGTTCATATCTGTAACCCCAGCACTTTATGAGGCCGAGCTATTAGCATTGCTTGAGGCCAGGAGTTCAAGACCAGCCTGGTCAACATGGCGAGACCCCCATCTTTATAGAAAAATAGAAAATTAGCCAGGTGTGGTGCTGCATGCCCAGCTACTCAGGAGGCTGAGGTGGGAGGCTCGCTTGAGCCTGGGATGTCGAAGCTATAGTGAGCTGTGATCATGCCAGTGCACTCCAGCCTGGGTGATGGGCAAAAAAGACCTTGTCTCTTAAAAAAAATTATTTTGTTCGGATTCTATGTGTTTTTTTTTAAGTCTGAGTCAGGCCAGCTGGTCTCTGTGGAGCTCTCTCATATCTGTGGTCAGCTAGCGGGACAGTTGGCAGTTGTTGATCTAGAATTGCCTCACTCCCATGCCTGGGAGTTGGCAGGCAGCCAGGGCAACTGAGTTCTTCATGAGCCTCTCATGCTCCAGCAGGCTAGTCTGGGGCTGTTCACATGGTGGCATCAGGGTTAGAAGTACAGCAAGAGAGCAACTCCTGATGTGCAATTTTCAAGCCTCTGCTTGTGTCATATTTGGTAATGTCCCATTGGCCTAACCAAGTCATATGGCTAACTTACATTAAAGGAATGGAGAAATAGACTCCACCTCTAGATGGGAAATGGAGAATTTGTGAACATTTTTGTAATCTCCCTCACAGGTCTTCCTCCAAAATAGCTAAAGCAGCCCCAGTCAATCTCCACCATATCACCCTATTTTCTCTTCTTCATAGGACCTATCACCATCCTAAGTTACCTATTTGTACATATGCTTATTATCAATCCTCCTACCCCCCACACAATGTAAGCTCCATGAATGCAGGGGCTCACTTTATCTTGTTCTCCTGTGTTCCCAGCGCCACGAACAGTACCTGGTAGGCATTCAGTAAGTGTTATGTTGATTAACTGACTTGCCTGACGATTGGTGTGGAGGCAGAATACCAGGGGGTGAGAGGAATCAAATGATCAATGTAAATGCACAGGAAAGTGACAGTCAAGTATGGATGACTGTGAAGCATGGGGCACTCACAGAGGCCTGACATCCCTCTCTGAGGATCTGGGCTCCTTTGGCAGCTCTGACCCCGGTGTTTTCTTCTCATCATTGGCTTTTATTGACAGACAGGACCTGCTGACTTGAAGCATTTTGACCCAGAGTTCACCCAGGAAGCTGTGTCCAAGTCCATTGGCTGTACCCCTGACACTGTGGCCAGCAGCTCTGGGGCCTCAAGTGCATTCCTGGGATTTTCTTATGCGCCAGAGGATGATGACATCTTGGATTGCTAGAAGAGAAGGACCTGTGAAACTACTGAGGCCAGCTGGTATTAGTAAGGAATTACCTTCAGCTGCTAGGAAGAGCGACTCAAACTAACAATGGCTTCAACGAGAAGCAGGTTTATTTTTTCCAGCACATAAAAGAAAAATAATGTTTCGGAGTCCAGGACTGGCAGGACAGGTCATCAGATACTCAGAGGCTGTATCTCTGCCCTGCCAACCTTGACAAATGGCTTCCAATGTTAGGTTTGCTACAAGATGGTTACTGGAGCTCTAGCTGCCTATTTTGTGTTTAGGGAAGGGAAAATGGAGGAAAGGGGAGAAGAGCAAAGGGCGCTTTTAAAGAGCTTTCCCAAAAGCTCCACCCAATGACTTCTGCTTCCATCTCACTAACCACCCACCCCTACCTGGAATGGAGGCTGGGAGATGTGGCTTATTTGCTGGGTACGTGACTATCCCTAATAACAAAGGGGTTCTGACACTAAGACATTAGGGGAGAATGTTGGGTAGGCAGCCAGCACTCTTTTACCAGAGGGCCTCCTGGTGTTTGGATTTTGATCTCAATGTGTAAAATGACAGAGATGTAACAAGCTCATAGGGTATCAATATCTCTTATTGTTCTATGTTGATGATATTTGTCTTTGTTGTGGGTAATACTGGACATTTGTTATTGGGTCTGGGTGCCTGGTATCTGAACCCCTTCTTGTCTCCAGAGAACCCCCTATTTTATGAGACTTCATGGGGGGGCAATAACTACCTCCACTTAAGAGTACCTGAAAATGCTAGACACTGACTTTCCCAGCCTCCCCTTAGCTAGGGCCAGGCATGGGGACCAGGGATAAACCTGTGCCACATTTTGACTCAGGGAAGGGATCGGGAGCGCTCTTTTGTGTGGTAACTGTGATAACAGTACCCGCAAAATTGAGTTCCTGGTGTAGAAGTGACAAGGATGCAAACTGTAGCAGTTGGTGCTCAGTGGCAGCAACGCCATCAGACCAGCCCTGCAATGTCATTCCTGGAAGCCTCAAGTGTTTTTTTTTTTTTTAAGACAGTCTTGCTCTGTCGCCCAGGTTGGAGTGTAGTGGTGCTATCTCAGCCCACTGCAACCTCCGCCTCCTGGGTTCAAGCAATTCTCCTGCCTCAGCGTCCTGAGTAGGTGGAACTATAGGCACGCGCCATCACACCTGGCTAATGGTTTGTATTCTTAGCAGAGACAGGGTTTTGCTATTTTGGCCAGGCTGTTCTCGAACTCCTGACCTCAAGTGATCCTCCCGCCTCAGCCTCCCAAAGTGCGGGTATTACAGGTGCGAGCCACTGCACCCGCCCAAGCCTCAAGTCTTGTCTAGCTTTCCAAATGATCTGAGAATTTCTGATCCTTTTTAACACACTCCTTTTTTGCTTAATTGGCCAAAGTTAGCTTTAGATCGCCTGCTTATGCTTGGCTAGTTGCTGTACTAGACTCTTCCATGTCTGTTACAAATTTTCCATCCAAACAACCCTG
The DNA here is from genome assembly GCF_000001405.40 of Homo sapiens. Classification (NCBI taxonomy): domain Eukaryota; kingdom Metazoa; phylum Chordata; class Mammalia; order Primates; family Hominidae; genus Homo; species Homo sapiens. The sequence continues at coordinate 43,586,506 of NC_000020.11, forward strand.
AGGTAGGAATTATTACTGTCCCCTTTTTACCAATGAAGATGCAGAGTCAGAGAAGCTGTTCCTTGCCTGAAGGTCACATAGCTAATGAGGGCCAGAGCTGGGACTTGGAGCCCTACAAGCTGGCTCCAGGGCTCTCACATTGAACTTTTGTGCTGATCTGCTTCTCACCCTGGCTATTAGGTCCAGGCAGAATGACTGCCAAAATCTCTAGTGAGGAGCTAAGTCAAAAGTTGGCTGGAACAAGCCAAGTATAAGAAATGGGGTATTGAAGAGGAGACATTGAACGGGATGCCGCTCCTGGTCTGAGCCTGGCTGCCAGGTTCATGCCGTGCTCCACCGCACATTGGGGAGCTCAGAGCTGGACAGAGCTGGAGGCTGCTGCAGACTTGATGCCTAGAGCTTCCTGTCCACCATGGAGCTCCATATGTTCAAGATTAGTCTTTTTTTTTTTTTTTTTTTTGAGACTGAGTTTTGCTCTTGTTGCCCAGGCTGGAGTGCAGTGGCACGATCTCGACTCACCGCAACCTTCGCCTCCCAGGTTCAAGCAACTCTCCTGCCTCAGCCTCCTGAGTAGCTGGGATTACAGGAATGCGCCACCAGGCCTGGCTAATTTTGTATTTTTAGTAGAGACAGGGTTTCTCCATGTTGGTGAGGCTGGTCTCCAACTCCCGACCTCAGATGATCCGCCCACCTCGGCCTCCCAAAGTGCTGGGATTACAGGCGTGAGCCACCGCACCCAGCCAAGATTAGTCATTTCTAAAGATAATTCTGATCGGACAGAACGTGAGCGGTAACACCTCATAAATTCAGAACACCCTGCACTTGTGGGATGGATTGTGCTTCCTTACTTCAGTGGAAAAGTGGTTCGTTTCGGCTGGGCGTGCTGGCTCACACCTGTAATCCCAGCACTTTGGGAGGCCGAGGTCAGGAGTTTGTAGACC